>NC_000008.11:142057857-142359935 GCF_000001405.40 Homo sapiens
AGATTTTATTTTTATTTTTATATTCTTTATGAGTTTTTTAATACTTACAAAGTGAAAATTAATATTATTTTAAAGGACAATTTAAAAACCAATTTCAAAGGTAGTAAAAACAAGAAAGAGGAGAAGGAGGAGGAGAGAAAGGAGGAGGCGAGGAAGGGGAAGAAGGAAGAGGGAGAGGGGAAGAGGGGGAGGGGGAAGAAAGCGAGGCAGTCGTCGCCCCTGGAGCAGGAGCTGCATTGAGTTTTCAGGGAGAACAGTGCCCTTGGAGGGGCGTGGCCTGGAGAAGCCATCGTGGGGCAGGAATCCAGGATGCTCTTGTGTCGTGCCCAGTTGCGGGCTGGGCCTAAGAAACGATGTGGAAGAAGAAGCTGGAATCCCTGACCCCAGAATGTGATTGAGGGAAAGATGTTCCCAGACCTGATGATGCCAACCACGTTGCTGCAGCTTGGACTGTGCCAGACACCATTGGCAGAGCTTGCCAAGAACCATGTTCTTGACTCTCAGGTTCCCTCTTTGGGGGAGACACCACTGTGGTCCATACCCTGCAGGAGTCACAGTGGAGCTATTGTCCAAGATCAGACAGCTGGAAGGTGGTACGTCGGAAACTCTAAGTGTGGGCGCATGACCCAGGAGGCTGGCTTCACCTGAGCGTGCGCTGGAGCAATCCTGGAAGACTTCCTGCAGGCGGCCTTCCTTTCCTGCCTCCCACCACAATGCCTCACTCTGCAGGCATACTGGGTTGCCATGGTGTTACACCCCAGGCCTCTGCACTTGCTCCTACCCTGCTCCATCTGACAACACCCCCTTCCTGCTCAGATTCGACTCCCCCAGCTCAACCCCTTCCTGGGAGAGTCACCAGCACATCTGTGCCCAGGCCACACAGTACACAAGTGCTGAGCCCAGGGTTTGATCCAGTCTGTTCGGCACCAGAGTTTTTCACCTAAATCAAAGGGTGGATGCTTGGCACAGGGGCCTGCCCCAGCCTCTGCTTGTTACTGAGGGCCCAAGACATCCTTGCTGACTGTGTCTGCAAAGGACCTCAGAATCCTTCTGAGCACGGCTCTGGCGGCTCCACCAACCTAGCGCCATTGCCGTGAAGGGCAGATGTACCGGCTCTCCCAGCTGCCTCCACTCAGGGTGGCTGTCTCCCACCCCGTCCCAGCCTTGCCTCTCAGTGCCACCAGCAACCCTATACGAATGGCATTGTTGCCCTTTCTGGAAGAGCCAGCCCTGCCTTCACACATGCAGTGACTCCTTGGGGTGCAAGTCCTTCCTCTCTGAGTCCGGGCAAATGCAAGCATCACGGCAGCCCTTCCTGGGCATCAGAGCCAGCGAGGAGCAGTGACAGTGGCAGCCCATCTGCCAGTACCCACACCAAACTGCAGGGTGCGGGGTAGAGGTCAGGCGGCAGGAATGATGATGGCTGGGAAACAGGAAGGGGCTTTTATTAGCTTCAGTTAAATTCTGCTGAACGCCTCCCTCTGTGCATTCGGGCTGGAGTGGGAGACATCCCTGAGCCAGGGCCTCCAAGGTCTGACGTGCACAGGCCTCTTCTGGGTGCTGCTGGAAACGCATGCCCAGAGGCAGCGGGGCCTGAGACTCTGCACTCTGCACTCCTGGGAGACTTTGGCATTCCCAGGAAATGCCAAAGCCGCTGGCTGGGGACCAGCTGGCATCCCCGAGTGGGGACACGGTGAGACCACATTCCTCACCCTCTCGCTGCCAAGGCCCACTGCCCATCCCACTGCAGCATTTATGCCTGCCCCTGGCCCCATTTCTCTCCCAATTCCCTCTACCCCACCACACCAGGGCCCCATCCCAGATGGTCCCCCAACAAACACAGCAAGGACAGCACCTGCCTGTGAATGATCTCCAAGAGACTGACCCAGCCTTGTGGGAAGGACCCTGTACCCAGAGAAGGGCCAGCCACCACCAAGGTCGCACAGCTGGTTAAGGAGTAGAGGCCAGGTGTGTGCTGCCTCCAGCATCAGGCCGCCTTCCACACACCAGGTGCAGGTTGTGAGTGGCTCTGCCTCTCTGCAGGCTCGGAAAGGGTGCTGAATCTCTCTCTCTGGACTTCATTTGCTCCTGGGGCATGTGGTAGGGGTGGCCACCTTTGAAATCTCGAGGCCTGTGGGCCTGGGGCCGACTGCTGGTGAGGAAAAGCACTGGAGAGAACTGTTGATCCCTGGATTTGGTGCAAGTCTGAGGAGGTGAGCAGTCACCCGCGGCCTCCTGACCTCCCAGCCAGGCAGAGGGCCCCTTCCCATGGCACTCATCTGGGGCCAGCTTGTGAAGCCAGAGAGAGGCAGTG
The DNA here is from genome assembly GCF_000001405.40 of Homo sapiens. Lineage (NCBI taxonomy): Eukaryota > Metazoa > Chordata > Mammalia > Primates > Hominidae > Homo > Homo sapiens. The sequence goes on from NC_000008.11 coordinate 142,060,172, forward strand.
GCCCTGCACCCTCCCACTGGTTTGCGACTCACGCTGCTTCCCCCTGCCCATCTCCTGCTTTACAGGACCCTCACCTGGGCACATCACATATGCATTCAATTCCCAAGAAACAGCTACTGAAGCAGCCAGCTTGGGTGAGAACCCCGGAACTCTGTGTGCCAGGCTGCGGTGGTGGAGGCAAAATGGCTTCCTCTCTGCAGAACCATAAGTTAGTAACTTCAGCAGCTGGACGAGGACCTGATGATTTAAAGGAGAACTTCTCACACCCAGGGTAACGTGGGTCACAGCCCCAGCCCGAGAGGGCTCTGAGAAGCCACGAAGGGCTATGGCTCCAACGCACCTCAGCCTTGGATCTCCCTCAGGAGCCCGGCCTCCCAGGCCCCTCCAGGCTCCCCAGGAGGTCCTGAAGCACAGGCTTAGGCAGTCTTGGAACTATGAACTGGCCCATCTCATCCAGTATTACAGATGAGAAAACTGAGGCACACAAAGTCGAACAGATGCATCCAACCTCAAATAGCAAGTTAGGCCGGACACGGAACCCATACCTGGTCTCTCCTCAGCCCAGTGTCTCACGGCAGCAGGCTGCATGTGCAAGCTCTTGGGGCTCTGTGTGTTTCATGTATGTTTCATGTATCTCTGCAGCCACCTGCCCTGGGGCCGGCACCTGCTAAGACTCCTTCGCTGCCCTGGGACCAACCCAACCCGGAGCGGAGCTCAGCAGCATCTGCTGGCCCAGGGGCCTTTGCAGTGTTCTGGGCTGAGACCTGTGCTCTGGGCTGAGTTGTGCCTCCTCAAAGCTCTATGCTGAGGCCTCAACCTCAGGCCATCAGAACGTGGCTGTGCTCTATGCTGAGGCCTCAACCTCAGGACATCAGAACGTGGCTGTGCTCTATGCTGAGGCCTCAACCTCAGGACATCAGAACGTGGCTGTGCTCTATGCTGAGGCCTCAACCTCAGGACATCAGAACATGACTGTGCTCTGTGTCAGGGCCTTGACACAAGGGATTAGGATTAAATGAGGTCACTGGGGTGGGCCCTGACCCAGGATGCCCGGTGTCCTATAAGAAGAGGAGATGAGGACACAGACATCCAGAGGGTGACCGTGTGAGGACGCAGGCAGAAAATGCCGTCTACCTGCCAAGGAGAGGGGCCTTGGTAGAAACCAGCCCTGCCCACAACTTGATCTTGGACTCCAGCCTCCAGAGTTGTGGGAGGGTAAATGCCTGTGGCATTTGTCACAGAGCCCGAGCTGACCCACATACCCCGGCTCGGGGAGGCCCATGGAGGGCCTGCAGTTGTCAATGTTGTTTCCTTACCTGTTGAAATCCCCTGGGTCTCCGGTCATTAGGGTCGGTGAGTTAGTTTCCCAACAGAATCATGGAGCATCAAGGCTCTGGTGGGTTTGGGAGGATGCAAGCTGGGCTTCTGATGCAGAAGAGGAGACATGGCCAGTTCTGTGATCAAGAACAATTCGCTAAAATAGAAAGTGGCTAAATATAATGTGGCTGAAAGCAAGGGAACTACCATAATGATATGTTAAAGGCCATTTGGTCTGAAATGACTCTTTGCAAAGCTGGGCTTGGTGGCTCACGCCTGTGATCCTAGCAATTTGGGAGGCTGAGGCAGGGGGATCACTTGAACCCAGTAGTTTAAGACCAGCCTGGGCAACAAAACGTGACCCCTATTTCTACTAAAAAACAACAAATTAAAAAATTAGCCAGATATGGTGGTGCACACTTGTAGTCCCAGCTACTTGAGAGGCTTGGGTAGGAAAATCGCTTGAGCCCAGGAGTTTGAGGCTACAGTGAGCCAAGATGGCACCTCTGCACTGTAGCCTGGGAGACAAAGCAAGACTTTATCTAAAAAAAAAAACAGAAAACAAAAAAACAGCTCTTTGCTGCTGCTGTTGTGAGAGTGTGAAGCTCTGTGTGTGCCGTGTCGGTTTTGTGACTCTTTGCTGATTGTGAGAGTGTGAAGTTCTGTGTGTGAAGCGTCGGTTTTGTGATCTTTACTGAGGTGGCCGGATGTCCCGTCCCCTCTGCCCTTCTTCATTCCCAGTTCCCTGTGACTCAGTCATCCCTACCCTCTGCTGTGTGTGCCTGAGAAAATGTGTAGAACCATAACCAGTTTTTTAATATTGGTAATAGTAAGCCATAATCTTTTTGTGTGTGTGTATTTTTGTGTTTCTAGTAGAGACGAGTTTTGCCATTCTGGCCAGGCTGGTCTCGAACTCCTGACCTCAAGTGATCCACCTGCCTCTGCCTGCCTAAGTGCTGGGATTACAGGCATGAGCCACCATGCCCAGCCTAAACCATAATTTTGTCTAATGTTTCCCTTTGTCACTTTATTTCAAATTTCTTTTTAGACAAGCTACTGGTGCTTCTTGTATAAAACAGAATATTGGCAAAGAATAAAGAACCCGATGCCGTGTTTAACCCTTGTGAAAACAGCTGCTGAGCAATGATGGCTCCTCCCAGACACATTAGGTAGAAAGAGAGGATTTTTCTTACAAACTAAACACGAATTTTTTCTTTTTAGTCTCTCTTGGTTTATTTATGCCATCTAATCAGGGGTGAACATTTCTCTTCTACCCAATACTCCTCTGAGGCTGAACTTTTGGTTGAGACAAATTGCTTTGGGCCAAGTTAGGGGCACGGTGCTCTGGCCTGACCACCTGGGTCAGAGTTGCACCCCCAGTAGAGAGGGACCCAGCCTGGACCCCACCTGCTCACGCCTGAGCGGCTTTGAAACCAGGACTAATGAGTATCCCTGATCACCGACATCCATTATAACAAGCACTGGAGAAAGAAAGAAAGAAATCCTTACTATCCCATTAGGAACACTCTAGGCAGGAACATTCCACTTCAAACTGATGCATGGATTTACTCAGGTGTGTGCGGAGGGGGTAGAGGAAACCCAGAGTCCGTGTGGCTGTCTCGGTGGAGGCTCTGGAGTGGAATGCACATTTTCCCAGGGGTTTTTGTCCAGGTGGCTCACCTGCCACAAGCTAGAGAGGCCCCTGCACCACCCAGTGCTGCACCTGCCTGCCAGCCAGCGCGTGAAGAGCCTGCTTCCAGCCTCACTCCTGTGTACCTGCCTCTCAGGCATCAAGGGACGGCCAGCTCATTAGGGCTGAGGGCACCTTGGGCGGCTGCCACTGAGGTGAGCACCCAGGCCAAGGACAGCACTCAGCTCCAGCTCCTGGAAGCTTCCAGACCCTGACTGGCCCCCAAATATCCATGGCACAGTCTCAGGAGGAGGCACAGCATGGGGCCTGTTCAATGGAGGTGGGGGCTGCCTTCACTGTTAGAAGCACTGTCTGACTCCAGACGGGGACCCCCAACCCATGATGCCCGTGAGCATGGGGTGGCTTGGTTGGGCCTGTGGCCCAGCCTAGTGCCCTGAAATCTGTCCTCGTGTGTTGGGGGCCCAGGCAGCAGTCCTGGCTGTGCTCCCTAGGGGAGCCCCAAGTGCAGACAGGGCTGAGGGCTCCTGGGAGGAAAACCCAGGGTTCCAGTCCATGTTCTGCACAGGAGGTGTGTGGCTCCTGGCCTTCCCGGGACTCAGAGCAGAGAGGACGGCAACGATGGTGTCACAGGGCTGATCTGGAGCTGGGAGGAGACAGGCTCTGGGGGCTCCATGGAGTCAGGGCCTGGCGCCTCCGGCAGCAGCCTGGGAACCCCCAGCGTGGAGTCCACTCTAAGGCAGCAGATTCCTGGGGGTGAGACTAAGGGACCCACGAGGGTCAGGCTGAAGGCCACAGCCAGATTCGGGGGCACTGCAAGGCAGACAGTCTTGGTCAGTTCCCAGCTCCCCAGTACTTACTGGCTGGGTGACTGCGGTCACTCAAATTCTGCAAGCCTCGGTTTCCTTGTCTGGGAAATAGGCATAATGGCCAACCTTCCTGGGGTCACTGTGAAAATTAAATAAGAGAATGCATGTGTGTTCCTCAGTTGGGGCTGCAGTAACACAGGACCACAGACTGTGTGGCTTAAACAACCGTTTACTGTCCCACGTCACAGCCCTGGAGGCTGGGGATCTGAGATGAAGGCGTCAGTAGGGTGGTTTCTCCTGAGGCCTCGCTCCTTGGCGTGTGGACGGCCGCCTTCTCCCTGTGTCCTCACATGGTCTTCTGTGTGCATGTCTGTCTCTGTGCCTACGTTTCCTGTTTGTAAGGACACCAGCCACCCTGGATTCGAGCCACCCTAATGCTGTCATGTAACTGGATCACTGCCGGAAAGACTCCATCCCCAAATAAGACCACACGCTGCGGTCCTGGAGGTTAGGACTTTAACATATGAATCTGAGGGGACATGATTCAGCCCAGACAACGTGTGAGCCAAGGACATGTGGCGCTCAGTAAGTGGGGTCACTGGCACAGGAGCAGGAGGGGGAGCGGAGAACGGCCTCAGGCACAGAGCAAGCACAGTCAGGGTCCAGGCCCCCTGCCCACGCCATCAGGGCAGCATCTGCCCAGTGCGCCCTCTTTGGGGCCAGGCAGCAGGCAGGTGCCTGGTCACAGTTTCAGCGGGGAGGGGGATTGGCTGGAGCAAGGGTCTGTAGGGACTCGCATGGCAGGGGTGTTCCCAAGCCATACACAAGCACCTCCTGGTGACACTGGCCCCAGGCAGAAGTGGCTGTCAAATGTCCCCTCAGGACCAAAGTGTCTGGTAATTGGTGACGAGTCCACAGCTGAACCTCTCCCAGGAACTGCCCTGGGACAGAGGGGGCTGCTTCACCCCGGGTCATGCCCTTCTTTGGGAGTGGGTCTCATTCCGTTACTGGGGAGGGGACCAGAGACCACAGCCCAGGCATGGCCTCGTGGCTTGGATTCAGAGCCTCACTAAAGTGTCATCCTGGGCCCAGGACACTCCGTGGCTGGGCAGGGGCCTGTGTTGAGGCCGCATCCCAGTGGGGCATCTCCTTCTGCCCATTTCTGCTTCCCTCTCTCCCCCCGGGCCTTGATTCCGGGAGCCCTCCATGCCAGCCTGCTGCACACACATCCCCACCTGCCCCCAGAAGCCGTCTTAGGACAACTGGCACCTGGACTGCTCCAACAAAGCAAACTTTGAAATAGGACTGGAGCTGGGTCGTCTGCCGACCACTGGCCATGAGGACCCAGCACTGATGAGAGACAGTGGCCAGGGGGGCCCACACGTACCATAGTGGGTCAAAGTGGCCCCCCTGAACCCATGCCCACCCCGAGCCTCAGAATGTCACCTTATTTGCAAATAGGGTCCCTGGAGTTGTTAGTTAAGATGAGGTCATATTGGTTTAGGGTGGGCCCTTAATCCGATGACCTGTGTCCTTCTAAGAAGAGGAGAAGACCCCCCCCCAGAAGGGGGCCACCACGTGGTGACAGGCAGAGATTGGGGTGATGCTTCTACAAGCCAAGGAACCAAAGACGATGGCCCCACCAGCAGCGGGGGCGGTGGGTGTGAGGCCAGGGCGGGTCCTCCCTCAGGGCCTGCAGGTGGAACCACCCTGGCCATACCCTGATTTCAGCCTTCCAATTCCAGAACCACGGGAGAACCCATTTCTGCTGTTTTCAGCCACCGGTTTGTGGTAACGTGTTACAGTAGCCTTAAAAAGATAACAACTCACTATGCAAATTACAAAACCTCACCAAAAAATAGATAACCTGAATGAAAGCATCATAACAAAATCATCTGAACCAGTATTGACTAGTCAAATCCTTCAAAGACAACCCTTCGTTATATGAACTGTTCCTGGGAGAAGGAAAAAAAGGAGACGTTGTATGACTCAATTTTTGGAGGTTTATTTAATCTGATGTAATAGGATTTACTCCAGCAATACAAAGATAATTCAAAATCAGAAATTCTAATAATAAAATATCACGCACCAAAAAATCAAAACAAAAACACCAGAAGATCATTCTCCAGGTGAAAAATAAAAAAACACCCTTTGGTAAAATTTTAAATTCATTGTTCATTTTTTTAAACTCTTAAAAAATAAGTAATAGAAGAGAATATCCTTTTAACGCTGGAGGAAGCGTATTACTAACCTGCAACAATCGCGTTTAATGGTGAAACTTCTCCTTGAACTCAGGACAAGGCGCGAACACACTGCCCATTTATGCGACCCCACTTGTACCTGATGACACGAAGGAGAAGAAAATGCACTGCAGGATGAGATTTGGAAAGAAATCAAACTATCCTTGTTTGTAGCAATAGGGTTGTCTCACCTATCCAGGGAACCTAATGGGGGACTCCAGCCCCTATGCTGGATTCAATATTAATATCCAAAAGTTAAGGGAATTGTTTCCAGTAGAGATAATCAATTTGAACATGGGATTTTAAAAAATCTAGAGCAGCAAAAAGTATGAAGTCTGTAGGAATAGCACTAAGAGGAGATGTGCAAGTTTTCTATGAAAATAATTTCAGTATTACAGAAGAGCACAGAGATCTGAATCAACTGAGAGCTGTACTGTTTCAGGAACTAGAAGCTACACTGCAGTGAATTACAAACTCAGGATCTCAGCAGTTTCAGCTGGCAATGATGTGGTCAGTGGCGTGCTGGTAAATGTTTAACAACTGGATGTCCAGACCCAAAATAAAAATTTTAAATAAGATAACAATCCCTGCTCTTCACAGCAGAGAAAACAATCAACAAAGTAAAAGGCAACTAACTTACAGATTGGGAGAAAATATTTGTCAACCATATCCCTAAAAAGGGTTAAGATCCAAAATGTCTAAGGAATTCCTGAAAGTCAATAGCAAAAAGATAAACAATCCAATTTAAAAATGGGAAGAGGACCTGAATAGACATTTTTCCAGAGAGGACACACACATGGCCAACAGGCATGTGAAAGGTGCTTATTAGGGTCACCCAGGAAATGCAAACCAAATCCACAGCAAGATACCACCTGACATTTGTCAGAACGACTATTAAAAAAAGACAAAAGATAACCAGCGCTGGCAAGGATGTGGGGGGAAGGGGACCCTGGCACCCTGTTGGTGGGAATGCAATCAGTACAGTCTCTAGGGAAAACAGTACGGGATGGGGGCAGTTCCTAAAAATACTAAATATTGAGCTACCATAGGAACCAGCCATCCCACTGCTGGGTATCTATCTGAAGGAAAGAAAATCAGAATATCACACAGATGTCTGTGCTCCCATGTCCATTGAGGCACTGTCAGCAACAGCCAAGACGTGTGGATCCGTGAAGGAATGGGTAAAGAAAATGTGGTGTATACAGTAGTTTCCCCCTCACCCAAGGATTTACTCTCCGCAGTTTTGGTTACCCGCAATCAACCCCAGCCTGACAATATTAAATAGAAAATGAACAGATATTTCTCAACAGAAGACATTTATGCGGCCAACAAACATATGAAAACAAAGCTCGTAATCACTGGTCATTAGACAAATGCAAATCAAAACCACAATGAGATACCATCTCATGCCAGTTAGAACGGCGATCATTAGAAAGTCAGGAAACAATAGAAGCTGAAGAGGATGTGGAGAAATAGGAATGCTTTTACACTGTTGGTGGGAGTGTAAATTAGTTCAACCATCGTGGAAGACAGTGTGGCAATTCCTCAAGGATCTAGAACCGGAAATACCATTTGACCCAGCAATCCCATTACTGGGTATATACTCAAAGGATTATAAATCATTCTACTATAAAGGCACATGCACACATATGTTTATTGCAGCACTATTTACAATAGCAAAGACTTGGAACCAACCCAAATGCCCATCAATGATAGACTGGATAAAGAAAATGTGGCACATATACACCATGGAATACTATGCAGCCATAAAAAAGAATGTTAATGCCCTTTGCAGGGACATGGATGAAGCTAGAAACCATCATTCTTAGCAAACTAACACAGGAACAGAAAACCAAACACCACATGTTCTCACTCATAAGTGGGAGTTGAACAATGAGAACACAAGGACACAGGGAGGGGAACATCGCACACGGGGGCCTGTCGGGGGGTGGGGAGCAAAGGGAGGGAGAGCATCAGGATAAATACCTAATGCATGCGGGGCTTAAATCTAGATGACGGGTTGATGGGTGCGGCAAACCACCATGGCACATGCGTACCTATGTAATGAACCTGCACGTTCTGCACAAGTATCCCAGAACTTAAAGTAAAATAAAAATAAGTAAATAATAAAATAATTACAGAAATAAGCAATTCATACATTTTAAATGGCATGCAGGTCTGAATAGCGTGATGAAATCTTGTACCTCCCACCAGGGACTTGAATCTTCCCTTTATACCCGCACTGTCCACACCACACCACTGTCAATCACTCAGTAGCCGTCCCTGTTTTCTGATTGGCGGTCACAGCACTGTCCACACCACCCTGCTGTCAATCACTCAGTAGCTGTCCCTGTTTTCAGATTGGCGGTCACAGTACGGCTGGGCTTGTGTTCACTTCACCCTTGCTTTACTTCCTAATGGCCCCAACCACAACAGTGATACCGGCAACTCAGATATGCCAAAGAGAAGATGTAAAGTGCTTCCTTTCAGTGAAAAGGTCAAAGTTCTTGATGTACTGGAAAAAAAAAATAACGGTATGATGAGGTTGCTGAGATCTATGGTGAAAACGAATCTTCCATCCCTGAAATTGTGAAGAGGGAAAAGAAATTCATGCTAATGTTGCTGTCCCACCTTGAAATGCAAAAGGTGCGGCCACAGTGTGTGACGGGCACCCTGTGAAGATGAGGCAGGCAGCAGAGCTGCGGGTGGAGACATGGACAAGAACGTGTGTGGATGACAGGAATCGGGTTGGGGGCCACAAGCTGTGGTTTCAGGCTCCCCTGGGGATCTTGCATAAGACCCCCGCAGGTAAGGGGGACGGCTGTACACACCACGGAATACTATTCAGCCTTAAGCAGGAAGAAAATCCTGTCGTGGGCCTACAACAGTCCAACTCACAGAAGCAGAAAGTGGAATGGTGGTGGTCAGAGGCCGCAGGGTGGGCAGGGCCAATGAGTCCTAGAGGTCGCCTCTGCAGCAGAGCACGTGCCGCTCCAACCCCACACCATCTACCTGAAAATCTGCTATCACAGAAAGAAGAAAAAGGAGAAATAAGAAAGCCCAAGGCAACTTTTCGAGGAGATGAATAGGTTTATGGCATAAAGGGTCGTAATGGCTTCACAGGTGCGTACTTAACTCCAAACTGGCCACGTTGTTTACCTAAAATAGCTAGCTACAGGCCGGGCTCAGTGGCTCATGCCTGTAACCCCAGCACTTTGGGAGGCCGAGGCGGGAGGATCACCTGAGGTCAGGAGTTCGAGACCAGCCTGGTCAACATGGTGAAACCCCATCTGTACTAAAAATACAAAAATTAGCTGGGCGTAGTGGCAGGTGCCTGTAATCCCAGCTACTCTGGAGACTGAGGCAGGACAATCGCTTGAACCCGGGAGGCAGAGGTTGCAGTGAGCCAAGATCACGCCATTGCACTCCAGCTTGAGTGGCAAGAGCGAAACTCCATCTCAAATAAATAAATAAATAAAATGGCTACAGCTTTGTGCGTCTCAATCACATAACCTCAGTAATGTCGGGGCTTTTTTTTAAGTGAGGAACAATACACGCTAAGCTGTAAACAATGGTTACCTCTGGAGACTAGAATTACATACTTCCATGTTCTTGAATTGTATACAATAAGCATGTATTAATTTTATAATAAAAAGTAAATTTCAAGACAAAAAAAGAAAGAGAACATTATAAATAAAAGCCTCACTTTCAGGGGGGAAAGGTACAGATGACTGCATTTGCAGATTTCCACCATTTGAATTTTCCCACCACAGCAGATTTCAGGCAAACATGAATTAAACCAGCTTGCAAAATTCCAGAAAATTGACCACCAGGCTTTCAAGGGCCCATGCCAGCCAATCTCAGACCTCATAGCGTGTTCCTCGCTCACATTTCCTGTCTGCTGCAGGTTGAGGGAGGGTGCAGATGGCAGAGCCATTGTCTCCTGTGCTGGAGGACACCATGCCAGAGGGAGCATGGTGTGTGAAGACAAGTTGTGCCCTGATGTGCCACACACCACGCCACTGCTGCTCCCAGGCTGTCCTGTGGCCCCAGCTCGCCTCAGGGCAGGAAGTGCAATGGGCCTGGTTCTGGAAGGTGGGAGAGACCAGGCTGCCCTGGCAGCGGCAGGTGAGGACCACCGGCCCTGCATCCAAGCACAGGAGACTCAGTGCCCTGAGACGTCAATTTCCGTCTTTACATTCCAATCAAATTTCAACAGGGCTTTTCACAAAACTTACTAGTTCGTTAGAAATTAGCAAGGAAGAACAGAGGGTGCAGAGCAGCCAAGAAGTTGAGGAAGATGAGAAATCAACACCCAGGAAGTGACAGCAGCCACATGTGAGGGTCCTTCGTGCTCAGGGGGAAACTGGCTGAGGGGGCCAAAGCACCCAGAAACGGGTCCGCTCGCCTCTGGAGAGCTTGAGAAATGTCAGAGGAGGGGTTCAATTCAGTGTGAACTATTTTAACCATGCCCTAAATGGTGCTACGGTAACAACTGGATCTCCATAATGAAATAAGATTAGATTTTTACTTCCTGCCAAACACAAAAATAAATCCCAGGCGGAATAAATCCGTAAATGTAAAGAACAAGACTTTGAGAAGGAAATATTAGATCATATCTTCATAAACCTGAGGTTTATGAAGGGATTAATTAATTAAACAAGATATAAAAAGCCTGTGACCTTCAAACATGAGTCTTTTTGACAACAATAAAATTAAAGCATCTTATACAAGGAAAACTTCACAAAGGAAAAATGCAAGCCGTCAGCCGGGGGAAGATCTCTGCACCTACAGCTGAGAGAGGATTAGCAAGGACCGTGAACCCCTACAAATCAATTAGAAGTCAATCAGTCCAGAAGGAAGAGAAAGGGCCAGAGGCAAGCATAATCGAAACAGAAGAAACGTGAATGACCGATACACACAGTTTTTAATGTTCAGCTCAACCGTCAATCAGGGAAATGCAATGAAAACATGAACGTGCGCTTTAACCCCCACGAACGGAGCAGAACCTGAGGGGTGGCCGATGCCAGCAGTTAGTGAAGATCTGAAGCACAGAGAAGCTCACCCGGCTGACGGAGGGCGAATCGGGGCGGCCAGGCTGGAAAGCCGTTAGGTGACGGGGAATGCGTTGAAGAGGTGCATCTCCCCCCCCGACCCCGGGTTAATTCTACCTCGGCCAGATGCCTAGAGAAGGTCACCGCAGAGTCCACAATGACACACAACGGCATCGATGGAAGCTTAGGTAGCAAAACTACGTATCAGCAAAAAATGGAAACCCCCAGCATAGCCGGCAGTAGGAGAGCGTGGACTAGTCGAGGTGGGGTGGCCACGTGTTCGCGCAGCGGCCCGGGGTCCAGCGGCTCTGCTGAGGGAAGAGCCTCAGATTCAACAGGGAAAAACCGGAACGCTTCATGTTGAAGGGGTAGGCTGAACACGGCATGATGCTGCTCATCTGAAACTTAAGATAATTGGGAAGCTGCAAAACAATATTACATGGAAATATGATTGGGAGCTCTATGCAATGTGCATTATAGGAAGCTGAGACGTACCCGGAGGCGACACCACATTCTCTGCGCAGAGAGGGGCCACGGGAGCGGAAGGGTGCCGGGGCTGCCGCTGGATCTGCAGCTCGATTCTTTAAGAAATGCGTGGCAGAGCATGGTGACTCATGCCTGTAATCCCAGCACTTTGGGAGGCCGAGGTGGGCAGATCATGAGGTCAAGAGATGGAGACCATCCTGGCCAACATGGTGAAGCCTGCCTCTACTAAAAATACAAAAATTAGGCCGGGCACGGTGGCTCATGCCTGTAATCCCAGCACTTTGGGAACCTGAGGGAGGTGGATTACCTGAGGTCAGGAGTTCAAGACCAGCCTGGCCAACATTGTGAAACCCAGTCTCTACTGAAAATACAAAAATTAACTGGACATGGTGGCAGACACCTGTAATCCCAGCTACTCAGGAGGCTGAGGCAGGAGAATCACTTGAGCCCAGGAGGTGGAGGTTGCAGTGAGCCAACATCATGACATTGCACTCCAGCCTGGGCAACAGAGCAAGACTAAAAAATAAAAATTAAAAAAATTTTAAAAAATTAGCCGGGCATGGTGGTGGGTGCCTGTAATCCTAGCTACTCAGGAGGCTGAGGCGGGAGAATCACTTGAACCCGGGAGGCAAAAATGGCAGTGAGCCGAGATTGCACCACTGCACTCCAGCCTGGGAGACAGAGCAAGATTCTGTCTCAAAAAAAAAAAAAAACAGAAATGTGCGTGAAGGAAGCATAATAAATGCTCCCCCTTACTGAAGCTCAGTGGAGGTTACATGGGACCCACTATCGATTGTACTGTCTATAGTTTTCTATATTTTGGCAGACATCAACCAAATCAATCTCTACCCTGGTTCTTCCTTAGGAATAAAATTGCAATTTGGTTGTGGTGGTGATATACCGAGTTTTGAAAAAGACTCAGCCTCCCCTGCAGATAAAGTACCATGTGACAGTCCTGTTCAAGAATATGTCACAGGGCTGGGCACGGTGACCCATGTCTGTAATCCCAGCACTTTGGGAGGCCAAGGTGGGAGGATCACTTAAGCCCAGGAATTCGAGACAAGCCTAGGCAACATAGTGAGACCCGTCTGTACCAAAAATACAAAAATTAGCCAGGCATGGTGGCACACACCTATAGTTCCAGCTACTCAGGAGGCTGAGGTAGGAGGCTTGCTCGATCTGGGGAGGTCGAGGCTGCAGTGAGCTGCGATGGCATGACAGGACTCCAGCCTGGGTGACAGAGTGAGAACCTGTCTCAAAAAACAAACAAACAAAAAAAAAGAACATGTCAGTGGGCATGGCTATGTGGTGGATGTATTAGTAGTCAGGTTCTCCAGAGAGACAGAACTAAATCAGTAGGCTATGTACAAATATAGAGAAAGAGAGAGATTTTAAGGAATTGGCAGGACGTTCAGTGAAGAGTTGACGTTGCCGTCTGAAGTCGAAAATCCACAGATGGGATTCCTCTGCTACGGTCTGGAAGAGAATTCCTTCTTTAGGGACTCTCAGTCTTTTGCTCAGAAGCCTTCAACTGATTGAGTACCCCCCCTCCACATTACAGAGGGTCATATGCTTCCTTAAAGTCAGCTGATTGGAAATACTAATCACATCTAAAAAAAAACTCCTTCACAGCTGTGTATGGACTCCTGTGCAACCAAACAATGGGACGCTGCAACCCAGCCAAGCTGACACAGAAAATCAACCACCACCGGGGCCTCCAAAGGAAGGGCCTCAAAAGAGGAGACCCTCTGTTGGTTTCCTCCTTCTGCCCTTGACCTTCTCTTTCTTCCTGCCTGGAAGGCAGATGTAAGGCCAAGCATGGGGCAGCCATCATGAGACCATGAGGCAAGAGTGAGAGTGAACAAAGAGAGAGAGCGGGTACTGCTCCCTGGTGGCATTGTGGGTGTATTGGTCTGTTCTCACACTGCTATAAAAGAATACCTGAGACTGGGTAATTTATAAAGAAAAGAGGTTTAATTGGCTCACAGTTCCACAGGCTGTACAGGAAACATGGCTGGGAGGCCTCCAGAAACTTACAATCATGGCAGAAGCTGAAGGGGAGGCAAGCACATAAATGGCCAGAGCAGGAGGAAGAGAGGTGGGAGGTGCTACACACTTTTAAACAACCAGATCTTGTGAGAACTCACTCACTGTCACGAGAACAGCAAAGGGACCATCTGTCCCCCAACCCCAGGATCCAATCACCTCACACCAGGCCCCTTCTCCAACATCGGGGACATGAGATTTGGGTGGGGACACAGATCCAAACCATATTAGTGGGGCTGAAACACCAGCACGCCACTGCCCACCTCCCGGCATCTTGTCACATGACAAAAATACATGCCGGCTTGGTTAAGCCACTTGACACACAGCTGAGCCCATTTCTGACATATTTGTGTTTGGAATATCTCATAATAAAATGATTAAATAGAAAACAAGGGATACATAGGAAATATTTCTAAGTATACCTGTGACAGTATTTCCTGACTTACAAACCTGTGAGTTGCAACAATTTAAAGGAAGACTTCCTATTCTCTTTGGCCAATAACATTCCATGCAGCAATTTGGGCCCAGCAACAACAAGACCAGGTTCACAACCACAGTGGACCAACAGGCCGACACGCCCTCCAGGGCAGTGAGCTTCAGCCCCGGAATGGGTTTGTTCATTCAGCACACATGCATTCATCCCTACCGTGCACAGGCCCCAAGAGATACAGCAGTGAGACCAGGATAATAAGGTCCCCTCCTTCCAAGAAAAGACTAATACTAATTGCTAGTTAGTAAAAGTCAGTTTCCTAGGTTGCAAGCAACAGAAAATCTCAGCTCACCTAAGAAGAAGGGGTTCTTTAGAAGGCCTTAGGGGTTAACAGAGCAGCTGAAGGGCTCAGGTGTGAGACAACAAGGAAGCTAGGCTTTCCCCAGGGACCCCAAATGCAGGATCTGAGTCCCCCGAAGAGCCTGAAACCTCACAGCGCAGGCTGTGGCCAAATGCAGAGGTCCAGTGGGGCAGGGCTAGAGGAGCCTCTGGGTGTGGGAGGTGGGATTCCTGTCCATGGCTGTCCCCTCCTCCCTTTGCTGTGAGGAGTTAGCCTGCACTGCCCACCCACGGAGGTTATATTTCACCAAGTGGCTTGTGCTGGCCAACGGAATGTTACTGGAGTTGATGAACGAAGAGGCTTCGGAAGTGTTTGTAGTTTGCTTTGTTCTCTTGGGCTTCTGCCACTGGCCATGGAAGAATATACCCTGGATGGCTGCTGCTTGCAGAATGTGGGATGGCGGGGCAGCCTGAACCCACGTGCAGCTGGGAACCCAGCCTGGCCAAGCCCAGCCACACCCGGCAGAGCACAGACACACAGACACACTCACACCTGTGAGCAAGAAGTCAACACCTAGGCTGTGTGATCTGAGTGTGTACCACACAGCCTTGCAGCACCGTGGCTGACACATACAGGGACAGAGGGATGCCTGGGCTCAGGTCCTGAAGGAGAGTAAGAGTTCCAGAGCTGAAGGAGAGAGACATCCCTGGAACACTAATGCTGTGAGGCTGAAAATGTGGCACGTATACACCATGGAATACTATGCAGCCATAAAAAATGATGAGTTCATGTCCTTTGTAGGGACATGGATGAAATTGGAAATCATCATTCTCAGTAAACTATCGCAAGGACAAAAAACCAAACACCGCATGTTCTCACTCATAGGTGGGAACCGAACAATGAGAACACATGGACACAGGAAGGGGAACATCACACTCTGGGGACTGTTGTGGGGTGGGGGGAGGGGGGAGGGATAGCATGAAGAGATATACCTAATGCTAAATGACGAGTTAATGGGGGCAGCACACCAGTATGGCACATGTATACATATGTAACTAACCTGCACATTGTGCACATGTACCCTAAAACTTAAAGTATAATAATAATAATAATAATAATAATAAAAGAATTGCCTTATCAAACTCGAGCATTTTACTGATGGGAAACCCCACCAACAGTGCACACTGGAGGTGGGGCAGGGAAATAGGACAGGGGAGAGCAGAAATGCCACAGGGAGCCAGTTACGCGGAGTGGGGGAGGGTGGCACAAGGATAAAAAGTACAGTCCTCACCACTGAGAACATCAGGGACCACTTCAGGATAACGGTCTTGAAGAACAAAGGTTCACGGTAGCCTCGTGGTCTGGGTGCAGTTACACATTCGCCTCCTAGCAACGGAGGCCTCCACATTCCCCTCAGCTTCACCACGTTTATAGCTAATGGATTCCTCAGCCCCGTGGCTAAACTCACACGGTGCTGTGCTTCTTCAGTTCAAACATTCCCTTTCTGCTTGCCGTTTTGGGGTCTAAAATAAACATGTGCCCTGAAGATAAAGGAAGAAATCCAAAACTGCGTCTAATGATATATTAATAGCACAAAAATGCTCAAGCTGGGGGCATGTCAGAAAAAATGCAGTGCAAAGGAAAATACTGTTAAAAGCTGTGGGTGTGAAGGGAGGAAACCGAGTCGTTTTGCAGCCTTGCCTCTGCCCCCTCACAGAGCAGCTGTGCTCTGGGACTTGGTTGCTCCACCGCGCCAGGTGGGAGGGAAGGCAAAAGGAGGGGACCACCATGGATCCTTCCAGCTCCGCCCTCTCTCAGGCCAATGGTCTTAGGTTCTGAGAGCAGTGAATATCCCCTCCCTCCTGAGCTCATGCTGCGGCTCGGTCCTTTAGGCCTCCTCTGATGAGGCCCTGCTCTTCTTGAACCCCAAGGTCACCCATTCTAGCCTCATGCCCCACCTCTTCAATGAGCCCTTGCTGACCATGCCTGCCCCCGGCTCCTTCTCATGACCCTCACCCTCAGCCACCACCTCACCTGTGCTTGGTCAGCGAGATTGGTTGGAAGAATCACTGACCCTGGCAGCCAGAAACCAGAAGTCCTGCCACAGCCCTGACCCTCACTACCTGGCCCATGAACTCTGACCTCTTAACTTTTAAGTAAGTAACTTCTGTCCTCCTCACCAAAATGTTTGTTTGCCAGTGTAGACTGGGTTTTTTCTGATGATTGAATGGGAATGGTGCATGTGGAAATGCTTTATAAACTGTAAAACAATAAACATGGTGCCCAGGACAGGCCAGCATGGAGTGGCAGACACAGAATCACCCTCCTATCTAAAACCATAAAAAATAGGCAGAACCTGTGTTTTTAAGATACTAGACAGCAGGAACAGTGATCACCGTGGGTGGGAAATGAACAAGGCGGCACTGGAGTGGGCTCAGCCGACCGCCTTGAGTGAGTTTCCAGGCTGCTGCTCAGGGAGGGGAGACCCAGGCAGAGGCCAGCGAAGCCCCTGGGTTGAGGAGGTCGGGTCTGGAGAGACCTCGGGGTTCACTGAGTAGAAAAAGCTGCTCAGGGGATGCCAGGTATGCAGAAAGTTCCACATGTAGACAGTTGCATGTATGTGTAAAGAAACCAGCCAAAGCCAGAGAAATAACTTTGCAGGAGGACTTGAGGAGAAGGTGCCTGGAACGCACAGAAAGCCAGGAACAGTGTCTGTCCCAGCCAGCCTCACCCTCCCAGAAAACTCCAAACTCCGCCAGAGAAAAAGATGAATTACCGTTGATGAAGCTTATGTTTAAAACTTTTGCTCTGCGAAAGACATTTCTAAGAAGATAAATAGACAACTCACAGACTGAGAGAAAATATTTGCAAATTATGTATACAATAAAGGACAAATATCCAGAATATAGAAAGAACTCATAAAATGCAATGACAAGAAAATAAAGTCCAAGTTAAAAAAAAAATGGGCACAAAAAATGTGAACAGGCACTTCACCAAAGATGACATACAACTTGAGGTCAGGAGTTCAAGACCAGCCTGGCCAACATGGTGAAACCCCGTCTCTACCAAAAATACAAAAATTATCTGGACGTGACCTGTGCCTGTAATCCCAGTTACTTGGGAAGCTGAGGCAGGAGAATTGCTTGAACGTGGGAGGTGGAGGTTGCAGCGAGCCAAGATCGTGCCACTACACTCCAGCCTGGGTGACAGAATAAGACTCTATCTCAAAAAAAAAAGACACATCACTGACAAATAAGTACTAGAAATGATGCTCAACATCCTTAGTCATTACGGAAAGGTGAATTAAAACCACAGTGAGACAGCACTATACACCTAGTAGAATGGTGAACACTATGAGCCTATTAGAATGGCTACAAATATTTTTTCAAAAGCTAACAATGCCAAATGCTGGTAAGGATGTGAAGCCACAGAACCTTATACTTACTGTTGGTGTGCATGCAAAGTGCTTCACCTGCTTTGGAAGAGTTGACACTTTCTCATAAAGGTAAACACACACCTACTGTAAGCCCAACCAACCCCACTTTAAGTTCTAGGTATTCACCAAACTGAATTGAAAATCTGTGTTCCCACAGAAAAAGGCGAGTGTGAATGTGTATGAAAGCTGTATTCATCAGCACTCCAAGCTGGAGGCAGCCAGGTGCCCTTCAACAAGTGAGTGGACAAACACACTGACATGTCCAGTGCAATCCCACTCAGCAACAAGATGAACCAGAGGGTCATCCGTGCAGCCACCGGGTGCATCTGAGGTGCATTTTGCCAGGGGAAGGAAGTTAGACCCAAAGGATCTAATCTTATGCTTCAGTTTATATGACATTCTGGAAAAGACAAAACGATAGGAATGAAAAGCAAACCACTGGCTTTCACTGACTGGGGATTGAGGGAGAGAAGAGGAGCCACAGAGGCCCCATTTAGGGTGGGGGAGGGAATTGTTCTGCATGTGCCTATGAGTGTGGATATGTGACTCTGTGTCCTTGGCAAATCCCACAGAAATGTGTATCCACAAGGTGAACTTCATTGTTCCGTTTTGTGTTTTTAAATCTAAGGAGGAGTCTGGAGCCCCAGGATGGGTTTAGCCATGAGAGGTGCCTCTCCCGGTGCTACACATTGTGGCGGGGCCTCGCCAAGCGTGGGTGGGAAGAAGCTGACCTGGGTAACTTCAGAGAATTGAGTGTGACTAGGCCCTGGAAAGCAGGAACAAAAAGCACCGCACTTAGCCGTTCTCTAGGGGGTAAACTTGTTTCGTACAAGGATATGGGTTACTGATTCTGAAAGTAGACATGTACGAGAGTTGAACAAATAAATAAATAGACCAGGCATTGTGGCTCATGCCTGTAATCCCAGCATTTTAGGAGGCCGAGGCGGATGGATAACCTGAGGTCAGGAATTTGAGACCAGCCTGGCCAACATGGTGAAACCCTGTCTCTGCTAAAAATACAAAAATTAGCCAGGTGTGGTGACATGCACCTGTAATCTCAGCTACTCGGGAGGCTGAGGCAGGAGACTTGCTGGACCCTGGGAGGCAGAGGCCACAGTGAGCCGAGATGGTGCCACTGCACTCCAGCCTGGGTGACAGAGTGAGACTCCATCTCAAAAAATAAAATAAAATAAAATATGTAGATATGAAGCCAGGTTTCTCAATGTTAGTGACAAAAGTCAGCAATAAGCAAGAAAGAAAGTAACAAAAATCCCTGCAGGGCTGGTGTGGAGTCAGAGATGGCAGTGTGGGCTCAGACTTATTTTCACACATATACAGGTAGATTGATGCAGAATAAATACAGAAGTGCACATAGCACTTGCATGTATGTACATACACACACATATGTAAACACACACACACGTGTGATCTCTAGCAGTGTCCTGGGAGCAGGGACACCCCAGTACAGCAGGCACCCCCAGGACCCAGACCTCGGTGTCTGGACACCCTTGCAGCACCCCTGGAGAAATGGCTACTTCTAGGGGGTAAGACCCACCTGGGGCTTGTGGCAGTGCCAGGAAGTAAGGAAATGTCAGAAAAAAAGAAAGAAAAATGAGCCTGCCATTCTGGGAAGCCAGACTTCAAAGGACCTTCCCAAAGCTTTCTTCTATAAGAAAGGGGTGCCAGTGACGTCTGCCCTGGAGGGTCCTCATGGAGCTGAAAGGTGTCACAATGCCCTGCCTCCAATTGTCCTCTGCGCAGTTGTGCTCTCAGCTTCCCGACCTCCCCTCCTCTCTGCAGGGACGAAGCTACTCTCCCAAGGTCAGGGCTGTGAGTGAGGGGCCAAGGTGACTTGCCTCTGGGTCCGGAGCCCCTTCCTCTGCCTCATTTTGTACTCCTTGGCCACCCTGTGTCCCTCACAGCCCAGGCTTGCTCCAGAGCAGCTGGTATTTATGCTGCAGGTATGGAGGGCACACGGCAAGGGGGGCGTGACTGGCAGGCCTGGTACCCTGGACTCCACTGCCCATTAATGTGGATGGCAGCCCCACAGGACTGTGGGAACAAAGAACAAGGGCCCACCTGCTCCTGAGACCAGGGGGGCACATTTGAAAACTGTCAGTCAATGCCCTTGGCTGGGCACTGGGCGTCAAGAACCCATTTCTTCAGCACTAACATCTGTCCCTACCACTTCTGGTGGGGAAGGTCAGGCATAGACCAGAAAATCAATGGTTGGCATGGACCTGGGTACCCAGGATGGCGATTTGCCGGTAACTGCAGACTTGGCTTAGCCTGCCAACTGGTGGCAGGCACCAGCAGCCTTTAGGTCAGATACAGTGGTGGGGGTGTTGGCTCCCGGGGGTTCTTATCAGGAGCCCTCTGCCTGATGAGAAAGTACTGCACCCCCTCACCTCTGCCGGCCAGGGCAGTATCTAGAGAATGGGCAGACTGGACACCACCCCCAGGCTCCCCTCTCCTCCCTGTCCTGAGCATGGTCATGACCCTCACAAAGCCCTTTCACACCCACCTGATAAATAACAAGACTGAAGCTCCGAATCAGGACGTCAGGGTGTGCCAGAATTGGCACAGACACACACAGGCCTCTCTCTTCATTGGTTTTCTCAAAGCGAGTCTTCGATGGATCCCTAATTCTAGGAGACACCCCAGATGAAAAGGGTCTCAGGGCAAATAGGTTTGATAAATCACATATACTCTGTGGTCCCTTGGAGAGTGGCGGAGAACAGAGCCGATTCAAGGCTCTGAGAAGTCCTGCAGCCGGGAAGCCTATCTAACTTTTTCAGCAAGCCTTTTACTTGGATGGGCCTAGAGTTGCCCTTCACAGTAATACACATCCCAGGGACTCACGCTGAAGCCCCTGTGGTTGATCCCATTATGAAGCTTACTATCAAGCCACTAAGTCGCAGAAATATGTGCTAACACTACACGAGCTACCGAAAGAGCCAGCGTCATGCGTTCCTCCTTGAATCGTACTCCATCTTTTACAAATAAGAATCAGCAGATCCACCAGTGACTTCAAACTTCCAGGCTGCAGAGCTCATGAGAACGCGTATCCCTCTGACGGCTTCAGTGTCCTCCTCTCTGAAAGCCCGCCCTCCTTTAATGACCACCACGCGGCCCTCCTCATCCACCCACTGTTTTTCTGGCTACTTCTTCAGCCACGTTGTGCACGCGTGCATGTGTGTGTGTGTATGCGTGTGCGCACGCACGCGTGTGTGTGTGTTTAGGTGGTTATTGGGCAAACCAACATATGTGTGTAATTTCTTTATAGTAGGAAAACACAAAAGGGCACAAAATGGAAAGAGACCACCCTCCCCAACCCAGACCACCCTCGACGTATTTCCTGAGGCAGCCACTTGGAGCCACCTCAGGATTTGCTCTCCTAGTGGGCCTCACTGAACCTCTCAATGAGAAGCCTTTCCCCTGGTATGTTTTTCTGGGTTGTTTCATTGCTGAGTGACACTCCAGGACTTCCAGCTTCAGCTGAGAGGCACAGAGCCAGGAAGCCCATCTCTCCCACTCTTACAGAGAGAGCAAAGCTGGAGAGCTGTCAACCCCCTGCTTCTAGGGACCCATCAGAGAATGGGCACCACGGGACAGCCCCTAACCTGAGACTGAGGAAGGCAAGTGGCTGCAGGGAAACAGGGCATGCAGGGTGGCCTACTTGTGGCAGGCACCGAGAAGCTGATCAAGGGACTCAGGCGGCTACCGTAAGGACACAGACCCTTCAGGGCTGAGGTATAGGGAGGGTTGTCCCTTCTAGCAGAATTTTTCCCACAAACTCCACCATGTGCTTATAGGAAGATGTGGGATTTTCCTGAAAACCTTCCCCATGGTCCGGTTGGAGGGAAACAACCTCAGCCACTGCTAAAAAGCTGCACAAGTCCATCGGTTCCAGCTTCCTACAGAGAAAATAGCCTTCGTCTGCAGGAGGAAAAGCCACAAAAGTGGGCACGAATGGAAACCCCCCACAGCTGGGAGAGGGAAGAGAAAATATCAAAACGTCGAGCCCTGGGGGTGACGCGAGATCACGGGCTATGACCAGAACTAAAGCCAGAGGAGCCATGGTTGTGAGGACCACATCCCAGACACACACCCCAGACATACACCCCCCACACACACACATCCCAGACACACACCCCAGACACACATCCCAGACACACACCCCAGATACACACCCCAGACACACACACATCCCAGACACACACCCCAGACACACATCCCAGACACACACCCCAGATACACACCCCCCCACACACACATCCCAGACACACACCCAGACACACACACACCCCAGACACACATCCCAGACACACACCCCAGATACACACCCCCCACACACACACATCCCAGACACACACACACCCCAGACACACATCCCAGACACACACCCCAGATACACACTCCAGACACACACACATCCCAGACACACATCCCAGACACACGCCCCAGACACAACGCCCCAGACACACACACATCCCAGACACACACCCCAGACACACATCCCAGACACACACCCCAGATACACACCCCAGACACACACACATCCCAGACACACACATATCCCAGACACACACCCCAGGCACACACACATCCCAGACACACACCCCAGACACAGACACATCCCAGATACACACTGTAGACACACACCCCAGACACACACACATCCCGGACACACACACACCCCAGACACACACACATCTCAGACACACACCCCAGACATACACCCCCCACACACACACATCCCAGACACACACCCCAGACATACACCCCCCACACACACACATCCCACACACCCCAGACACACATCCCAGACACACACCCCAGATACACACCCCAGACACACATCCCAGACACACACCCCAGATACACACCCCAGACACACATCCCAGACACACACCCCAGACACACATCCCAGACACACATCCCAGACACACACTCCAGACACACACACATCCCAGACACACACCCCAGACACACATCCCAGACACACGCCCCAGACACACGCCCCAGACACACACACATCCCAGACACACACCCCAGACACACATCCCAGACACACACCCCAGATACACACCCCAGACACACACACATCCCAGACACACACCCCAGACACACACACATCCCAGACACACACCCCAGACACAGACACATCCCAGATACACACTGTAGACACACACCCCAGACACACACACATCCCGGACACACACACACCCCCCAGACACACACCCCAGACACACACACATCTCAGACACACACACACCCCAGACACACATCCCAGACACACACACATCCCAGACACACATCCCAGGCACACACACATCCCAGACACACATCCCAGACACACACCACAGACACACACATCTCAGACACACACACACCCCAGACACACACCCCAGACACACACACATCCCAGACACACATTCCAGGACACAGGTTCTGTGGAGGCAGAGGCTCAATCAGAAACTCAGAGAAGCCCCTCCTCGCCTCTACCCACAGGTAAACAAGCATCCAGTAAAATAAGAGTGGGATAAAGCAGGAGAGAGGCGGGACGCAGGCTCTCCCGGAGTCCAGCGTGGAATGAAGCAGGAGAGAGGCAGGATGTGGGCTCTCCCAGGGTCAGTGTGGAATACAACAAGAGAGAGGTGGGATGCGGGCTCTCCCGGGGTCCAGCATGGAATACAGCAGGAGAGAGGCAGGATGCAGGCTCTCCCGGGGTCCAGCGTGGAATACGGCAGAAGAGAGGCGGGATGCGGGCTCTCCCGGGGTCCAGCGTGGAATGAAGCAGGAGAGAGGTGGGACGCGGGCTCCCCCCCAGGGTCTAGCGTGGAATGAAGCAGGAGAGAGGCGGGATGCGGGCTCTTCCAGGGTCCAGCGTGGAATGAAGCAGGAGAGAGGTGGGATGTGGGCTCTCCCAGGGTCAGTGTGGAATAAAGTATATCTAGAGAAATTATCCAAACTGGAACACAAAGAGAATTTAGAAGGGGAGTGGGGAGCAGGGTGGGGAGAGACAGAACAGAGCATCCAAGAGCCGTGCAACCCCATGCAGTGGTCTAAAATATGGATAACTGGACTCCCATGAGGGGAAGAAAGAGAGAATGGGACAGAAGAAATATGTGAGGAAATGATGACCAGTATCTGTTTTCAATTCATGAAGGACACCAAACCGCAGATCCAAGAAACTCAGGTAACACCAAGCAGGATCAACTACCCTCCTGCCTCACCACCAAAATATTCAAACTTCACCAATATTCAATATTCATGCCTTGCTTCTTCATATGCCTCATTGATTATAGTCAGAACACCAAAAATTGAAATCTTTAAGGCAGACAAAGTGGAGAAAAACAGATTACCTGCAGAGGAGCAAAGTTAAGAATTACAGCTGATTTTCACTGGAAATCATGCATGCAAGCAGACAATGGAGTGGCATCTTTAACGACATTTTTTTAAAAACCTGTCAACCCCATATTCTTCTTAAAATTCTTCAAAATTGGAGTAAACCTTTATGTAATAATAGAGAAATGTGAACCCTGCCTGAATATTTGATAATATCAAACATATTGTTCATTGTTGATGTGTGATACTGTTAACTATTTTATGATTTTAAAGTAGTCACGATCTTGGCCAGGCGCGGTGGCTCTTGCCTGTAATCCCAGCACTTTGGGAGGCCGAGGGGGGTGGATCACCTGAGGTGTGAGCTTGAAAGCAGCCTGACCAACATGGAGAAACCCTGTCTCTACTAAAAATATAAAATTAGCCAGGCATGGCAGTACATGCCTGTAATCCCAGCTACTCGGGAGGCTGAGGCAGGAGAATCACTTGAACCCAGGAGGCAGAGTTTGCGGTGAGGCAAGATTGCACCATTGCACTCCAAAAAAAAATTAGAGAGAAATTAAATTTGTTTTTCAGAAAAAGTAGTCATGATCTTTTACAGATACACATTAAGATTTTATGTGTGAGATGATCTGATTTGTGGGATGCAGCGGGAGGGTGTGAATGAAAGGAGATAGAGGCTGGGGACAGTGGCTCATGCCTGTAATCTCAGCACTTTGGGAGGCTGAGGTGGGTGGATCACCTGAGATCAGGAGTCCGAGACCAGCCTGACTAACATGGTGAAACCCTGTCTCTACTAAAAATACAAAAATTAGCTGGACATGGTGGTGGGTGCCTGTAATTCCAGCTACTTGGGAGGCTGAGGCAGGAGAATCAATTGAACCCAGGAGGTGGAGGCTGCAGTGAGCTAAGATCATGCCCCTGCACTCCAGCCTGGGCAACAAGCGTGAGAACTCTGTCAAAAAAAAGAAAGAAAAGAGAAGAAAGAGAAGAGTAAAGAAGAGAAGAGAAAAGAGAAGAGAGAGGGAGGGAAGGGAGGGAAGGAGAGAGAGAGAGAAAGAGGGAAAGAAGGAAGGAAAGAAAGGAAGGAAGGAAGGAAGGAAGGAAGGAAGGAAGAAAAGAAAGAAAGAAAGAAAGAAAGAGAAAGAAAGAAAGAAAGAAAGAAAGAAAGAAAGAAAGAAAGAAAGAAAGAAAGGAAGGAAGGGAGGGAGGGAGGGAAGGAAGGAAAGGAAGGAAGGAGGGAAGGAAGGAAAGAAAGAAAAAGAAAGAAAGAAAGAGGGAGGGAGGGAGGGAAGGAAAGGAAGGAAGGAAGGAAAGAAAGAAGGAAAGAAAGAAAGGAGGAAAGAAAGAAAGAAGAAAAGAAAAGAAGAGAAAAGAAAAAAGAAAGGAGGGAGGGAGGGAGGGAAGGGAGGGAGGGAAATGGGCCTGGTACCAATTGTTGCTAGCGCTGGGGAGTGATGGTTAGGGTTAGATGGAGCTCATTACACAGCACCATCTAATTTTAAAAGGGTTGAAAAATTTTGATAATAAAATGTAAGAGTTAGTAAAAAATGGAGAGATCAAGACTTTCTCAGACAAACAAAACCTAAGGGAGTTATTGCTAATAGATCTGCTCTCCAAGAAATGTTAAGAAACATTCTCCGGGCAGAAGGAGTACATCAGTCAGAAACATGTCACTGTAGGAAGAAACAAAGAGTTCGAAATAAAATTGATGAAGGTACAATAAATGTTCTTTCTTTAGTTTTAATTGGTCAAAATAAGGGTCAGCAAGCTTTTTGCTAGAGTGACAGGTAGTAAGTGTTTCAGGTTTTGTGGGCCAGGTGATCTCTGTCATAGCTACCCAACTCCACACTCAACTTTGCCATCATAGCACAAAAGCAGCCATAGACAGTCCTTAAACAAATAGGTGTGGCTGCGTGCTAATGAAGCTTTATTGACAAAACAGGCTGGGGGCCATAGTTTGCTGACCTCTGCTCTAAGATAGCTGCCCAAGAAAAAACAGTAGCACTGTCTTATGTTTATAGCACATGTAAAAGTAAAGTATACATCAATAGCACAAAAGCTGACAGGAGGCAGGGGGCTGCCTGGGAATATACTCTTAGGTCCTTATATGGAAATGGTGTCATATTATTTGAAGGTATACTCAGGTTACTTTAAAATGTATATTACACATTCTAGGACAACTGCTAGTATTTTTTTTTTTTTTTGAGACAGACTCTTGCTATGTCGCCCAGGCTGGAGGGTAGCAGAGGCCCGATCTTGGCTCACTGCAAGCTCCGCCTCCTGGGTTCATGCCATTCTCCTGCCTCAGCCTCCTGAGTAGCTGGGACTACAGGTGCCCACCATCATGCCTGGCTAATATTTTTTGCATTTTTAGTAGAGATGGGGTTTCACTGTGTTAGCCAGGATGGTCTTGATCTCCTGACCTCATGATCCATCCGCCTTGGCCTCCCAAAGTGCTGGGATTATAGGCGTGAGCCACCGCACCCGGCACAACTACTAGTATTTTATAAAAGAGATATAAATAGTAAGTCAATAGAGTGGATAAAAGGGGATTATAAAACATGTTCAATTAAACCCAGAAGAGACAGGAAAAGAGGAAAAAAGAAACAAAACACAAGTGGAACAAATAGAAAACAGCCAACAAGATGACAAATTGTAATGCAACAGTCTTCTATAGTCACTTTGTGAATAGTCTAATGCAGCCATGTGTCACTTAACAATGGAGATCCATCCCAGGAAGCGAGTTGTAAGGTGATTTCGTCCTTCTGCGAAGACTGCATGTACACAAACCTAGGTGGTATAGCCTACTACACACCTGGGCTGTATGGTAGAGCCTCCTGCTCCTGGGCAACGAACCCACACAGCATGCGACGGTACTGAATACTGTGGGCAACTGTGACACCACGGTGGGGATTCGTGCATCTAAACTTATCTAAATATAGAAAAGGTACAGTAAAAACGTGGGATTAGGGCTGCGCGTGGTGGGTCACACCTGTAATCCCAGCACTTTGGGAGGCCAAGGGGGGTGGATCACCTGAGGTCAGGAGTTCAAGACCAGCCTGGCCAACATGGTAAAACCCTGTCTCTACTAATAATACAAGAATTAGCCAAGCATGGTGGCACATGCCTATAATCCTAGCTACTTGGGAGGCTGAGGCAGGAGAATCGCTTGAACCCAGGAGGCAGAGGTTGCAGTGAGCCGAGATAGTGCCATTGCACTCCAGCCTGGGCAACAACAGCAAAACTCTGTCTCCAGCAACAACAACAAAAAAACATGTGGGCTTACAGCCTTATGGGACAGCCATCTTCTGTGCAGCCCATCATTGACCAAATGCCATCATGCGGTGCATGATTTTAGTTAAAACATAGATTGTTAGATTGATCTTAGAAAAAGCAAGAACGCACTATATTCTGCCTACAAGAAACCAACTTTAAATATAACGATACAGATATGCTAAAAGAATGAAGAAAGATGCCATGCCAACACTCATCAGAAGAAAGCCGAACGAGTTAAATTAACATCTGACAGAGTAGAGTTGAGAGCAAGGAATATTATCAGAGATAAAGGGGAACATCACAGGCTAACAAAAGGGCCTTTCCCATGTGTCTGTGGATGACAGAACTTCAAAACGCATGAGGCTAAAACAGAGGACGGAAAGGAGAAACCCACAGTTCAAGTTGGAGATGCCAACACTCCTCTCCATGTAACTGACAGAACAAGTAGACAGAAAATCAGTAAGGATATTTAAGACCAAACAACACTCTCAACTGTCTAGACCTAATTGACATGGATGGAACACTGTATCAGCAACAGCAGAATCACATTCTTCTCAGGCGCACACGGAAAAGTCAACGAGACAGACCCCATGCTGGGCCATAAAACACACTTTGACACATTTAAAATTATAGAAATAATACAGAGGGTGTTCTCAGAGCATAATGAAATTAAGTTGGAAATCAGAAACAGCATGTCTATGCTATAGTACAGGGGAGCTTGCGGCAAGTGGGAGAAACATTATTTAGGCCCTGAGCTTTGAGGGGATGCAGAGCAGGAAAAGACCCCCGTGCGTCCGGCTGCGGTGCGAGGAGCCAACATATGAGGTGCACACTCTGGCAGACACCAATAACACAAAAGGTGGAGGGGGGGGGTACCCGGAAACACACTGTTATCAGGTCCTTATAAGGAAATGGTGTCACATTAATGCCTAGTGTTCCATTATTGGAACACTAAGCATGTGGGAGCTATTTCTATCCTATTGCTCAAGGTCATTGCCAAGGTCTGATTTTTCACACATGAAATTGCAATCTCAGGCATACATGGGTTGATTTTGATAATAAAATGTAATCATTTGTCATAAACTTTGCAAGAAAGATGCCTTGTGAAATTTGTGGCCCCAGTGGGAGACGCAGGCCCACAAGCCATAAGGTGAGGTGGGCCCAGCAATAGTCCGGCCTGAGATGGAAGTGGGTGTACCTGGGGCCGAGCCCCAGGAGCTGAAGGGCCCACAGTCTGCACACAGGCAGCCCGGAGCTCACGGCCTCCCCCTTCACTGCCCCCACCATTCACTCACTGCAGCCACGAGGGGAACACCGCCATTCTCGCTGAAGGAGGAGGAAACGTCTGATGTGTGGGAGGGCTGGCTTGGACGTGGGCACCAGCTGCACTGCCACCTCCCTTGAGTGACCTTGAAAGACAGTAGGAGGGAAGGTCACCCAGTGGGCAGCGCTGGGGCAGAGGGCCTGTCCCACCACTTGCATGGAAGGAGAAGCAGCCTGAGGGTGGAGTACACACTCACTGGCTGGGAAAAACGGCCTATCTGGTTGGCCAGGAACCCACAATGGAAACGATTGGAAAATCAAGGACAAGCAGTCCGGGGTGGCAGCAGGGGGGTGGCAGCCTGGGGTGGGCGTAAAGTCCGAGGGTATCTGTATCATGCTCATGCCCGGGGGAGTGTCCACTACGGCAGATGCTCTAAGCCACTAAGCTGACAGAATGATTGGGGCCACTGTGGCCAGCCAGACTGTCCCCAGCCGCCCAGCCGACCTATCAGTCATATGACTGACGTGACCAGGGAGCCAGCAGTGGAGACTGCAGCAGCATAAGCTCCCGCTGACCAAGGCCACTGCCCAGCGACCTGCTCCCACCTATCTGCCACAAAGGCCAAAGCTCAGCTTCCAATGTGGCTCGTTCCTGGAGGAGGCCAGCTGACCGCTTGGTGGCAAATAGGCCACACTGAGCTCCTTCCATCCTGGAAAGGCCAGCAGCTCACTTGGAGGGGAAGATATTCCAAGCCTGGGTTTGCCTTTCCCACCCGCCTACCCAACCTCCACCAGCAACACGGTCTGCGATCTCCCCTGTGTTTCATCCCCTGACTCGGGCCCCCTCTGACCATCACAGCAGAGGAGGTGGGGCAGGCCCACAAGCACAGGCCTCGGGCCAGATCACACGACACCCACTCGGAAACTGGAGTCAACAGAGAGCCGCAGCTGCTCGTACCGGGCAAGTCTCTGCGGGGTGGGACCCTGTCCCAGGACGCAGGATTGGCGCTGAGCTCGGGATCTCTGTGTGCACCTGCATCGCTGGTAGGAGGACGCCCAGGAACCAAGGAGTGAGGCAGGAGCAGCCCCCGGCATCATCACTCCCAGTGACCCAGGAAGGGATTTGTGCTTTTTTCCCTGCGGCTCTGGGCACTGCAGAGTTAGAGGTCCTGGTCCCCGGGGATGGAGGGAGGGGGTATATCAGCGGGCACAGAGCATGTCCAGTGACGCACAAACCACGGCTGCCCTCTGGTGCGTCGGGTTCCTTGTGGGGGGATCACCAGGCAGGAGAGAGCACCACCGTCCTGGCAGGTACAACAGACCCCAGCCAGAGGGTGGAGGCGGGGCCGCGGCTGCACAGGGGGCATGTGGGGAATTCAGGTGATCTGCGTGGACACCTCATGGTGGCCCTGGCCAGCTGTCACTAAATGGGCAGCTACGGCAGGCCCCGCTGGACATGGCATGGTGGCAGGGTGCCAGAGCCCTCGGTAGGAAGGACTGGGTCACAGCACTAAGTGAACTGCTGTTGTCTGCAGAGACATAACTGAGGGTGAGGGTCCGGGCTGGGTAATGGAAGGAGGGGGAAACGGCTCAAGGGGGCTAGCATGGGCGCAGCAGCCACTGCACTGGGGCCATGATCACAGAGTCATTGCCCAGAAGCATAGCTCCGGGGCACTGGGCCATGCTCGTGACTTGGTGAATGAGTGAATGGGTGAGTGAATGAGCTTCACAGATTTCCACAGTGAAGAGAACCCTTAGAGTGTCTGATCCGCCCCTCCATTTGCAAAGCACAGATCTGGAAACTGGACGGCCCCAAACTGAGTCCAAGTCCTGCATCTGCCAGTCGTGTGAACTTGGGTGAGTGACTTAGCCTCGCTGTGTCTCAGTTTCCTTATCAGGAAAATCTAGCCATTCACCACCCCTTCCTCAGTGGGCTGCTGTGGGGACTGGAGTTAGCATGTGCACGGGCAATGCTAACAGGCACATACAAAGCACCAAGCAAGCGTGAGCTTTGGGTACTTTTTATCACCGTATAGACCAGGCGCTGAGACCCAGAGAGGCCAGCGACTTTCCCAACGCTGCGCAGTGAGCCAGGTGCAGGGCTGGGTGGGTCTTGGGTGCCCGGTTCCAGGGCGGCTGCTGGGCCAGGACTGCAGGATGCTGGAGGAGAAAGAGTCCTGAGGTCCCCAGCTGCCTTCTGGGGCTGACAGGCCTGTTCCTTGGCCTGGAGAATTCCTCTGAGAAGAGCGAGCAGCTCAGTGAGGACACATGAGGCCACCCAGGCCAGGAGGGGACTTCAAAGCCATGGACAGCTCACAATCCCCAGGCGGGGACATGGGAGGCTTCCTTTCCATTGCTGTTTGATTTCAGCCTCCCAATTAGCCATGCCTAAGTAATGCACTCAGGGCCGTATCCATTGTTTATGAGAATAAGCAGGCATGAGAACGCCCTTCTCTCTGCAAGAAGATGCCCGCCCTTACCAAGGTGACTTCCAAGGACTTCAGGAACCTGAAACCTCGTCCTTGATCGACTCGTGGTGTTGAAGGCCCTGCCAAAGCCAGCCTGGCACTGCTCTCTGGGATGGAGACGGGAGATGGCATTCCGGGTCTAAATTCTCGTGGGTGGTTCTCAGCTGTCAGGAGGTGCCAGGCTTACCTGCCAGGACCGTGGTTTTCTGTCATTGTAACTGTGGGAATGGCTAAGTCCTGTCTATGACAGTCACACGAAATAAAGTGTTCTGTGCTCCAGGAAAGGCTGTGCTCTGTGAGGCATTTTTCTTATCACTGTTCTCCAAAAGGACAGTAGGATTTTAAGCCAGGAGCTGAAACAGGCGGCGAGGGCCAGGCACTGAGGTGGCCCCGCCTGTTGGAGAGGCAGGTGATGCCTAGCAGGGGAGGGAACAGAGAGGGGAGAGGTCCTCCTGCGGGTCCGGGTGGTTCTGGCTGTGATTGGGACCCTGAAGTGGGCTTGGGATTCATGGTGAGCCTGGGCTGAAGCCCCTGAGGGATACCCCGCCCCCTGCACTCCTCTTCCCCAAGGCAGCACTGAGGAGGCTCTAGCCAGTACCTGGCGGCCAGTGTGTGCTGCCTGCTGTCCTGCGGCTCTGCTGCTCCAGGCTCCACATCTGAAACGCAGCCTTCCCAGCCTACCCAAGGGTGAATGGGAGACAGCCCGCACGGGCCCATGAGTGCCCAGGGAGGCCAGGTGGGCATCTCCATGCCCCAGGAATTAGCAAATGCTACAAATCAGGGCTTTATTTATGCCCCCATCCTCCTAGCCCAGGCTAGGCTCTGTCTGTGACCCAAGACAGGCATGGAAACCCCCTGCCGGCAACCTGATGAGGGAGGCCCCTGCTCTCTCAGTGCTGAGCCATGAGCCTGACATGTAGGGAGGAGCCTTAGGACCCTGCTGCTCTTGAGGGAAGCCCATGTTCCCCAGGATGTCCTGCCAGGCCTTGCATGGCCCCCAGGTCCCCAGCCTAATCATAGCCCTGACTGCCCCAGCACACACAAGCCGCGTCCCCACTGCCCTCTAGCCTCCTGGGCCTGGAAGCCACAGGGCCCCGATCAGCACAGGCAGGCAGGTCTGGGTCCCACTTCAGAGCCCCAGGGAGGTGTTCCCTCCCCTCCCCACCCCCAGCAGGGCAGGACCCAAGGGGACTGTCCATCACCGGCCTTAGCAACTGGTTCCTTGTGTGTACCCCAAGGGGCCTCTGAACCCCCAACCCACGTTGGAGCAGGGCCTGCCCTGGGCTCGCTGGCTAAGTGGATGAGGAAGCTCCTGTCTTTCTCGGGGGCTCCTCAAGGGGGCTCCGTCCCAGCAGGGAGGCTGCAGGAACCTGAGCCTTGAAGGCCAAGGTGGTCTGTGGGTCTGTGCCCATTCTCTCAGCCTGGCCATGACCCCCAGGTAGGACCCTGGGGGGTGTCTGGTGTGAACCAGGGGTGTGGAGCTTCTGTCTTAGGAACATCACTAGGCAAGGGGCTTGAGAAGTCAGACTCTATTTGGGGCAAAACCGTGATTATCCATGAACAAAGCTCTGATGCTGTGTGACCTCGGGCAAGTGCCTTAGCCTCTCTGTGCCTGGCTCTGTTCTGGAATATATATTACTCAGGGACCATTTTGAGGATGTAATGAAATAAAGCAGGTGAACAGTGCCTCTTAGAAGGCCTAGCTCCTGGTAGAAGCTCCTCCTCCTCACCCCGCCCTCTGGTGTGAGGATCAAGGCCTTGCTCTTCACAGGTCGCCGCAGGTTACTGGGGTGTGAAACGTAGACTTTGAAGTCGTGACGGGTGTTTGCTCCTGAATTTGCTTACTCGTGTTTTTGTTCTCCCTTGGCTTTTAGCTCTAATTGAAAGGTTCTTTTGACAATGCCAAGGCTTTGCAGCTGTGCTGAGGTCAAGTGCACAAAAGGGTTTTGTCTTCACTTGGACCAGAGAGAAGGGAAAGCCTGGGGCTGTGGGGGCAGCTGGATCTGAGGGGGTCATCGCCCTCCACATGAGTGTGCAGGGCCCAGGGGTGTGAGCTCTGGACCACCTGGTGCAATCCCTGTGCAGTGGCCTAGAGACCCCTCCCAGAGCCCGCCCCTGCCCAGGCCTGGGTGGCCACCGTCACTCGGTTATTCCTGGTTCTGACTGCAAAGGACGAGGGAGCAGGTCCTGGAGGGTCTGTGCGGGGAAGCAAGCGGGGCAGGGGCAGAAGTCTTGTCTATCAGGCCTCTGCCCCATCCCAGGCACCATACGCCTTGCTGGGTGAACCCGGGCGACTCTTAATATCCCCCTCCACAGACAGGAGCCTGAGGCACAGAGAGGTTGCATCCCTGCTCATGACCGTAGCTGAAAGGGGCCGGTGTGGATCCGCACCCGGGACATCTGACCTGCTCTCATCCAGGATACTGCTCCAAAGCCCAACGGCAGCAGGGAGGTGGCCAGAGAGGGAACGGGGTAGACAGGGAGAGGAAGGCCACAAAGGCCACCTTGGCAAGCCATCTGCTTTTTCTTGAAAAGAGAGAAACCTGGGAGGGCTTCCTGGAGTGGGAAGCTGAGCCAGACCTCATCCTGCCCTTCTGAGCAAGGCAAGGAGATGGTATTGGGGACTGTCACTGTCAGCGTGCAGTAGCTCATGGCTTCCCAGATACTTATGCCCTGCCCGCAGGCCCTCTGTGGTCTGACGCCCTCCACCTCCTCAGCCTGGGTTCCTTTTACTCAACTTCTCCGTCTCGCCAACGACCTGCCTGCCTCGGGTCTTTGCACCTTTGTTCCTTCCACCAACTCTTAATCACCTTTGACTCTTGGCCCAAATATCCCCCTGAGCCCTGTCCCCATTGCTGGCTTCTCTCAGAAGGTTCGGTGGTTCCCTGCATGCTGGAAAAGGAGAGGGGTAACACACCGAGGAGGTAGGCACAGCCTCTGGGCAGGCGGCCCCTCCACCTGCAGCTGTGTGACCTTGGGACAGTAGCTTAGCCTCTCTGTGCCTTTGTCTCTGATGCATGGAATGGGGGCGATAGATCATCAACTTGGGTTGATGTGTGCAAGTGCTCTGAAAGCTGGGTACAGGTGAGCCCCAGCATGTGGGGGCCATGAGCTCACCATTAGTGCCTCCTCCACCCCTGGAGCGGGAGCCCCGGAGGTCAGGGTCTGAGCGGCCCCTCCCTACTGTCCTTGGCACCAGCCCATGGTGACCACCTAGTGAAGGAAGCAAAGGATGCAAAGGAGAATGAAGGCTGGCCCAGTGGTGCCAGGGTAGAGGACTGGGGGCAGGTGGGCCTGGCGAGGCCCCGCAGCCCTTGCCCTGCTCCTCCGCTCCCACACCTCCATACTGGTCAGTTTGCAAGGCCAGTGAGGCTTCCCAGTGAAGCCACTTAAATTTCTCTTGCAGCACTGCTGCAAACTGCAGCGAACCGGTTTATTAAAGTCTAATTAGCCAAATGGATAAATAATCACACTCGAGCTTAACCCTTTCCCGATCATACTGCTTCCTCCCTAGAGTGAGAGAGGCCAGCCGGGGTCCTGATTTGTTCTGAGCAGCCATCCTGCCCGGCCTGGCCACAGTGTCCATCCACTGTCATGCTCTCTAGAATGGTGTTGGCATGATCCCTGCACGGATGCCGCGGCTCGCCTTGCCTGCATGTGGGACAGAGGACAAACCCTGTGCAGAACCCTGAGGGCATCATCCCCTCCACCACTGTCTATTCAGGGCATGTGTGTGCTGAGCAGGGGTCAGGGGCTAATCTCAGCTGAGGGAATGGAGGAGTGTGAGGGGCAGGCTTTGCCTTCTAGAAGCTCCTGATCTCTTAGAGGAAGCAGCAAGCAAACAAATAATCAGGATATCAGATAAATGATGGGGATGAAAGAAGCCATTGAGCATCAGGGTAAGAGCGTAATCCTGTCTGAAGGCATCAGGGACCGCTTCACACAGGTGGTAATGCATTAGCAAGAGTTTTGAAGGATGAATAGGAGTTTGCCAGCTGAGCATAAAAGTATTCAAGAAAATGGGACAGCAGTGCAAAGGCTCAAGGGAGTGACACCCCTGTGTTCTGGACATTGCACAAAAACCAGATGCAGTTTGCTCCTGCTAGAGGATGAGGCACAGAGGAGGGGAGAGGAAGGTGCCTAGCTGGAAAACAACAGGCCCAGCCTGGGAAGCCCTCAAATGACACAGGAAGGAGCTCAACCTTCACTCTGTGGGCTTAGAGCCACTGAGGAACCTTACTGGGGAGGGACGGATGGGAACCGGTAGGAGCCAGTGAGCCTGAAGCAGGGCGCCCATGGGGGAGGCTGCTGGGATGGTCCAGTCCAGGCTGACGGACCCCTCGATGCGGTGCGGGCCAGAGGGGCTGATCCATCTGGATCTGGCAGCCTGCGGATGTGAGGCCGACAGAAAGGAAGGAGAAAGCACAAGTCTCCAGATTGCAGTTCAAGTGGACCATCCCATCCCCAGAGACCCAGCCTGAGCAGGGGATGGCTGCAGGAGGCATCGTGAGTTTCCCCTTGGGGTGTCTAGGGGGCATCCAGACGGGGCTGCAGGAGGGCAGGGTATGGAGGCAGATTGGGGTGCACTACAGATGAGAGGGAAGCAGGAGCTGCTGCTGCGGAGAGGGTGGGGGAGCCGGTGGGAGGGGCCTCTGTTACCACCCTCCACCCACGGAAGCACACCAGGGAAAATCACCGCCACTATCAGTGGCCGCCACACGCCAGGCACTGGGTGAAGCGCTGTCTGCGATTTTCTCCTTGAATCCTCCTGGGGCAGTGGGGAAGAGGGGAGGGCAAGTTTCATGAGTCCCCAGAAGAGTTAGGAAGGAGTCAGGGAGGACGGAGAGAGGATGCCTTCAGTCCCTAGCCCTGCACCCCACCTGGCCTGGCTCCTCCTCACTGCTCTGCTAAGCACCGCCCTCTCCAGGCAGCCTCTGCAGGTGCCCCCAGCCTGCTCAGGAGCCTCTGAACTTCCCTGGGGGACAGGCGACCTCCTGCCTCTCCAGGGCCGCAGCACACAGCTCAGGCCTGGCTCAGGGGCAGCACAGGTTAGTGTTTACAGAATTAGTGGAAGAATGAACGACTAGCCGGGAACGACTAGCACAAATCACATGACTTCTTACCTTTGAGAAGACAATGCAAGCACACAATGCCCAGCCATTCACTTTGCAGGCAGCTAGTGACTCCCACAAGAAGCTGGGGCTGCTGCTGCCACTTCACCTTCCCCGGTCACTCCGTGCCTGACCAGGCAGATCCCAGCAACCCTGATGGGCAAGGTGGGGCTCAGGAAGATCCCACCAACCCTGATGGGCGAGATGGGGTCCAGGCAAGGCCCTCCAACCCTGATGGGCAAGGCGGGATTCAGGAAGATCTCACCAACCCTGATGGGCAAGGTGGGATTCAGGAAGATCCCACCAAACCTGATGGGCGAGGCAGGGTCCAGGCAGGGCCCTCCAACCCTTATGGGCGAGGTGGGGTCCAGCCAGATCCCACCAACCCTGATGGGCAAGGCGGGGTCCAGGCAGGCCTCCCTCTCTTTGCTTTAGTTGTTTGTCCCTTTTTGTCTCCTTGACCCAACTCAACCCAAAAATCCACCAATCTAATGGGCGTGGGTGGATTTTTTGTTCTATTATGTTTTGGCCAAATGTGCACATGGAATCCATACATATTTCCAGTTTCCATAAATGACCCCATCAGGCTCTTGCCCTTTTCCCTCCGCACTGCCCTAGGGTCATCGAATGTTTTCCTTCCGCCTGCTGACAAGTGTGCCACGGGGGACCCCCATTCCCCCATTTCCCCACAACAGGCACCCAGGCATCCTCAAACTCCCACACCACAAATACACACCTGGCACTTCCCCTCCACAAGGGAGAATTCCCTGGGGCCATGCACCCAAGAGTGCAGATGCCAGGCACAGGCCACGGGTGTGCCCACCTTGATCAGTGGCACCTCCAGACCACAGCCTGCCTACCTATCACCATCCAGCTTTTTAGCCTCACCCCATCCTTCTCTCGCCACAGCCAGCACACCAGTCGCAGCCCCAGTCATGCCAAAGATCCTAATAAAAACCCTCCCAGCAGGGCCCTGGGACATCCTGCAATGGACAGGCATGGTGCTCAGCTGCAACTGGTGAGCTGCAATTCCTGGATATTTACAAAGGAAAATGTAATTTTATTTTCATTTTCTGTATAATGTAATTAATGCTTTAGTTTTACCCCAAGATCATAACTGAAGTGACCAGTGCCTGGCAGGATGTCTGGGGGCCTCGGCGTGGGGATTTGCATGTACACGTGTGGGCTACACGTGTGGGGATGCACGTGCATCCGCATGTGGACTATCACATGGGTTAGAAACCCGTCAAGTGCCTTCTCCCACCTGGAATCCACCTGTCTGTGTCTCTGAGCCATCCGGCCTGAGTTCTCCTCCCCTGAAATCTTGCATGGGAATGGGAGCTCACGGGTGTGTCCTCGGTGCTAAGCTGAGACTCCACTGGAAGCCGGGCTGATTGGGGAAGAGCAGAGCCCTGAAGCCACAGGCTCAGCTGGACTCTGGCACTGCCCCCTTCCCCCTGACTCTGACCAGACCCTGCCTCTCAGCCTCTGGTCTACATCCCAGCCTCCAGCCCCACAGAATCAGGGTCAAAAACAGAAACTGCCCAACACCCATCAGCAGAAAGACAGATGGATGTGGATAAGCAGGTCACAGATGGGACACTACAGAGGCCAGCAGCCAGCACGAGTGGCAGCGAGGATGAACGCAACACCTCGTGCTGAGCTGCAGAAGCCTGCAGACTGCACAGCGGGCGCCCTTTACATAAATGCCAGGGCTGCGGACACAGCAGATCGGCTGCTATGGGCTGGGTGGGCGAGTGGGGTGAGGAGGCGAGTGGGGTGGGGGAGGCTGACCCCCAGTCCAGGTGAGCTTTGGGAGGTGATGGGAATGCGCTGTCTGGATTGTGCTGGTGGTTATGTTACAGATTTGTCAAAACACATCAAACTGCCACTTCAAACGGGGCATTTTATGGCATGTCAATTACACATCAATAAAGTTGGCCGTTGACTGTACAAAGAGGAGAGGGTGATTTCCAAGTCGCAGCACCAGTGGGAGGGGTCTTCATTATTCCGTCGATTTGCCACAGGCCTCAGGAGGAAAGGGGTGGCCAGCAGCCCTGGGGACTGGGAGGCGGGAGTTCACCACCGCGGCCCTGCCCGCTGCCCACACTCCTACCCGAGACTCCCACCATCCCTGGGCATCTGAGCCGCAGGAGCACAGCTGACTGTCATCAATACTGTTCCTTAATTAAGCGGTAATTGGTTCTCTAAAGATATTTATTGACTTCAAGTGTCTATGTAATCAGACGTATCTTACACAGTTGTAAAGGCTCGTTAATTTATTTTAATAATTAAGTGGCACTTAATGAAATAGAAATAACTGTCCAACCTCATCCACACTAGACCTTGAAGACACCTGACTTGATGGGCCCCTATACAGCCACCAGAACCTCTGACCATCCTGGGGCCCCAGCCAGGGGACAAGCAGGCTGTGTGTGGACAGACCCCATGAAGCTGGGGGGTGTCCAGGATGGAATGAACCCTGACACCCACCTGTCTGAGGCCTCAGCACCACATCCTGCAGAAATGGTCCTGAGAGAGACACAGAATCGAGGTCCCAGCCCCAGGCTTCTTGGTCCCCTGGGATCAGGTCTCCATCCAAGTCCCTCCTGCCCGCTCGGGTGGGGGCACAGACGACCAGCTCCTGCTGGGCATTTCCACCATGGTGCGTTGAATCCTCATGCCTGCCCTATAAGGTTATTCCCATGTTTCAGATGAGGAAACTGAGGCGTAGCAAGATGTGGTAACTTTGCCCACAGTGACCAGGTGGAGGGGCAGTGCCAGGAGGTGCTCAGCACACCAAGGCCGCCTCCAGGCCGCACACAGAGGTGGCTGCCTCCTTCCCCCGCTGGGAGGCATAGACGGCCAGGAGATGCACGCGGCCCCAGCCAGCCCTCGGGTTCATCTCTGCCAGAATCTGCCTGCTTTGCCCAGTGAATCAAATATTTTAAACTATTTTAATTGGTATTCAATAGTTAAAATGCACGTGGTACAAAATTAAAAAGATGCACAAGTGCACACTGGAAAGCAAGGCTCCCGTCCTCCGGCCACAGGCAGCTCCTCAGCGGCCTCTGGGGCCTGGGCGTCACCCTCACCCTTCATTCACTGTCAGGTGGACTGAGACCCACCTGCCTCTCTGAAAGGCAAACGTCTCCAAAGACCAGCTCATCTGGGGACAAAAATCTACTTGAACTGACCCAAGGCTGCCGATGGACTTTACCATCACTCTGTAGAGTTTGCTGGTGCAGGTTTTGCTGCAGAAATGTTCATGAGTTCTAGATCTGAAGTGTTATGGAACAGGCGGCTTCTTTCTTTTCTAAAAGCTAAGAAAATGCCAAATGCCAAAAGACAGCTAATAGGTAAATGCATCTCAGCATCTCAGGCCCATGGGGTCTGGAGTGATTCCTACCTTGGCTGTGGAGACTCCAGAACAGCAGGGCCCTGGCGGCGGGTGGCAAGGCTTTAGGACTGACCTGGGCTCCAGTCCTGGGTGTGGCATTTGCAGCTGCAGGACCTCGGGCCGGTCACCTTACTGCTGGAGTCCCAGCTCCTCCCCAGCAAAGTAGCGTGGACAGCAGGACCCCCTTTCAAAGGCTGTTGCAGGAGCAAATGAAATGCCATGTCTTTGGCCTGGAACCCATGAGGAGGCTCCAAAGTGTCACCTGCGTGATGATTTCGAGGGCAGGGGAGAGAAAAGAGCTCGGTCCTGGAGCCCCTCCAAGCCCCTGCCATCATGGCTGAGAGGAGGTGGCTTCACACTCCCTGTGAAGGAGAAATCATCGTGGGTGCCTCTAGACTGTCGGGAAAACAAAGTGAGATGTAAGTGTAAAGTGCTTGGCACGTAGCAGGACTGCCGTACGTCAGTGCTGGGAGTGGAGAGGGCCCTGGAGGTTAGGGGTCAGGTCCACAGGGGCCATTTGGAGCCCAGGTTTGTTTTTGGGCCCAGTACTTCGTGTCCCGCCCAGAGCAGCCCAGGGACAGTGTGCTCCAGAGCCCCTTCCAGGTTCTCCAGGGGAGAAGAGTGGCCCAGGGCCTCCAGAGCTGTCCCCACACCCACATCCCTGTCTATGCAGGGCCCATACTGCCCAGGTCAAGGGGGACGGGATGGCAGGGATCCCAGGGAGGCAGTGCCACCTCCCAGAGCAAACACTTCCTCAGAGCCCAGCAGCCCTCGGGGAGGTGCACTCACAGCCGCTGGCAGTTTTCTGGAACTTGGCCTCCTGAAGTGGGCTGGAAATTCCTGGAAAATGTTGAGGTCCCTTCCAGCTCTGGAGCCTAGGACGTTAAGTCACCTGGTTCTGCTAGGAAGCAGCAGGGCTCAGGGGCTACAGGGATAACCCAGAGGCGGAGGTCCAGCGATGTGACTGCGGTTTGTCGGCCAAGCACCGATGTGTGATTTCTCACTTGGGAAATGGAGACGGTGCAGCCCGGATCCCAGAGGGTGTCCTCGGGGCAGAGGCCGCTGTGCAGAATGTGGAGCACTGTCCCACACCAGAGCCAGCAGTCCTAGGCGGAGCCTCTGGGACAGGTGCTTTTGGGGCAGACAGGGAGGCCTCCTGGGCACGCAGGTGGGGCCAGAGATGTGCACAAGAAACAGATGCCAACAGCCACGGGCCTCCCTGTTTCCATGAGAACTCAGTCCTCACTGGCTATAGGAACATCTCACACCAATTCTGAACTCATTTTCAATTGTCCCTCTAACTGGACGGGCACTCCCCGCCTAACTGCACACGTGGCAGGCAGCATTCTCCCGGGAAGCCCGCGCAGAGGGCAAAATTGCACACATATGCTGGGTGCACACTTGGAGCCAGGCTGCTCCAGGCCCCCGGATGCCATGCCAAGCACGAATATTAACGCCATTAATATTCGTGGCTGCCTGGCGAGGCTTGACGGGGTGGCGGCGCCTGCTAGTCCACCTGGTTGCCTCCAGCACAGAGCTGGGATTGGAACCCACATCAGCGCCCTTTCCAGTAAACATCTCCCCTGGCTCGGAAGGCAGCGCCTCCTGTCCATAATTAAATGGCAGCATGTCTGTGGTCTGGCAGGGCTCCTATCAAAATAATGAGGCCTCGAAGACAAAACGAGCAAATCCCTTGCTCCCAGAACAAACCCGGAACTGTCAGGACTCCCATCCCAGCCTCTAGCCGGGCGGGCCTCCTTCATGACCCACTGGGCAGAGCCCTTTCCCAGGGTTGGGGGGGAAACTCCAGAGGCACAGGCCCCTCCCTGGAGTAAAAGTGTCCGGAACAGCTGGAACAAAAGCAGTTTGCGGGTGATCAAGCCCCAGAGCATTTGCCAGAATTCCCAGCAGCCTGGGGTCAGGTTCTCGAAAGTTCCTGAGAGTCTAGTGCCAGATCTGGCAGCCTGGGGCTGATTCCATTCCATGTGGGACACAGTCAGGCCCAGGTTTGAATCCCAGCCTGGCCTCTCCTTAGCTGCCCGACCTTGAGTGTCAACTCCCTCTTGAAGGCCTGGAGGCCGAGTCCTGGTCCTGCTGTGCCAGGCGTGGTACACAGGTGCGTGGTGCACAGGTGTGTGGGTGCACAGGTCCGGGGTTGCACAGGTGCGTGGTGCACAGGTACATGGGTGCACAGGTGCGTGGGTACACAGGTGTGTGATGCAAAGGTGTGTAGTGCACAGGTGTGTCAGTGCACAGGTGCGTGGGTGCACAGGTGTGTTGGTGCACAGGTGCATGGGTGCACAGATGCATGGTGCACAGGTCTGGGGGTACACAGGTGCAGGGGTGCACAGGTGCATGGTGCACAGGTGTGTCAGTGCACAGATGTGTGGATGCACAGGTCTGGGGGTGCACAGGTGTGTGGGTGCACAGGTCTTGGGTTGCACAGCTGTGGGGGTGCACAGGTGCATGGTACACAGGTGTGTGGGTGCACAGGCCTGGGGGTGCACAGGTGTGTGGTTGCACAGGTCTGGGGGTGCACAGGTGCATGGTGCACAGGTGTGTCAGTGCACAGGTGTGTGGGTGCACAGGTCCGGGGGTGCACAGGTGCATGGGTGCACGGGCATGTGCTCTGTAAACAGCAAGGTGTTGGCCGACTGTGATAGCCGTTATGCACCCTTCCCTGCCAACCTGGATGCACCACCCCATGCCCAACCCACTGCCCCACCTCCTTAAAGATGGACCTTGAGAAGGCCAGGCACGGTGGCTCACTCCTATAATCCCAGCACTTTGGGAGGCCAAGGTGGGCAGATCACAAGGTCAGGAGATCGAGACCATCCTGGCTAACATGGTGAAACCCCGTCTCTACTGAAAATACAAAAACAAAATTAGCTGGGCATGGTGGCGGGCGCCTGTAGTCCCAGCTACTTGGGAGGCTGAGGTGGGAGAATGGCATGAACCTGGGAGGGGGAGCTTCCAGTGAGCCGAGATCACACCACTGCACTCCAGCCTGGGCGACAGAGTGAGACTTCGGA
Source organism: Homo sapiens (assembly GCF_000001405.40). Classification (NCBI taxonomy): domain Eukaryota; kingdom Metazoa; phylum Chordata; class Mammalia; order Primates; family Hominidae; genus Homo; species Homo sapiens. The sequence goes on from NC_000008.11 coordinate 142,102,879, forward strand.
AAAAAAAAAGATACACTTTGAAAATCCCAGCCATCAGACATTCCTCCTTCCGGACAGATGGGGCCATGTGAGGCCCTCGTGTCACCCACAGCTGCTGTCTCCACTTGTCCAGGCAACCAGCTTCTCCTGGCCAGCCTTGGGGGATGCCTCCTGAGCTGAATTTGGAACTGTGATGAGCTGGAGACAGGACTTGGCCCTCGGGGTCTTGACCCAGGGGGGTCAATGGAAAGCAGGAAGAGGCTGCTTCTTCCTGGAGTCAAGGAGGGCTTCCTGGAGGAGGAAGACTTTGAGATGGGTCTCAAAGAATGAGTTTGATATGTAGACCAGGAAGAGAAGGACCTGAGCCCAGGAAACAGGAGCAAAACACGTGGGGAGACAGCACTGGGTGGAGGCGGCAAAGGGCAAGCATGGAGCGAGCGGGACTCCAATCCACGCCCCTGACTCTTCCACCACACCCAACACGGGGTGAAGCTGGCACAGCTGTGCACGTGTGCTCAGCCTAGGTCCACCTGTGCCTGCACGCTCTGGCCATTGCCACGCCACTAATGTGTACCTCTGATTTCCACATCTGAAGGATTCACGATGGATGGAGGGGTAAACTCAGTGACCCAGCAGGCCGGGGCAGATGGAGCACCTCTCTGAATCCTGGAAGCTGGTGTGCTGCTGTGATCACCTTAACGTGGTCACCACATGGCGCCAACCCATGGGCCGTGCCTGCCTGGTCCTGGCCACTGCCATCAGCCAGCAAACAGCTTGTTCTTCCAGCAGGTTCATGTTGGACCAGCAACCTAGGACCGCCCCCCCACCCAGCTGAGTCTGAGCCCCATTTTAAGAAAACCCAGTAGACCGGGCGTAGTGGCTCCTGCCTGTAATCCCAGCACTTTGGAAGGCAGAGGCAGGAAGATCACTTAAAGCCCAGAATTTGAGACCAGTCTGGCCAACATGGCGAAATCCCGTCTCTACTAAAAATATGAAAATTCTGTAATCCCAGCTACTGGGGAGGCTGAGACAGGAGAATCGCTTGAACCCAGGAAGCAGAGGTTGCGGTGAGCCAAGAACCCACTCCACACCAGCCTCAAAAATGGAAAAGAAAAGAAAACCCAGTGTATAAAATACAGCTCCAAGGCAGTGGTAATTTACTTCAATTGCCAAATATGCCAAATAAACTGCCAAAATAGTCCTTCAATTTACTGAGCTCTGCCAGACCCTGTATCTCCTGCAGGATTCACGTGGCATCCTCCTGAGGCAGGTGCCACCCTTGGTTCAGCCACCTGCCTGTCCCGGGTCTCTAGGGTCAGCCAATGGCAGGGCCAGGCTCAGAGCTTGGTCCATCTGGGAGCATGTCTCTCCTGAGCACAAGGCCTACACACTGGACAGGTGCACAATTCACGTCCCCCATCAGGTGCCCTCCAGACACAAGCACTTGTCATCCCCAGATTTTCTCAAACACCTCCCAGCCTTCCGAGGCCCCTGCTGGCCTCTCTGAGAAGCACCGGTGCCTCCCCGCACCACCGCCAGCACTGCCCTCCCTGCCTTGTTCAGCTGTCTCTCGGGCCCCTCCTTGCTAGTCTGCCCTAGGACACAGCCATGAGCCAGCCTGCCTCCTGCCACAGCACAGACCTGCTGCAGTGTGGGCATCCAGTCAGCTCAGTAATGAGTGTGGAACTCTGGGATCAAAAGCACCCATCAAGCCTAAGCAGGGACGGGGCCCCTGGGGAGACTCCCCAAACCCCAGGCCTGGAGCCCACGTCCTGGCCTCAGTAAAGCTGGGTGAGCTCAGTCCCGGGGAAGCCCCGGGCAGCACAGGCAGTGGGGTGTGGAGGATGGACAAGTGCTAGGGGAGCAAGGCGACTGTCACCCTCAGCCATACTGCTGCCCAGGGAAGCCAGGGGAGTGCCAGCTCATAGCCCCCGGGGCACGCAGCGTGGAAGGGCCATGGCTGAGGGACACCTACTCCATCCTGACAGCTGGCCATGTGACACGATGGAAACAGAGCCACAGTTTATGGTGGTTTGCTGTTCTCTGATAACACGGAAGCTCTCTTGAAAATGTGATTTCCTTGTCGTGCTGAACAGAACAGAATGGTGTGAGAAGATGCAGCTGAAGTAGCAGGTGACAGGACTTTTGAGCATTTGCCCTGGGCTGTCCTGGGGATTCCTCGCCAGGGGAGCACTGTTGATCCCGAGTCCCACAGCCCGAGCTGGGTCCATGCTCTGCGGAGTTCAGCAGCTCAATACGCCAAGGCCAGGTATGTGGCTAAACATTGCAGAGTCAGCTCCGTCCCCCTAGGAAGAGGCATTGAGTCCAGGTGCAGCCTAGAACTACAAGGCCTGTCGGGGACCAAGCTGCCCTTGTCTCCCCCGGGCTGCAGGCAGAGAAATGTCAGCATTTAGGATCAATCACAGCTAACAGATCTTGAGAAACAGAAGCCGCATAGAAGCCATGGCGTCCCTGTGACTTGCACTTAGGATCTCGGGGGGCTCCCCTACCCCTGCTCCTCAGCCCCTGCTTCCCTGGACACAGGCCGGCCTCCCCGCCTCACTGCCGTCGGGCCTTCACGGAGCCCGAGCACCTGGAAGGGCTCGAACTCTGAAATCTGCATTCCTCTCCCAGCCTGGCCCTGCTTCCAATACAGAGCCACACGCCAGCAACTGACGGGGCAGGTGGCTACCGCATGAACACCAGGCCTGCGGGTCACCACCCAATCACTCACCACCCACCACCAGGGCTCTCACATTGACAGTGGACGGGGGGCCCTCCAAGGCAGCTGTGGGAGATGGCCCCTGGTCCCTCAAAAGGCTCTAGCTCACCTGCCCTATCTGGGGGGACAAGGTGGCCATTCCATCTGGGAAGGGTCTTCACATCTGGAAATGGCCTAAGAAACAATTTTGTGGAATCCTCCTTTCTCTGATGAGGACACGGTGTCTCTGAGAAGGGGACATGAATGGATGGAGGCCACCACTAGCCAGAGGCAGAACAGGAGCTGAGCCCGGGGACTCAAGGGTTGGCCCTTTGGGGAGAACTTCTCAGAGCAGAGAGGAGAAACTCCATGGGGGCATGGGAAGCCTCTTCTGTGCCTGTTAAGTCGAATCCCCCCACTCCCTCCAGGTCAGGGCCCTCGTTAATCCCTTGGTGATCTGCGCACTCACCCCTTTCACAAGTCTAACCTGAAAGTCTTCCTCTGGCCGGGCTCTTCCTGTGGACAGAGAGACACAGGCGTGGCAGTGCAGGGACAGAGGGACATAGGTGTGGTGGCACAGAACAGAGGGACACAGGCAGACAAAGGGACAGAGGCGTGGTGGTGCAGGAACACAGGCATAGTGGTGCAGGACAGAGGGACACAGATATGGTGATGCAGGGACAAAGAGACACAGGTGTGGCCATGCAGAAACAGAGGGACACAGGTGAACAGAGGGACACAGGCAGACAGAGGGACACAGGCATGGCAGAGCAGGGTGGGGGTGCTATTAACCCCACACGTGGGACCAGAGAACATTCTGGGGTGATGAGATCTGGACCTCAGAGGCCAACCACAGTTTCCCTGCCGAGGACAAGAAGCTGAGGTCACCCACAACCTTCCATCACCAAAGGTCAGTCATCTGCAGGGCCCATGCCGAGAGGGTGGAGTGGCGGTCAGGCCTCCTTTGTCCCTCTTCAGCTTGCCGTCCCCTTGCTGGCAGAGGCCGGGACCGGTGCTGCCAAGGAGGCAGTGAGAAGCCCTGGACCAGAGCCTGGCAGGATGGAGAGACGGCAGGTGACAGGACAGCAGGGCCTGGAGAGAGGCAGCTGGTGACTTTCGGCACCCAGGCCTGCTCTCTGCAGCCTGGACTATGCAAGGCTAAGGCTGGAGCAGCAGGCTCTGCCCGGAGTCAACAGCTCAGCAACGCTCCAGCACACGCTCCAGGTGGCATGAGGTTTCAGGGACCTGGAGGTGAGGCAAGGCTACCTTCTCCAGCCCACAGGAGGACACAGCCTTCCAAAGGGAATGTCTGGTTCTCCCAGCCTGCAGGGCCTTGACCTTGGCCTGGCCATGGCCCCTGGACTGCTTCTTCCACTTCAAACTGAGTGAAGCCCTGGGTCCTGTCGAGCTGGCTGCACCACTGTGAGAATTGATTAAAACAATACGGAGAAGCAAACGGCGCAGAAGGTGGTAGGTGAGGAAGATGAGGTTGAAGAAAAGAGTGAAAACCCTTCTGGAAAAGCCCTCGGGGACATCAGCCTCCATCGCGTTCACCTGCTGGTAGACGCTGCAGGGAGATTGGCGCCCTGGCATCCTTTCTCTGGTAGATGCTTTGGGGAGACTGGCACCCCGGTATCCATTCTCTGCTTCTTTTCAATTTTGGGGAGACACAGGGCCACCTGAACAAAAGCCTGATTTGCCTCCTCTTTGGGGCTAGGAGTGACCAGGCTCTGATCCTCAGGATGGAACCAAGGTGACCAGATAACTTCTGGGTCATGCCCTTGAAAGAGAGGGTGCCTGCCCTTCCCCTTCTCCCTGCATGCAGCTGGAGGGCAGACACGCTGGACAAGCCATGCCTGAGGGTCTTGCCCAGCAGTAGGTTCCAGAGCCTCTGTTCCAGACCTGCCATTCCCCCTGGCTTACCTGGAAGTGTGACCCCAATGTATTTGGGTTATCCATCACATACAAGGAACCAGAGCCTAGCAAGTGCACCTGCTGACTGCATTCTTTCTCCTGAGTTGTAGAAATCCAGCCACATTTGCAAACCTGCTCCAACACTCAGTAGGACCAACTCATTGTAGAAATGCAGGCAGGGCAATGTCCCCAGCTTGGCTTGACTTGAGGCTCCGTGCACCTTCAGGTTCTCATCTTGTCGGCAACCTGTGTAGCACGGGCCCTGCTGCTGGCCGGGGTCAGGCAGGAGGAGTCCAGGACTCCTGCTTATGGCTGAACAGGGTCCCCTCCCCTCATCTGCTGAAGACTTCTGTTGTCTCCTTATGAAATTCATCCCTTGGACCAGCTGGCCTCTAATGCCTCGTATTTCCATGAGATTCTGTTATTCTAAGGAGAATGAACCTGACTTTTTTCTTTCTGCTACAGACACCTAAGCGTACAAAACCAGCTCACTTGGGTTGGATTCAATTTTTTTCTTTTCAGTAAGCGCAGACTCTGCGGCCAAACTGCCGGGGCTGTGTGATCTCAGCAAGGCCCCACAGCTTCACATACATGCCTTAAACACACCAACTGAGAATAGTAACCAGTCGTGCACCATTGTCAAGAGCACACACCGAAGAGTTCCCAGCTCCTGTGGGCTTAGAGCGATGCCCTCCCAGCCCGCCGTTCTCAGTATTATTGGGAGCCGAAGCTACAGGAGTTGCTCGTTCATTCAGTAACTTCCTAAAAGGTCAGGCCTTGTGCCAGGTGTCACAGTCAGATGAATCCGACATTGATCCTGCAGGAAGATGGTTACTCAGGAAATTAGAGAGCAAAATAAATAGGAAAAACACCTGCCCGTACATATGCAGCAGAAATCGAGATGCCACGAGCACTCAGGAGGAGAGGGATCAATGCTGGCTCACGTTCCCGGGAAGGCGTCTAGGAGGTTTATTGACCGTGAGCATGGGCCAAAAAGCAGAGAGAGCATTTGGATACTCGAGGCTGGCTCTTGCAACCTGATCCTCACTCATGTGGGGAGTTGAGGTTTCTCGATACCTACTATGGACTGCTTGCATTGACCTTGGGAGGAAGGTCCCAGGAAGGTCCCAACTGCCCCTGGAGGACCTCAGTCCACACTTAGGAGGGGCAACGGCTCCAACCATCACAAAGGTAAAGACTGGGGGGTTAGGGTTATTCTCTTCGAAGAATGGAACAAATGGTAAGTAGATCTAAATCATGGGAAACACCATGAGTCCCCTTGTATTTTGTGCTGGTTATTCTGCCCTGTTCCCCCTCAATCCTCTCCCCCTGGGCTGGCCAGTGAACTGGGCCCGAGGCTGACCCTGCTGGGATCTACGTAATCTCTCCCTACTCATCCAGAAATGTTTGCTAGGCATGTGGGTAAGGCATCTGTGCAGGGCACAGAGAAAACAGGCCAGGGTCCTGAACCCAGCGACCTTGCACTCTAGTGCACAGGTACGTGCACCCTAGTGACGGGCTCTGCGGAGGGGGGAAGGTCCTTCTTGTCGCACCCTGCAAGCCCAGTACCCCACAAGCACAGGCAGACCAGCTGCTCACTGTGACTGGGGCCACAGCGGCCCTAGGCCAGAGAGGGTTGCCACACAGACACTCAGTGCCAGGAACGATGGCTCTGCACCCAGGAAGCACTGTGAGCAGCTTTTTGCAGCAGAAGCAACCTTTGTTCTGGCTTCTGGGCCTCTCAGAACACCTGGTGCCATTTCCCTCTCCCCTGCCCTTGGAGGTCCAAGAACCGCAGGGGTTCTGGTAGAGTTCCAGGCCTCGGGGCAGAAGAGGCCCTGGCTCATACCCGCATCCTGGAGGGATATCGGTGCCCTGAGCCTTGGCCTGTGCTCCTGAGGATGGGGTCTTCTGGGGTCTCTAGAGGGGCTGGCTGGTTAGGGCTGTCTAGTTCTTGGATGCCCTTGGTAGGTTGGAACTGAATGCTTGTTGAAGATGTAACCTAGGTCTCCCCCAAACTCCACTCCTTTCCCAATCCCAACTTCTCACGTTCCTCTCCTCCGGGGCTCCTCCTGGTCCCCAGGCAGCTGGGCCAGAACCAGGGCAAAGAGCCTGGATGCCAAGTCACCACCCAGGCATTTGATGCGCAGTTGCTCAGCACGAGTGACAGAGTAGACACCTGGGGCCAGATTCGTCATTCCCCCTCCCGCCAGCTGGCCAAGAGCCTCCCAGCTCTCCCAGAGCCAACACACAAGCCAGCTGCCTCCTCTGCACCCTGGCATGTGGTAGTTGTCTTTGAAGCAGCGATTGATTTCCTGTGTTTGGTGCCATCCCCGCTCCTTTCCATGGACAGGGACTGACCTTCCCATCTGACCGCAGGATACCAGGAGGGTGGGGGCCATGAGTCTCCAATCCCTGGTGGGGCTAAGCACCACCCTCCATGAAGCCTGTGGTTTCCCTGGGAAACCGGGGACTCCCGGAGAAAAGATTCTTGCCTTCCTTATCCAACTCAGGACCCACACAGAACTGAATGCCATCTCCCCCAGCTGATCAGCAGGTTGAGTGGGTCTGCGTGACCCTCATCTGACCAGCAGATGTATCCTCTCTCTTACCAACAGATCTGGTGCTATATCTCCTCCATCTGACCAGCAGATCCAGTGTGATGTCTCCTCCATCTGACCAGCAGATCCAGCACTATGTCTCCTCCCTGTGACCAGCAGACCCAGCACTATGTCTCCTCCCACTGACCAGCAGACCCAGCACTGTCTCCTCCCTCTGACTAACAGATCCAGCACTATGTCTCCTCCATCTGACCAGCAGATCTGGTGCTATGTCTCCTCCCTCTGACAAGCAGACCCAGCATTATGTCTCCTCCATCTGACAAGCAGACCTGGCACTATGTCTCCTCCCTCTGACCAAAAGACACAGTGCTATGTCTCCTCTCTCTGACCTGCAGACCTGGTGCTATGTCTCCTCCATCTGACAAGCAGACCCGGCACTATGTCTCCTCCCTCTGACCGAAAGACACAGTGCTATGTCTCCTCTCTCTGACCTGCAGACCTGGCGCTATGTCTCCTCCCTCTGACCAGCAGACCCAGCACTACATCTCCTCCTTCTGACCAGCAGGCCCAGTGCTATGTCTTCTCCCTCTGACCAGCAGATGGGGCATTATGTCTTTTCTCTCTGACCAGCAGACAGGGCACTATGTCTCCTCCCTCTGACCAGCAGACCTGGCACTATGTCTCCTCCATCTGATCAGCAGACCTGGCACTATGTCTCCTCCCTCTGATCAGCAGACCTGGCACTATGTCTCCTCCCTCTGACCAGCAGACAGGGCACTATGTCTCCTCCCTCTGACCAGCAGACCCGGCACTACATCTCCTCCTTCTGACCAGCGGGCCCAGTGCTATGCCTTCTCCCTCTGACCAGCAGACCCGGCACTATGTCTCCTCCCTCTGACCAGCAGATCTGGTGCTGTGTCTCCTCCTTCTGACCAGCAGATCTGTCACTACGTCTCCTCCATCTGACCAGCAGATCTGACACAATGTCTCCTCCCTCTGACCAGCAGATCAGGGGCTGTCTTTCCTATCAGCCTGGATGAGGTCATGAGGTCAGGAGCTGTGTCATTGCCCTCAAGCTAGGCACTGCCTTCTCCAAAGAGAGCACCCCCACACTTCCGCTCAGAGCCCAGACTCTGCCCACAGAGGGTGCTGGCGACTGCGGCACCGGCCCGCAGACAGATGGGGAGCAGGCCCCTGCCAGCTCTTTGGGCCTGGAGAGCTCACCAGCGTCTGATCACGGATGACTTATCTGAACCAATGAGTGACCCCGCAGCTGAGGAAACAGGAGGAGACAGTGATGCTTCTTTTTGAGAGAAGGAAACATTGCTCACAAGATGAGCCAGGAAATAACGTCATTTATTTTCGTCTCAGAGCAATGGTAAAGAAGTCAATTTCTCACCAGAGGTGCTCTAAAAGATGAAAGAGCATCGGGAGGGATGCTTTGCCGCTGCAGGCGAGTGTTCTGGCTTTCCTCTCAAAGGCACGCACGGGCCCCTGGAGCAGAGTCCCACTGTCCAGGTGCCCACCCAGGGCCCTCTCAGTCCCCCTGCACAGCGTGCCCTGGGAGGCAAGGTCAGAACCTCCTCAACCGCCACGGCACCCAAGAGACGGGCATGGCTGCCTGCACCTTCACCCTCTCGGTAGCGAAGCACAGCTCAGAGAAATGGCTCCCACGCCAACCTGAGGTGTGACCTTGAGCGTACAAGAGTCTCCTGCGAATCAACGATGCCACCCCTCGCAGAACAAGGCCCGGTCAGAGGCCTGAGTCTCACCGTTCTGTCTGAGGCCCCTGATGCTGCAGCACTTTTGGACCCCCCAACTTTCAGCTCCCTGGTCACCCTGTAATATGCACCTGTGGCCCGCCCTACTGTAGAGCCTGTTACATCTTCCATGAAGAGGACCAAGGCTCAGAGACACACAGGGACGGGTGAAGGGGCTGTGCTGCCCTCCAGGCAGCCTCTGCGCTCTAGGAGGCTTCATTTCTCCACGCACCCTCCCTCCCAGGCTACGTTCACGAGTTCCTGGCAGTCCCAGGCCCAAGCGTGGTGGCTCCACAGACTGCCAGGGAGGTTCAAAGGCTGTGGCATTTCCTCACCTCATCCTCTGCCGCTGGTATAAAGATATTACAGTATCGATTCCCAGCACTGCACGGCTTCTGGGTCCATTCATCACTGCCTGGGGCTGGAGAGCAATTATTGGGGTCATTGCTTGTCCTCCTGCAGGAGCGCGGGCCCTGGAAGCCCAGGACCTCTCTGGAGAAGGGCAGGGCCCGGAGGAGTGCAGCCAGCTGAGTGCTTCCCAGATGCCACCCAGGGGACCCCACGAAACCCCCTCAGGCAGGTGGAAAGGCCTCAGGGTGGCTGGGAAGCTAGGGCAGCTCTAGAGGACGTAGAGCTTCTGCAGCCCAGCACACGGCACAGCTGACTTCAGAGCTTGCTCACCGTGCCTGCGGGTGAATGGCCACTTCGCCGCAGGGAGGGCTGGTGCCTGCCTGGGCCACTCGGAGCTGTCCAGGTCTGCACCCAGAGCTGGCTCTTTCTCCCCACACTCCACCGTCCTGACCCTCATCGGGAGGTCAGAGCTCAGACCATGGAGCTCGAGGACCTGGAGGAGGGCTCGTTCCACAAGCGCACTGATGGTGGGGAGGAGGCCCCTCCTGCCACGCTACCTCCTTTTGGGCCCGTGAGCCTGCCATGCTCCGTCCTGCCACCACGCTCTCACCCCCTCTTCTGTCCCTGTGTGCCAGGTCCCTGTTCCTGTGCCTCTCTATTCTCAGACCTCAGTGTGTGCCCCTCTCCTCTCCCGCTCCCACCCGCTGCCCTGAGCGCAGCCACACCCACCGCAAAGGATGGGCAGATGTGGCTGCGCTGTGAGCCCAGGAGAGCGGAAATGGTTTCGGTGAGTGTGCAGCAGCCTCTGCCACACGGGGTGTCCTTGACTGGCTTTTCACAGCTGGTGCTGGGGAAAAAGAGAAAAAATGGGATCAGCAGGTTTCCTTCCAAGGTGCGCAGACTGGGCCTACCCTAAAGCAGGGGAGTCAGAGCACGTGCTCCCCAGAATAAGGGGGGTTTCCATGCAGTCCCCGCAGGACTTGCGGGCTGTGAGGGGGTGGGAGCTGCAGTCCACCCTCGCAGGGCCACACAGTGCACTCTCCCACTGTCCTGCTTCCTGCTCCTTCCCAGGGCTGCCGTGCCTTCCCAGCACCTTTCACCACTGTTGGGCAGCCCCAGACATTGGGTGAGGGAGAGAGGGGACTGTCCCACTCGGCAAGGTCCCGAGGGCGCCCGTTCAGTGAACACACTATCTAAAGCCCTGAGCTGGGGAGAGGAGAAGGGATGGGCGAGGAGTGTAATCAAGTGTTTCTAATTAAAATGGAAATCATAACCTTCCCGTGGGTGATGTGGGAATTCTGCAGCTCAGTTCGGGCTGAGGGCTACTTTCCGTGGTCAGAATTGGGGAAGGAATGGCCGATTCCCAGCTCCCAACAGGGTAGCGGGAGGCTCTGCCATCCTTCAGCCCCAGGGCAGCCCTGGCCTTCTGCGATGCCACCTTCACCATCTCCGAGCATCTTCGGGGTGTGTGGCTCATGGTCTGACCCCTGGTCTGTGGGAGCCCAACAGAAAACAACAGAAAATGCCTTGGCCATCCTGCCAGCCCACCGTGACCAGGTCCTTCACATCAGGCCTGATTCAAGAGCACGGCCTATTGCTAACAAGAGGGTCTGGGGTCTGACAACTCCCAGCCCCACCACCTACACCCCATCACCTGGGGAGGCCAAACCCTCCCTAAAGCTTTCCCCTCCGCACACAAGGACCTCACTAGGGGATGGGAGCGGCCGAAAACCCAGGCTCACGGTGACTACCAGGGCACACCTGCTGCCACCAGGCTAAAGAGGAGAAGCCACCTCTGCTTTTCAGGCCTGGGCCCACCAGCTTCTTCAGGACTGTGTTTCCTTGTCCACCTCAAGGTCCCTCGTCTGCTGATGCTGCAGGGGCTGTCACGGGGACAAGCTGCAGATCCACGGCTGTCAATGATGCATTATCTGTGAAAATAAGGACCGGACAATGTCAGCTCTCCCAGGGATGTTCTCCTGGCCGGGCCGGGGGCTGAGGGCTGCAGGGCTTTGTTATCATGCTGTTGTTACTATCGCTGTCATTGCTGGGGCCCCAGCAGCTCCCTGAGATGAGCACAGTCATTATTCCCATTTCACAGCTGCAGAAACTGGGGGCAACAGGAGGTGAGCCAGGAGGTCTCCCGGGCAGTCTTGCCAGACACAGGATTCAAATCCCTGCTTGCTGATCCTCCAGCCGTGCTCAAGAATTCCACAGGCTATAGCTATCTGGTCTGTCCTCCCAGCTCCAAGGCAGTGCCCCAGGGAGGGCTGCAGGGAGGAATGAGAAGAGAGGGAGGAAGGAAGAGCTGGGGGAGCCATGGAGGGAGAGCGGCAGAGAGGAGGCGGGGAGCTCGGCCTTCCTGGAGCTGCAGCCTGCATGCACTCCATCTGCCCTGGCCACGCCACTGGTCTAGGGGCCTGTCCCCACCATGCCCTAGACATTCCATCATCTCCTCCCACTGACCATCCCAGCCTGGTGCTTGACACACACTCAGACAGCTTTGAGAGAAGAAGGAAGAAGGGAGGGACAGAGGGAGAGGAAGGAGAGGAAATGAGCACGAGCAGACAGACATCCAAAGCCCAGGCTCACTGGGCGAAAGCAGAGCTTGAAGACCGGAAGCCCAAGCAGAGAGAACCTGGGCAGGTGCCTGAGGCCACATGGGGAGCTGCCCCTCCCGCCTCCAGCCCCAACACCACCCAGCTCTGACTGCGCCACCTGCAGCTTGGGAGGAGGAGGAGGACAGAGGGAGGGAGCTGGGCAGGGCTGGTGCCTGGGACTGTTCTCAGCTCCAGCTTTGAGCCAGGGAGACGTCTGCCTTGCACAGGCTGTGCTGGACACAGTTTTGTCCCCTGAGTGCCCCCATCCCTCCCACCCTGTTGCTTCCCAGGTGGGTGTGGCAGCTTCAGGGCAGAAAGAGGGCAGGGTGAGCCCCAGGGGACTAGGGCACCCTGAGGTTTGGGTGAACCGGAGACAGAGCCTCCTGGGGCTCCTGGGTCCTAGAGAGGAGAGTCCCCTGAGAGGGCCCCAGGGTCAGTTGCTGTGAGCCCAGTAGGTTTTCCGCCTGGTCTCTGAGCAGACAAGATGAAGCCTTCCCAGCAAGGCCAGCCCTGCCTTGCTCCCCTCGACCTCCAGGGGCAGTCAGAAGGGGACAGAGGCACCACGACAGGCCCGCCACAGACTGAGCAAGCCGGAGCACCATGCTGCCTTCCCTGCAGCTCTCTGGCCACAAGAAGAAGGGTCTGGGCTCTCCCAGGAGGCCTGGACGAGGACAGGGGTCAGGTGTCTCATCTGCATGTATGAAGGACAACAGATTCGATTAGGCAGTTCTGCAACCAACTTAGAATTGATTTGGATATAAATAGATGGCACGAAACCCATCCCAGTACACTGCAGGGCCCAGTCCCTCCCCTCAGGGTCACGCTGAAAGACGCATGAAATTATGTTCACTTTTAACCCAAGTAGTGCTATGACTCCTGACACAGATGGCCACAGCTAAGGGGGTCTCAGGACAAAGAGAGATGCAGCTGGACTCAAGCCAGGGTCCTCTCTGTCTATCTGCCTGTCTGCCTATCTATCATCTATCTCTCTATCTATCTATCTATCTATCTATCTATCTATCTATCTATCTATTATTTATCTATATCTATCCATCTATCCATCCATCTGTCCTTCCATTATCTATAGATCTATCTATATCTATCCATCCATATATTCATCTATCCACTCATCTACCCATCCATCCATCCATTCATTCATCCATTCATCCTTCTATCCTTCCATCTATCTATAGATCTATCTATCCATCCATCCATCCCTTATTCATTTATCTATTCATCCATCCATCTGTCCATTTATTCATCTATCCATCCATCCAATTAGCTATCTACCCATCCATCTATCTATCCATCTATCTAACCATCCATCCATTCATCTATCCATCCATCTATCCATCCATCCACCCATCCATCCATCTATTCATCTATCCATCCATCCAATTAGCTATGTATCCATCCATCTATCTATCCATCTATATAACCATCCATCTATCTATTCATCTATCCATCCATCCAATTAGCTATGTATCCATCCATCTATCTATCCATCTATATAACCATCCATCCATTCATCTATCCGTCCATCCATCCATCCATCCATCCATCCATCTATCCATCCATTCAATTAGCTATCTATCCACCTATCTATCTATCCATCTATCTAACCATCCATCCATTCATCTATCCATCCATTCATCTATCTATCTAACCATCCAGCTATCTATCTATCTAACCATTTGTCCATCTATCTATTCATTTATCCATCCATCCAATTAGCTATCTATCCATCCATCTGTCCATCTATCTAACCATCCATCCATTCCTCTATCCATCCATCCATCCATCCATCTATTCATCCATCCATCCATCCAATTAGCTATCTAACCATCCATCTATCCATCTATCTATCTATCCATCTATCCATCCATCTATCCATCCGTCCATTTACCTATCTATCGATTTACCTACCTGTCTATCTATCTATGTGTCTGTCTGCCCTTCTCTCTATCATCTATCTTTTCTCTGTATCATGTAAACTGTTTGTTCTTTTTCTGTTTAGCTTCAAGGGGGTGGAGAGTTAATTATTCATGAGCTGTCAAGGCCTTTGGACCCATTGATTTTGTTTCTGGTTCCCCCTTGGATCCGGTACACGGATTCTGGTTTGATAGCATTAAGTCTTTTGAATAATTAATATGGCAATTTAACCTGAGCAGAATGAGCAAATGTTACCTTCTGCTTAGGGAATAGAAAAAGAGAATTCCCTTATGGCAGTATTCCCAAGTCTGTTAATGTCACCCCAGCACTGGAGAACTGGCATCTGTCTTACAGGAAGAAACCTTCCAACTGTCCCCCCCAGCTCCTCTTCCTGAAAAGAGGGAAAGCTATGTATGTCTTTGTTCCACCCAGAATTTCAAAGGACCCTCAGGAGGCATGGACATTTTGTATCAGGGAATTATTGTCAAGTATTTGGACTTAACTACTGATGATCAGGATATTTTGTTTATGAGTTCCTTCTCCAGGGGCCACCCCTTTGTCTGCCTCTCCCAGCCAAACGCACTTGGGGACCAGGAGGAGGTGACAAAGTCCAAGCCTCAGAATGGGAGTGGTGGCCCTCAAACACATGCTAGTTATTCTTAGTTTATGCATTTTTCCAGTTTCCACCAGACATGTGTCCAAGATCAGACAGACAGGAAAGTCCAGCGATGGAAGACACTAGACGTGGTAACAGAACTAAAACTCGAAAGCAATAAAGAAAACAGACAGAAGAAACACTTTAACAGAAGACATGGGAGGCCCCACAGGGGAGCTGAGGAAGGCAGGAGGTGTCTCCTTCAGGGCCTTCCAGATCCCACAGAGACATCTTGAGGCCACAGCTACTCCGCAGCTCACGGCAGTTGGGACCCAGGCCTGTAGGCGGAGATGGGACGGGCTGGGCCCTCTGCTCCAGAGCGCAGCAGCACTCGCATCTGTGGACACTCATCATCGGGTCTTTAAAGCACAAAAGAGCGGTTCACACAGGAGAGTGGCTTCAACGTCAGTGCCACTATCACTGAAATTACTGATCTAAGTCAGTTGTTCTCAGCCTAGGGTCCATTTTGGCCCCAGGGGACAGTTGGCAAGGTCTGGAGACAATGTTGATTGTCATGACTGGAGGGAGGGGCTATGAGAATCCCGTGGGTAGAAGCCAGGGCTGCTGCTGAAAATTCTACAATGTGCAGGATGGCCCCCAGGAAAGAATGACCCAGAGATGGAGAACTTATACCGGTGTCATCACCAGGGTCCTTACAAGAGGGCGGCAGGGCAGGCAGAGAGAGGAGTAGGGGCTGTGTTGGTAGAAGACAGAGGTCGGGGTGACGCAGGAAGGGGTCACAGCCAGAGAGAGTGGCCAGGCTCCAGAAGCTGGAAGGGGCCCAGGCAGAGTCCCCCCTGCACCCCCCACCGGTGTGCGGGCTTCTGACCTCTAGAGCCGGGAGACAGAATAGCACATCCGCGTGGCTGTGAGTTTGTGGTCATTCATTACAGCGGCCACAGAAAGGAACAGGGTGACACACACAGCAAAGGTCATCCCCACCCGTGAGACGGCCCTGGGTGGCTCCATCTACCCGTAGGTGGAGAGACATCGTCCCTGTGTTCCTACTGCTCAGCATTGATCTCCTGTCCAACCTCCGATTCACGGAGCAGGTGGCCACATGCCAGATGGCCACCCTGATGTCCCTGGGCCCCTCATGCCACGCTGCTTTCACGGCCTGCCCTCCTCCTTCGCGCCCGCCACATGGGCGCGGCCCTCACCTGTCTCCTTGACCACTGCCTGCTCAGCCGGCACAATCACTCAGAACATGTCCATAGCCCAGGTGAGAGAATCTGACATGAGGTGGTCCAGGTTCCCCTGCCCCCCAGCCTGGAAACATGAGTTGTCCAGTTCCTCCGTGACTGATCTCCATTCATCCACACCTGTCGATCACCAATGCTGCCATTTACAGGCCCAAATAACCATCGCTATTGACCGAGGAGTTGCAGAGTTCAGCTCCAGGCCAGAATCCTGTGTGATTTTCCAGGCCCACCTCTAGGAACTTGTGCAGGCTCTACCCAGTAGGCCTTACCATGGGGGCTGCCTCTCTTCTCACACAGGCCGGTGCCTGGCCGGCTCTGCAGGGAGCTGCAGCAAGGACCCCAGGCCAGCCACACTCTCACACGTGTCTGCACTCCCGGTCAGGCACCTCCGTTCCGAGGCCCCCTCATCAGGGCCTTGGCTGGGCCCTGTCTGCGACGCTGGCACAGTGCTTCCCAGGCCCAGCCCTCCCCTCTCCTCCCATCCCCGGGCATGGAGGGGCAGGAGCCTTCTATGTGGGCTCCTTGGCTGTGAGATGGCCCCTCAACCCCACCGACACTGCATGTCATCTCACCCTCTCCTGGTGCCATTCTGGGGAGAAGGAGACGATGAGCACCTCTCTGTCTCTCCCTGGCACTGCTGTGCGAGCGAATTAAGGCATGACTGTTCCTCCCAGTTCTCCTTCTTGTTCCAGTCACCTCCACACCTGGCCACTCTGCGTTCAGGCTATGCTCACTCCCTGCTGCTTCCGGAACTCCAGAGACTCCTCCTAACAGAGCGGCTGCATCCATTCCTGTCTCCTCCACCCTCCGTAACTCCCCAAATGTTTCTTTCTAAAATGCAAACAGGGCCGCATCCCAAGCCCCCGACGCCACCCTGTAGAATGCTTCAAAGTCTGACATCCTTCCGCCATCTTCCACTGGTGGCCCTCCCGCCCCGCTGATGGCCAGATGCCATGGGTTGGGAGGCTGCAGGGCAGGGGCTGGAGATCTGCAGGCTGCACACTCCCACTGACTGTGGTGAGCAGCCAGCTGGAGCCCTACCGATGGATAGGGTGCAGCCTGGCTCCCTGCTGCAGTGAGGAAGCCCCTTGTGAGCTGCCTCTAACCTGCACCCAGCACTCAGCCCAGAGCTGCTGCATCAGGCCTGGCTCGCAGGAGGCTGGCCTTGCTGCCGCTCGTCCCTGCTCTCCTCCAGGTACTTCCCCTGCCGCTCCGGCTTGCGTGAAGTCTCATGTATATTTCATTGACTGCGCTTGGCATGTAATGAAAAGGTCGCCTGCTTCCATCTCTGTGACCCCGCTAGACTGCACGTGCACCCGGTAGCACTTTTCTCTCCTTGTTCCTGGTATTATGTCTGACCCAGAGTAAATTTTTGAGTGATGAGTAATTGTGGATGAATGCCAATAAGACACATGAAAGAGGAAGGTGGAGGCCCCGGTCTGGTGTCCAGTCTTCTAGAGCACAGGGCTCCGCTACCAGCCTTTTGAAGACAGCCCCACTGGGGAGGGACTTCAGAGCAGCCCCTTCCTCCAGTGTCTCCACAGGCTTGCGGTCCCAGAGATGCTCCATCACCACCCTCAGGGAGGCTGAGCTTCCTATGATGGTCTTGCTGGCTCTACTCACAGCCGAAAGCGACCCGGATTGAGCAACACAGTGGGCTGGGCCCTGGGTGAGTGCTTCACCTGTGCAGTCTCATTCAGCCTTCAGGGGAGCCCCGTGAGCTTGGGGTTCACAGCCTGTGTATTAGCCCTCTAGGGCTGCATATCAAAGTACCACAGATTTGATGGCTTAAAACCTCTTGCAGCTCTGGAGGCTGGAAGTCCCACATGGCGGTGTTCGCAGGGCTGGGCCCTCTGGAGGGTCTGAGAGCTCCCAGGCCTCTCTCCTGGCTTCGGTGCTTGCTGGCCGCCTTTGGCACCCCTGGGCCTGTAGACAGACGCCTTGCTCCGATCTCTGCCTCCATCTTCACAGGCCTTCTCCCTGTGTGCCCCTGTGCCCACACCTCCCTCTTTTCGTGAAGACACCAGCATTGGACTAGGGGCCACCCTAATGCAGTATGACCCCCATCTTAACCTAGTTACATCTACAAAGATA
Source organism: Homo sapiens (assembly GCF_000001405.40). Lineage (NCBI taxonomy): Eukaryota > Metazoa > Chordata > Mammalia > Primates > Hominidae > Homo > Homo sapiens. Next base: position 142,120,628 of record NC_000008.11, read on the forward strand.
GGTCACATTCACAGGAACCGGGGGCCAGGACTTGGACGTCTCCTGGGGAAACACAGTTCAACCCTCAACCTGCATTTTAGAGATTTTAGAAACAAAGGCTCAGAGCCCAGGAGATTTCCCAGGAGCTGTGCCACTCAGCAGCGGCCCCACCTGGACCCCATCCTGGCCTTGCCCACTGCCCACCTTACTTGTGCTCCTTCTGGTTTATTGGGGGTACCCACCGTCTGGACCGTCCTCCACGGCTTGGCGTTCTGTCCTGGCTGATGATGAGTCTGGCATGAGTCTGGGGTCCTTTAGATAAGAACATAGTGGAATGCCGATGGTGCCTAAAGCTGACCTCCGTGGGTGGGCTCACAGGGCTGAGTGAGGGGATGGCGTCCTTCCAAGATGGATGAGGTAAGCAGGAGCCCCATCTGCAGCAGCAAACCTCCCTCACCTGCCAGGCACTGTGCGGGGCATCCTCCCTGCGTGTGGGTCTCCTCGGAACTGTCCTGTCTGTCTCCAGGTGGGAGGAATGGGGCCGGTCTGGACACAGCGGTGGAGACCAGCCTCGAAGACCCCGTGGGGGAGGTGAGAATGGGGAGTCATTGGAGCAGAGGCTGAAGAGCGTCAGGGGCCTGACTCCCAGGGTTTTCCATTTGAGTAGAAGAATTGCAGACCATCCCCCGAGGCGAACGCTGAAGCCCCGATCCACGTGAAGCCAATGGGCCCGAACTGCAGGCTTAACTCACGTTTCACAAACGAGGAAGCTGCGGCTCACGGGTGTTTTAAGAGCCGCCCACTTGAGGACCAGCAGGGCAAGCAGCGGAACCCCAGTTCTCAGAATCCCGGCTCCCGCTCCCGTCATTAATTTATCTCACGCGCTGATATGATGAATGCGTGTGGGTTTTTAAATTGTCATCAATTATTCCTCATTCTGCATAAAAATGATTAAAAATATCTTTGGAGGAAATGACCTCGTGTTAATCACTTGAATTCCCACAGCGTTTTGTGCTTTACAACACGTGAGCCTTGAGTCCCTACAGCGGCACCACTCCGTGGACAAGACTGGAGTCAGCATTGACATCCCATTTTCACAGGTGAGAAAACCGAGGGACAGGGGCACGGATGAAATTGTCCTAGGAAACAGCAGGGTCCCAACAGGGTTGGGGCAGAGGCCAGTGTCCACCCCACACCCGCTGTCCTTCCTACAGCACCGTGGGTTTCCTCACCAAAGCCAATCCCACGGGCAGCAGGACCGGCCCCAAATCCAGACCCACGGCCGCCCACACATACATCTTCCCGATGACTTCTTCCACGGGCCTCCACTGACCTGGGCTCTGGCCACGCCGCGCATGTTCAGGAATCTAATCTCTTCAGTCCTGGCACCTTCAGCCAAGCACAACCCGTGTGTATGTGTCCAGCCATGATGTGGCTGACAGCCGTGACCCCAGCGCATAAAATATACCGGCGTTTCCTGAAATAAATCGTGTCGTTTCATGGGAAATACGGCAGCCGAGCTCCGGCTACTCCTGTGCCCCGATATCCTCTCTCTATCGCTCACTTGAAGCAAGAATATCCTAATTCTGACACGAAACTGTGAAAACGCAGGATGGGAAGGCAGAGGGGGGTGAGAGCTTGTACAGAAGAGGCGCCATTCATCACAGTAAAGGACCATGGGCAACACGATTTATTTTCAGATTCCTCCTACCTCTAAAATATGACCTGCCTCGGCGGGATGGGCAGAGAGCGGGGCAGACGGAGTTCCCTATGGTCATGGCAGCACTTGGATAATTTCGTATCACCCGCCCCCAGTACACACACACGCACGTGCGTGCACACACATACACTTGCACACTTGCACTCAGAGCTGGCTATTGATTTGTGTCTGAGTCACTGACAAGAGCAAAACTTTGTGTAAGAACAAAAATGATGCAATGCAGATGTTAAGACATGATTCCACCTTGCCTGCCCCAGACCCACAGCCCATGTGCACACACACGTGCACACACACCCACTCACACTCACTATAATCCTGGTCCATCTGATGGTGAAGTACCCAGACCCACAGCCCATGTATGCGTGCACACACACTCACACACACACACTCACACGCCACAATCCTGGTCCATCTGATGAAGTATGCAGACCCACAGCCCATGTGCACGTGCACGCACACACACACTCACACACTCTCTCACACACACACACACACGACAATCCTGGTCCATTTGTTGGTGAAGTACCCAGACCCACACCCGATGTGCACACACACACACACATTCACACACACACACACACTCACACCCCCATGCACACACACACCTCAATCCTTGTCCATTTGATGGTGAAGTACCCAGACACACACCCCATGTGTGCACACACACATGTGCGCACACACACACACACGACAATCCTGGTCCATTTGTTGGTGAAGTACCCAGACCCACAGCCCATGTGCGCACACACACACTCACACACACATACTCTCTCTCTCTCTCACACACACACACACACCACGATCCTGGTCCATTTGATGGTGAAGCAAACTTGCCCATCTTTGAGTCCAGCCTCTACTCAGCAGTGTGCCTTTTTGTGGCTTCTCATCAATCAATCAATCAATAGTGAGCACCGATGGATGTCTTCTCTGCACTGGGAACCCGATGGGCCCCAGCGTGCAACACGGAGTCCCTGCTCTTCAGGACCCCAGCTTGGGGGAAGGTGAGGCCAGGTGAGAGCATGAAAACAGCACACAATTAAAACAAACGTTTTCCAAGACACGGGCTTTGCGTCATGCACATCACAGGGACTCAATCAGTGGGTTGTGCTGGCGGTGGGGGGCACCTGGAATCTCTTGCACAGGAAAGTGGGCAAGGGGCCACTGCCTCCAAGGCCTCCCCACACATCAGTTCGTGCAGAGCGCATGGTCCAGGGATGCTGGTTAGCCCCCATAACCCCGCCGGCCTCACCCCCAGGGGCTCCCAGGGTCCCCGGTCCCCAGCTGCTGGAGAGGGACCGGGGTCGTGCTGCCTCCCTTGCAGCTGCGTTGACAGAGGACCCGGCCGGCACTCTGTAAATGTTGGTGGACGATGACACCGGCTCCCTCAGCCTGCTGATTTTTCTGTGTCCAGCGCCGGGGCCTGGATGGGAGCTGTCAGAGGAGTGATGAGCAGTGTCTTCTGGAGTAAGCGGAGGGCCTCGGAAAGATGGTTTACGATCTGCAGCAAGGGGATTTTTATTTATTTATCTATTTACTCCCTGCCTTGTTCAAAAAGGATTTAAGGCAGCTTATGAAGATACATAAAGGAGAACAAAGAAACATGGATGAGAAGGGGTGGGAGGATGAAGATGAGAGCAGCAAGGAAAGGGCAGGCAGCTAGCAGGTGCTGCCCAGAGGCCAGGGCCCCAGCCACCCTGGGAGCCGTGATGCCCATGGGGACTCAGAGCCACCCTCGGCCTCTCTGAGCTCACTGCCAGGGGACTCTGTTTCTCAGGCTGGGACTTCTTTGGTTTCTTAGAATTCTAATGTGTTGTCCATGCACACACACCCACGCACACAGACATACACATGCATGCTCAGCCCCCACACACCCCACCGACGAAGGGGCCTCCCCATTGGGGCCTGGGTTTTATTAACGCACAGAGGCACCAGCTGTGACTGGGAAACCCTCATGGTTAGGAGTCCTGCCCACCTGGCCTGGGGGTCTCTTGCTGGTTGGGTGGTCTTGGGCACAGTGTTCCAGTCGTAAGCCCCTTAGGAGAAGGAGGCCATCTCCTCACTCGGCCCTGTGAGCCCACGGAGCCCATCCACGGAGGCCAGCTTTAGGCGCCATCGGCATTCCACTGTGTTCTTATCTAGAGGACCCCAGGCTCATGCCAGGCCTCGGTAGGCACAGATGCTCATGACCTTCACACCAGGCCCACTTCTATTCACCCACTCCCTCCTTACTGCAGTGGCTGGCGTGGTGTCCCCGAAAGGACAAGGCCATGTCCTAAGCCCTGGAACCTGTCAATGTGACCTTCTTGAGAAAAAGGGTCTTTTCAGATGTAGTTAAGAGAAGGATCTGGAGATTATCCTGAATTCAGGATGGCCTTGAATCCAATGACGGGCGTCATGATGAGACAGAGACGACACAAACACACAGACGGAAGACGCCCGGGTCAAGGACAGAGGCAGAGATGGGGGAGGGGACAGCCAGAGCCCAGAAACCCCTGGGGTCCCCTGAGGCTGGAGGAGGCCACGAGGGAGCCTCGTGGGAGCTTCAGAGGGAGCAAGGCCTGGCCCACCCCTTGGTTTCAGACTTCTCATCCCCAGAATCATAACAGAATACATTTCTGTTGTTTTAAGCCACCCATTTTGTCATAATTTGTTAGGGCAGCCACAGGGAACTAACACGCATCCTTAGCATGTTGTTTATAAGTAATAAGCTCGCATAAACCCGCCAGCGCTGTGGGGCTGTGTGCTACCGGCAGCCCGCACTGAACCAGCTCCTGTATTCTGCTCTCCTGCTCCCCTACCCAAGGTCATCTGCCTTCCAATTTGTCGTTTTTGCCAATTAAAGGGATGTAATTGCATCTCCCGTGACTTTGACGCACCCTCCCTGGCCGCCGGTGGTGGGAGTGTGTCTCAGCCCTCCCGGCTGCGTCTCCCCTGCGGAGCAGCTCAGCCTCTTCCTGCCCTTCCTTCCATGGGGCCCTTTGCGTGACGCTGCCTGTGCACTGGGGCGTGGATCCTTCTTCACTACGCTTGCAGAAAATATCTTCTCCAAGTTCGTAAGTGGTCTCCTCACTTTCTTCTGATGAACAAAGTTCACATAAGGTGCAAGATTATGAGCAAATGAATGAATGATTTTCAGTCCCCAATTTCCCACTCAATTATCCCCTGACCCACGGGGCATGTCACTTAAACTCAGAGGGACCCAGGTTCCTTAACGTCAGCACAACCACCTGGACCCGACCCTCCCTCCCTCGGCCTCCCCGGCCCGACACTGACGCTGTAAGATCCCCTGTGTCCACCTGGGGAAGAGCCGGGAAGATTACAGGGGCTTCTGACACAAAGCAATTTCTAAGCCTTTTTAAATCCTTCCTGGAACACGGCAGAGTATAAATAAATAAATAGTTCCAAAGCGATTTCCATCTACCCTCCTCCAGCTGGGAATCTTTCAAGCACCCTGGCCCACAGCACCCGAAATGGTTGCGCTTGTCTGGGTGCCACTCAGCCCTCCACAGAGGAACCCAGGCCCTCCCGGGTGCCCAGCTCTGCAACTCGGGAGCAGGAGTGTCTCCGCAGCCTGGCGCCGGGAGCGAGTCAGCTCTGCAGACAAGTAATCTCTTTATGGCCTATTTCGTTGTGAATCGTCACCAGACAACTATTAATCTTCAATCATACTTTTATGAAGTGTTTGTTTTTCTTTTCCTCCCTCTCTCCCCAAGACTGGGAATATCAATATAGCAGCTGTCACGGGTCGTTACCAACGGCATCTTCCCCACTATTATGGCCAAATAAAGCCAGATAGAGAGAGACTGGGGGCCCGGTCCAATCGACAGCTTATCTGGGCATCTGAGGGAGCCATCCGGCGCAATGATATTGTGCTGTCAGATCTGGGTATGTATCTGCTCCATGAACAAAGGTGGCGACCAGCATGACAGATGGTCTGCCACGTCTCTGCGGAGCCGCCTCCCGCATGCAGCCACGCTTGGTGCCCATACAGATAGGCGGCCCCAGGTGCCTCCTTCCACGCCTGTCTCAGCCCAGGGCAGGGGATCTCCTGAGGGGAGAGGGCAGATAGGGAACATGGGGAACTGGACAGACGGCAGTCTGGGTGGCCTCTGCCACCCTTTCGACCCTCCCCACAGCACCTCTTGGAGGCAGATGAGCAAAGAGAGTTGGGCACCGCTCCTCTCTCAGAAGCTGCTTCAGGGGTTCAGTGAGACAGAAAGAGCCCCAGCATATGCAGGAAGCAGGCACAGAGCGAGTGGTCAGCTCGCAGGAGAGGAAGAGGGACGGCGGTGGGAGCCATGGAGCAGGTGTTGTGGAGTCAGGTGTCCCTGGGGTCACGGTGACTGGCCAGGCGCGGGGAGCCAGGAGGCACACGGTCCTGGGCTCTGGCAGGGCTGGAGTGCTCGGCACGGCCGGGAGGGTGGGCTTGTCTCACGGGGCTGCCACAGCAAAGTGCCACGAACTGGGTAGCTGACAGGAGGTCTTTACTGTCTCCCGGCTCTGGGGGCCAGAACGCTGACAGCAAGGTGCCAGCAGGGTGGGCCCTTCTGGAGGCTCCGGCCGGGATCTGTTCCAGGCCACCCCCGCCTTCCGGCCATCCTCAGCTTGGCTCCTGGACACACTGTCCAGTCTCAGCATCTGTGGCTACTTGGTGCACTCCCTGCGTTTGTTCAGATTTCCCCTTCTTATAAAGACACAGCCACTGGATTAGGGTACAACCGCTTCCCTAGTTTGACGACATCTGCAAAGACTCTTCCAACTCAGGTCCTGTTCACAGGTTCTGGGGGTTCAGACGCCAATCAATTTTTGGAGGGACACAATTCCACCCACAGCAGAGAGCCGCTGACTGTGCCCCAGGCGCTGGCCCCAGGGTGAGAAGGGCTTTCCTGGGCCTCCTCCTCCAGCTGGCCTCAGTCTCTGCTAAGGCCCAGCACAGGCAACCTCTCCCCAACTCCAGGAACCTGCTCTGCCCATCCCCAGTGGGAGCCCTGGCTCTCTGCTCCCCGCGTTCCCTCCAGTGAAGCCCACGCCATTGTCAGCTGCACCGTCCTGTCTCCGCGCCCTGAGAGTTGCACACGGGGAGTGGAAACAACACCCACGGGGACTGGACAGATGCAGCCGGGGCCCGGAGAATGGGAGTGGGGAGGACGACCTCAGAGGGCCTCCGAGTCTGTTCCTGGAGTGTGCAAAAAGCTGAATTTAAGAAAGCCACACCGCAGCAACATGGAACACTGTGTCTGAGGGCCACAGGCAGCCCGTGGACAAGGAGGCTTCAACCTTGAGGGTAAGAGAGAAAGAGAGAGAGATACTGAGAGGGAAAGAGAGAAAGAGAGAGAGAGAGGGAGAGGGAGAGAGGGAGGGAGAGAGAGAGGGGGAGACGAAGAGAGGGAGAGAGAGGAAGAGAGAGAGAGAGAGGGATGGAGGGACACAGAGAGAGAGAGACAGGGACATAGAGAGAGGGAGAGAGGGAGAGGGAAAGTGAGAGAGGAAGAGACCACACTAAGACAGGGGAGACAGGGGTCTCTTCTCCCTCCTGTAGATCTCCAGGTGTGGCCAAATGCATTGAACCCTTGGACCAGAGACCCCGACAGAGGGGTCTGAGATACACAATGAGTGGACAGGAGTCTGCCTCACACCAGGACCTGTGCTGAGTACGTGTGCCAGGCACACCCAGCCACCTGCCCAGAGCCTCAGTCCCTCAAGGGGAGCCCCAGGCTGCTCCTCCTTCCTGTGGGGGATGGTGCCGTCTGCAAACAGACTTAGTCTACCTGCCGACTAAGATGGGGCAATCCTGAAAAGGTGAGGAGGACATGGCCGGAAGTGGGGCCTGTCCCCTGCATATGCTGAGCATGGAGCTTCCCCATTGAGCTCAGATGCAGGCTCAAGAGTCATTCCCAGCACAGCTCTGCAGCCAGCCACAATCAATCAGTCAGCCCGTAGGGCCAATCCGTTTGCACCCTACACCCCACACTATCCAGTGTATGGGCCGAGGGCTGCGGGGGACGCAGGCCAGGAGAGGGCCGGGCGCAGCAAACAGTGTGCGCTGAGACCCTGGGCTGTCCCCGCTGTGGAGCCCACGTGCAATCGATTTGAGCAGGGCCACGAGGCAGGCAGAGAGGGCTGGACATGCAGAGGCCACAGAAGCTGGGTGGCGTCTATGGCTCGAGGCGGTGCTGCCGAGCGAGGCCATTGTACCTGAGCAGTGAGGGCCCCTGGGGTGTTTGGGTGGGATGCAGGCAGGCAGGACACATCCTGGGAAAAGAGCAGGAGGGTGGATGGGCCCGGTGGGCTCAGACAGTCGGGCCTCGCAGCCACAGGACAAGCAGAGGAGCCCTTGGGAGCCAGGCCTAGTGGCACGGCCCACCCCTCCCAGGAGCTGTTCCAGCCACCAGGGCAGGGAGATGCTGGATTTGCTCTTGTTCCGGCAAGCAAACCGTCCCTAAGGGTCTTGGCCAGTGACACATGAAGCCCAAACGCACCACTGCCCAAAACCTGGACAAGCTCCCTCCACCTGCCTGTCACTTCTCGTTCCATAAGACTTTAATTCCCACAATGACGCCGCTGCCCCAGGCAGATGGACTCCGATGCGGTCACAGCCAGCTCACGGCCTGCTGGAAGCAGCGAGAGGGGCAGATGCCGGGCAGGTGCCTGCTGGGAATCCCCACCCAGACCCGCAGAGGGAGCAGGAGAGCGGGATTTCAGAAAGAGGAGCTGGGTTGCCAACGCCTAGGCCCAGACCCAGCACCCAGAGCAGCTCAGGCCCTCAGGGGTCCATCAGCTCCTCCATCTGCAGACGGAAGCCTGTCCACTCACAGCGCAGCTGCAGGCCAGGAACTCACTACACGGACCTCGGAGCCCAAACAGGAAGGGGCTGGAGAGGGACCTGGCCCCACGTGGAGCCCTGAGCCCTTTGGGAATCTCACCTGGGGACACGCTCCGGGGGCTGCGTCCACCTGTCGGGCCCCACACACATCTTCATCCATTGTAGCCAAGAGAAAAACACGGAATCCCAAAGTCGGAGGGAACCCGGAACAGGAAACAACGCACAGGCTCAGGACAGGGGACACCGGTGTGTGTGACCCATTGCTGCCACCCACCAGCCGTGTGGCCCTGGGGACCCCCATCGCCCTCTGTGCCTCGGCGTCCTCGTCTGCAGTAGTGACTGCCTCCGGGTACCTGCTGGGATAGAGCGGCATCGTGCGTGGAAGGGTCCTTTGTGGACTCTAAGCTGGGCTGGCAGCTGGAGGGAGTGACTGGCTCTCAGGAGAACCCAGGAGCACTGAGCTGCGGCTGGGGCCGGGCTCCTGTGGAATCACAGGTAATTCTCCCAGAAGGGCCGCGTTATCTTCCCTTTCTGAATGCAGAAGCTCAGGCTCAGAAAGGTCAAATTATCTGCTCAGTGTCAGAAAAGGCTGGGTGCTGGGCAGGCTTCCACTATGACGACGCTTTGTAACAAGTAACCTACAAACTGCGATGACAACAGACCAAGCTTCCTTTCTCCCAGGTCTGCAGGTGAGCCCGGCCCTCCCTCCAGGCCCCTGTGCACTCAGGTCCACCCCATTGTCTCTGTCGTGGGACCCGCGGCTGCCAGGCTGGCTCTTCTCTCCGCGCATGACGACGGTGTGGAGGCCAAGCCCGACAACCAGGCCGAGGGACAGACCCCGTCATGCCTGACAGCCTGTGGGTCAAAGCCACTCACAGGCTGAGCCCAGTGTCAATGACTCAGGAAAAAGCGCTCTGCCTCCTCCGGCAGGAAGCATGGGCAGAGTGTGAAGTGCGGTCCAGACGCAGGGAGGGAGCGACAGGCTGCAGACCAGACGCCACCCAGCCGTGGTAAGGACACAGGCAAGGGCCAGATGCACATCCACTTGGCTCCAAGAACACGTTTTTCTCTGAACCAAGGCACCTCTGAACCAAAGCTTCTCCTTTGTGGGGGGGAGCTGAGACTTGAACTCTGCCCCACAGCTTCCAGGGAGCACTCTGCCACCCCCACCCCCAGCTTCCAGGGAGCACTCTGCCACCCCCCCAGCTTCCAGGGAGCACTCTGCCACCACCCTACAGCTTCCAGGGAGCACTCTGCCACCCCCCACAGCTTCCAGGGAGCACTCTGCCATCCCCCACAAGAGTCCCTGCAGCCAGCAGCACGCTGAGGTCTGCGCCTGCCACCAGTGCCCCCCCAGGTCTCCAGCAGTGGAATGTGGGCCCCTCTTCCTCATCTCCCGGGCTCTGGCCGAGCCATCCTCCCGGCCCAGCCCTGCAGTCCCATCCCAGGGCTAAGAGGGAGCCATGGTCATGCCCTGACGTGCCCATGGAGAGGACAGAGGGAGCAGCGGCTTGCCCACCAGCTGTGGACTTGATGCTCCCCACAGCCCTGTAGACTGGGGGTCTCACCAGGCCCCACACGCTCTTGCACATGGGAAGCTTTTAGTTTTCGAGAAATGGACGCAAAACAAATAAAGAACAAGGAAGCTAAGGTCCAGAAAAGGGACTTTTTGGCCAAATGTATGCAGCCGGTCAGCTGTCCCGGCTCCGGCAGCCCTGCACCTCCCGCAGGACTCCTCACAGGGCCCTGTCCTCGCACATTTCCAAGGTGTGAAGGTCCTGCCAGGCGTGTGCACGTGTGGATGCATGTGTGGGAGTGTATGTGCTGTGTGTGCATGTGTGCGTGTGTGTCTGCATGTCTGCATATGTACTGTGTGTGCTTATGTGTGAGATGTATGTGTTTGTGATGTGTGCACACACACGTAGGCAGTGCAGAGAGAAGAGTCAGGGGACACGTCAATGTGGGAACACTCAGAAGCTCCCCCGCAGAGATCATGTAAGGGAGCAGCGCTGGGCTCAGCTAAACAAAGGCTTCTGTGACAGCCCTGTGTCTCCTCTGATGCCCACTGAGGTATGAAATTAAGTCCAGTGCTGCTACTCAGCCAAACTGATTACCTGTGCTCCAGCCGCAAGGGACAGGGACTTGTTGAATTTGCCGCCCCAACCCCCAAAAGGTTACATTCATTGTGGGGACCCTCCACGGCTCGCTCTGTGGCTGTCAGTCCACCGGGCTGAAGCATCCACATAGCCGACAAGCCTGACACGACAGGGCGTGGCTCTTGGCCCACAGTCCCATATTTTTCCGGGGCCTAAAGGTGCTCCAGGCCTCATTAGGTCCTGAGATATGCAGAGGCGGAAGCCCCAGGCCTCGCTGTCAGGGAAAACAACCTCAGCCCACTCCCAAGTAACTGGGGCATCGGCTGAGCAGCCGAAAGGGATAGACAGGGATGAGGAATCCCGGCAGTGACAGGGGAGCCAGGGGTGAGCCGGGTCAGGAGAGCAGAGAGAACGGGGCCCAGGGATGTGCTGGCCATAGCAGGGGTAGTGGCAGTGGCTGGGACCTCTGGGTGTCCCCAGCAGCCACCACGGTGATGAGCCTCCCTCCACCCTGGAGTGGACAGATCTCCTGGGCTGTGCTGAGGTTGGTGTCGGCAGCTGGGGCTGGAGACTCCAGAAGCCACTAGCCACAGGGTGCTGTCGTCCAAACAAGCTAAAGAGAAGAGGAAACCCCCCGGGCCGGCCCCCACCTTCCCTCCTGTGCCCAGCAGCTCTCCGGAGGCCATGCTGTGGAGATGGAATCCCATTGTTTTTCTTCTTTCAGGAAATCACACTGCTGTTTTCAGGTGTTATGTTTATTGCTAGCAGTGTGTTTGAAGGATAGAAAAAAGTCACAGTAGTGTGATTAGGAACAAATTTGATTACAATTATGAATTCTTAGTGGATGTTTGGAAAACTCCACATTCTATCTAGACATTTTCGTGTTGCACTAGTGGCCCGTCCACCTCCTACCAAAGACTTCTGTCCGGTACGGTGTCAAAGATGCAACGTTTATGTGACGCGTCTTATTTTGTTGCAAGAGGGAAACATTCTGCAAAGTTGACATTTGTGATAATATATTATGTCAGGTGAAATAGGCAAGAAGTTAATTAAAGGCAGAGAGTTAATTAATGAGATCCAGCCCACATTAGCAATCATTACCTCATCTGAGAAGAGTAATTAGAGTGGCGTTGCAGGAGTTGCTTTATTCTCCAAGGTGGCGTGTTGACATATCGCATAAGTCAGTTCATGTTGGAGGGTAACTCTCTCTCCACGGAGCAGCTGGGACAGCGAATGGATCAACTGTGGCAACTGGGCTTTGAGGCCGCAGCAGCCCTTGCAAAGCTCCGTGTTTGATGGAACCAGGCCACCTGTAAGCAGCCAGGGACGTGCAGAGACAGCCTGATGCTGGCTTTAGCACTGGGACAGGGACCGAGAGGGCCAGCTGCAGTCTGGCCCCGGGAGCTTCCCAGCTACTTGGGAGATCAGGAGGGCAGCAGCTCTGACCAGCATCTGTTCCCTGCATAAGTATTACTAGCAACACTTTCAGTCTCAGACTACCCCAATTTGGCCAATCAATGGCATGGTGGCTCTAGAGATAGGAAGCGCAGGCTTAACCGTCCGCTGCATGAAGACAGAGCTTCCTGCCTGTTTCCCACATGGATGAGTCCCGAGTGCCTGGGGCAGTGCCTGATGCTGGGCAGAGGCTTGGTGACAGGCAGGTTGAGTAGGGGGCAGGGCACTGCCCGGCTGGGGAAGCGAAAGCCACCGCTCCAAGGAATTGCTTCGTCTCCCCGGGCCTCAGCTCTGTCATCTGTGAAATGCGGACTGGCAGCGTCCACCAGGCCTGGCAGCCTGAGGCTCAAGGTGTGGATTCGGTGAGTTCATGTCTGTGAAGCTCCCAGGACACGCTGCACGCAGCCGTGAGGAATGTCAGCCTGACCGAATCCACGGGACTCTCGGCTCCTGGAGTCAGGACAGACCCTGCATCACCCTGGCTCCTCTGGGTTCCCGTGTGGTGCCCCGAGGTCGGGCTTAGCACAGAATGGCTGAGGGGCCCAGGCGTGGTGCAGAGCTGCGGAGAGAGCTGCCCCACAGATGGCCGGAGAACCAGGCAGCATCCTCTGAAAGACAGCGCTCCAGCTGAGGCTCAGAAAAGACAGACGGATACAGGAGACGCCAGAGAAGTGAATGGAGTTTGCAGAAATGTCTGCGGCTGCAGCTTGGAGGGCACAGCCAGTCCGGCAGGACAGTCTGAGGAGCACCCCGGGTGGGGGTGGGGACAGCTGGAGAGCCGGGGCTCAGGTGGGGCCAGGGCAGTAAATAGTGGGTGGTGTTGGTCCCCATTTTATGGATGAGAGAGCTGAGGCTTGGCAAGCCTAAGCAGTTCCTTTGAAGGCTCGGGAAGGGCCTTGAGCCGGGAAGAAAGCTCTGGCCTTATTCTGTGAGTCCAGGGGAGCCATAGAAGGTTCTTGAGCAGGGGAGTGGCTTTGGCAGCTACCTACTTAGAACAGTCCCTGCAGGGGCCTCAGAGACTCACTCCAGACCTCCCTCTCTAGAAACGGGAAACGTCTACCCTTTGCAGGTGGCGGTGCTCTGTTCTGGACCACACATGTGGACTTCTGTAGCACACGGCGCTCTTCCAGACACTCAGACCAAAACAGGTGACATCCCACAGAGGGTCAGATGGTGCAGGACACACAGCATGTGGGGAAATCACCTCATATGTCAGAGGGGACACCTGGTGTGGAAAAAACAGCCAGGGAGCTGCCCAGAGGGCTGGGGGGCTGGGGAGGGCTGGGGGGCTGGGGAGGGCTGGGGTACATTTGAGGATTGGAGGTGGAGAAGGCACTGGCCACGTGAGCTGGGGAAGAAAATGCAGGGGCCATGGCTGAGTAGACTCCGTATGGTTAAGGCCCATATGGAGGGACCCAGGGGTCAACAGTGGGGGCCAAGTTCGGGGTCATGGGAAGGGGCTGTGAGCCAGGGAGCCAGGGAAGGTGGCCCTCATGGCAAGGGTGGAGCAGGAGAGCCCTGGCCTGATGCTTGGCTGGAGCACGCTGGCTGCTGGGGACAGGTGATGGCCAAGGAGCCCAGACAGAAGCTGCTGCCACAGTCCAGGAGAGGTATGCTGGGGACTCAGCCTGGGGGGACAGAGGCCTGGGAGGAAGTGGTCAGACTGGACATATCTGAAGGCGGGATGGCGTGGGGCGTGGCTTCCAGCCGCGAGTATTCTAAGCTTTCTCACCCTGGGTGCCCCCTCTGCTCACCTGCTGTGTCAGAGCCGTGGTGCAGGCTAAGAGACCCAAGGCCACCAGGACCCGCGTGCACGGGCCATTTGGCTCTGCACAGAACCGGTCTGAGCCGTGGACCTGGAATTCTCTAACCCCAAGGGACTGCAGCTTTCCCATGTCAGTTCAGCCACCTGTGACGTCTTGCTTTGGTGACAGTGTCTCTCTTTAGCAGGAAAATAAACCTTTAGTTCCGATCTGTCATCATCCATTTGTGGGTGACATCACAGAAGTTATTTATCATTATTAGAATTGGGGACCTCCAGGTGTGGCTGTTCCTAGATGGGGCATTCCCCCTCCTCCCAGCTCTGGGGCTCGATTTCCATCTGAAGCCCCGACTCCACAACCAGGCAGCTGGGGTCTCACCCTTAACACTGAGGGAAGAGCGTTCCACAGAGGGAACAGCCAGCGCAGGAACCCCGAGGCCGGGCCTCTGAGGAGCTGGAGGAGGCCCCATGTAGCGGGCTCTGCTGGGAGGCCCCAGAATGACTAGGCAAGAGCTTGTGCATTCACCAGAATTAACCCTTTCTGGCCAAAGTGAGCCAGAAATCACAGGTCCCCAAGCGCTTTCAATGCAGATAGCAGATCAGGGCTCAGCATGGCCAAGGCTCCAGGTTTCTGGATCCTTAAAAACAAATGGATGACAGCTCTGTGTAATTAACCATATCTGATAATTAGAGCTTGAACTGTGCAGGCAGCACAGACTGTGGACTCTTCCAAAGTAGCAGCAGACACAGACACGCACACACCACACACACACACTCTAGCAGTAGACACAGACACGCACACACCACACACACACACTCCAGCAGCAGACACACACACACACACACACACATGCACACATTACACGCACACACCCATGAACCCTGGGCGCTCTCAGCAAGGCGACCTCAGGGGCACTGGAAGCCCTGGAGGAAAGGGACGGCACCTTCCTGACATCAGGGAGAAGCAACAGCCCATGCGCAAAGGCTGCAAGAGAGAGACAGAGAGAAAGAGACAGAGAGAGGAGAGAAAGACAAGGCTACTGGGCAGCCCCCACCCCTGCACAGGGCTGGCCGGCCTCCCGTGGCCCGACCTCCTGAAGGACAGTGCCTCCTCTCGGTCATCAGAACCTGCTTCCCCTGGGTCCTGGCCCTCCTGTGGCCTCTTCTCCCCTTTGCTGTCCCAGCAGCACTGCTGTACTCCCCAAACCTACAGCAGCCTTCACCTGGGGCCCTCTGGGGCTGGCCCGCTGACCAGAGCCCCACTCCCACTCAGGCCTGGGGTGCCGGCCCTCCTGCCCCTCCCTGAGACGCCCTTGCTGCCTGGCCAGAGAGGCCTTTGGCGCCCATGGCAGATCCTGGGCTTGGTCCAGCACCACCCCGGTACGGGACACGGCCACCTCTGCCTTGCCCTCCCATGGCCCCGTGAGCACTACCCGCCCTGGACTGTATGTCAATGACGAGGTCCCAGGCCCGGGACTTGGCCAGCCACAGCCCCCACGTCACAGATGTTTTCACACCTAGGCCCTGTTCCCTCCTTGTCCTGAATGAACACAAGGGCCTCCTGCCCCAGGGCCTTGGCATGTGCTGCCCTGGCTTCCTGGAGCCCTTCTCCCCAGACCTCTGCACGGCTCACTTCCTGTCACTCAGCGCTCAGCCCAGGTGCCCTCCGCAGAAAGCCGTGTCCCGCTCGCTACCCATCTGAGGAGGGCCCCGCCCCGCTGGCGCTTTCCACCTGTGGCCTTGCCCGACTGTCCTCAGCACTCCATCCACCCAGCCGCTCCTCCGGAACCTAAGCTCCGAAGCCAGGCCGTGCTCTCTTCCCAGCGCCGCTTCCGCATCTCCCACTTGAAGAGCAGGGAAGCACTCGTCGCATCTCGCCAGGGCCACGACGATTTGCTCACCGTGAAAGGACTGATTGACTGTGTGAATAACTGAACACGTGAGTGGATACATCACCAGGACTCGCTTCCTGAATGCACTTTGCTCACTCTCCCACCAGTCAGTGTCCTTCCAAAATTCAGAAGGGCTCAACCCAAGGACCCCATCCTCTGTGGGTGCCTTCACCCCGAGGCTTTGTTCCACCAGTCCGGGGACAGCCCCTCACCTATCCCCAACCTCCAAGGCGAAGCTCGCCACGGGCTGTGTTGCTGTCTGTATCCCCCAAAGCCCCGGATGGCCCCAGTCCCCAAGGTTTCAGTCTTCATGAAGTGGCCGGGTAACACACAGAGCCCCCAGAGGGAACTTCAGGGCCCACTTATGACTCCAGGACCCAGGACTCAGAGGGCTGGGGAGACTGCTCCGGGCTCCAGCAGCAGAGGGGGACACAGCACCAGGGCCAGGACCTCCCTGGAGAACATAAGGCGGGTGGGCAGGAGGCCCTCATCACGAAGGACCCCTGCCTGGGACCCAAACGGCTGACCCAGACTGTCCCACTGTGTGGAGGCTGGAAGTCAAGATCAAGGTGTCTGCAGGGCTGGCACCTCCCAGAGGCTGTGGGAGAAAATCTGCTCCCGGCCTCCTTCCTGTGCTTCCGGCCATGCTTGAAGGATGCCCTGGCTGCCGCTGAGCCAGCCCAACCCCAGCCTCTGCCTTCACACGGCCGCCTTTGCTCTGAGTCTCCTTTTCTGTCTCACAGAACCCCCATCGCTGGGTCACCAGGAAGATCTCATGTTGAGATCCTCACCTTATAACATCTGCAAAAGCCCTTATTCCAAATAACTTCACGTTCTGAGGTTCGGGTAGACATGCTGTATGAGTCCATTCTCACGCTGCTAATAAAGACATACCCGAGACTGGGTAATTTACAAAGGAAAGAGGTTTAATTGTCTCACAGTTCTGCATGGCTGGGGAGGCCTCAGGAAACTTACAATCATGGTGGAAGGGGAAGCAAACACGTCCTCCTTCACGGGGCGGCAGGAAGCAGAAGTGCCCAACGAAGGGGGAAAGCCCCTTAGAAAACCATCAGATCTCGTGAGAACTCACTCTCCATCAGGAGAACAGCAGCATGGAGGTAACTGCCCCCATGATTCAATTACCTCCCACCCAGTCCCTCCCACGACACATGGGAATTATGGGAACTATAAGATGAGATTTGGGTGAGGACACAGGCATATCATATCACATGCCTTTTAGGGGGACACCCTTCAACCCACTGCAGGTCCCACAGGGGTGGCAGCTGGGAGGGATGCAGTGCTGGGCTTCAGAGGCAGGCTGGCTGCGTGTCCCCCAACACCTGCATAGCACCCGGTCCTGTCCCCTCCCTGCCCTTGACCTTCCCAGCCCTCGCTGGCAGCCCAGGCTGACAGTCCTCAGCTACCCTCTCTGTCTGACCCTGGGAGCCCAGTGCAGCAAAGGGGTGGCGGATAAATGGTCCAAGGTGGAGTCTGCATGGCTGCTACTGCCAGACCACAGGGGCACAGGAGGACGCCTGGGGTGGAGAGGGCATGGCTGGCAGGGCTCCCTACTGCTGCTGCTGCTTACGTCTGACCCTGGATGCTTTCGGAAATGAACATTCTGATCCGGAACTGGAGGGCTGAGTTTGGTGCCCAGCTACAGGAGGTGGCACTCGGGGCGAGATCAGATGCTCTGGACCCCGAGGCTCTGCTTGCCTCTGACTGAGGTCACTTGGCTTCAGGGCTGTGAAGCTGCAGGTCCCCATACCGACTGAGCTTTGGTTCCTAAGCTCACTTGTGTGAGGGCTTCCCACCCCTGCCCCGGAGAACCACCTGGGAGCTTTTAGAAGGAACGCAGACTAGCCTTCCCCTAGAAATTGCGACTGGATTTGAGGTAGGAGGCAGAAGTGGACTGCAGAGGCAGGGCTGGGATGCTGGACCAAACCAAGGAATGGTTAAAACAGCTTCGGAGCAGAGGCACCTCCCCGTAAGACATGCCCACCAGTGTGCCATGTCAGTTTACCGCTGCCATGGCAACACCCAGAGGCTACCACCCCTCTCCGTGGCGATGACCCAACAACCTAGAAGTTACCATCCTCATTCTAGAAATTTCTGCATACCGCCCCTTAATTTGCATTAATTTGGGCATAGGTATAACCATGACTGCAGAAGCGCCTCTGAGCTGCTTCTCTGGGCCCAGGGCCTATGTGGTAGCCCTGCTCTGCAAGGAGCAGTCCCTCTGCTGCGGCGGCACATGACACTTCAATCAAAGGTGCTGCCCAACACCACCAGCTTGCTCTTGGATTCATTGCTGCCCAACACCACCAGCTTGCCCTTGGATTCTTTGCTGTCTAACACCACCAGCTTGCTCTTAGATTCTTTCCTGGGTGAGACCAAGAACCCTCCCGGGCTCAGCCTCAATTCGGGGGCTTGCCTGCCCTGCATGGGTTGGGTCTGGGGCAGAACCTGGAAAGGAGGATGGAAGGGCCCCCTAGGACACAGGAGGAGGGATCTGAATGAGTGAATAGTCAGGAAGGGGCACGTGCCCGTCCACACAGAGGGAGACGGGTGTGTGTGCGGGTGCACGTGTCTGGTATCTGACACAAAACGGGCCATGGCCACCCAGCCAATCTGCATGCTGGACACACCCTGAAAAAGTTTAACACCCTGCTGAGAACTCCCAGCTGGGATCTTTTTGCCCTTCATGCAGGAAATCAAATTCACAGGGAGACAGCAAAGATACCAGGAGGAGGGGTGGAACCGGGAACTGCCTGATGGGAGGACACCTGGGCCCCTCAGCACCTCCCTCGGGGGCTGGAAACCAGGCCAGGGATGGCCCCTGAAGACTAGTCCATGCACACAGGGCCATGTTCAGGGTCGTACAGGAGAAGAGACAGCTGCCGGACGTGACAGTGATTTCAAATTCTCTGGAGCAGTGTTCAGTGGCAGCATAGTCCCAATCATGTTTATTCTTTGCTTCTCTAGGACACGCTCATGCATAGCCAAGGAGAAAATTTAAAATGTTTATGCATTATGCGGGACAGAGTGAAACAAGCCGAGGCGCTGTGGTTGCTGGGTGCAGGGACTCATATTAAGTGGGCTCCTTAAGGAATCTTCAAGAGGGAAAACCTCGCCTCCGGGACGTGGAGTGGGAAATGCAGAGGCAGCCTGGGCCCCGCTCACCAAGGCAGACAGGAAGATCTGAGCCCCGTCACCTGGAAAAGGAGGCAATTTGGATCTTTGGGGACACAGAGGACAGGTTAGGAGAGAGAGACAGGGACACGGCGGAGGCAGTGAGGTCCCCATCACTGTAAGGGTCCAAGGAAGTTTCAGAGCAGAACCCAGCTCTGTTGCTTACAGGGTGAGCATCTCCTTGCCTCAGTTTCCTCAGTGTAAAATGGGCACAAACCAAGAAATAGCTTCGCAGTCTCAAGGTAATAATCAGCTAATGAGCTGATGGTCACAGCAAGCCGCCCTCCTCAGTCTCCACTCCCCACCCCACCCTACCTGCCTCAGAGATGGAGACGAAGGAACCCCCGCCACCCAGATCAACAGAGATGATACAAGACGAAACATTCTTAAACGTGATTCCTAACCAACAGGGAGATGATGTGGTTCCTGGCCTTGTGAACGTTGTTTTATCCTGTGCAGGAGATAGAGACCATAACTGCTAGGGAGCACTGGTGGGAGCGTGACCTACCACCCTTCATTCCTGGAGGCTCTCTTCTTAGACAGATTCATGGACAGAGATGGTTATTCGGGAGGGCAGGGGACACAGGCTGGCGCTTGTCCCAGGGTTCAGATCCCAGCCCTGCAGCCCTAGAGCTAGAGAATTTCCCAGTGGGGAATGGTCTCCAGATAGAAAGGACTTGCAGAAAAAAAGATCAAACCACAGCCCAGAGTGGACCCACAGGTAAAGAAATCCCAGAAACTTCAAGAGATAGAAAAACACATCACAAGAAAAAGGATTCCTGGACTAGGAATGGAAACTCTGGATGCTAGAAAATGATGTCTTACAAATTCAGAGGGAAAGGAGCTTTCACTTGGATACAGGACCAACCAAGCTGTCAAACACACGTGAGCTGAATGGAGACACTTGGGTCATGCTGGCTCTCAGACACTGCATTCCATGCAGGCTTTCTCAGGAAGCTCCTACAGGATGTGCTTCAGCAAAACAAGGGAGTAAACAACAGCAGAGGAACACATGTACTCCAGAAAACAGGGGATTCATCTCTGAAGAAGGGAGGAGAAGGGAAGCTCTGAGCAAAAGACAGGCAGCTCCTCCAGGGAGCAACTTCCAGAAAAAGGAGGAGGTATGTCTTTAGTTCTGGGTTCACTCTGGGCTGTGGCTTGGTCTTTCCCCACTCTTTTGGGGGCACCCTGAAGGCCTTTTCTCTCTGTGTCCTATTCTGGGAAGTTCTCATGTGATTTCTTTCATAATTTCCTTCTCCCTATTTCCTACCTTCTTTCAGGAACTTGAAAGTTGGGCTTCCTTAACTGATTCTCTTATTTCTTGGGGTTTGCTCCCATGCTGTTTATTTTTTCCTAAACTTTAGCCTCCGTCCCTTGCTTTGACTGGCTTGTCTTGGCTGTCATGTTGCTTCCTAACGGCTCCTCCTTGGTGTACCCAGGGCTCGCCTTGGAGACACAGGTCCTTCTTCAGTACTCAGAAGATGCTGATGACAGTGGGGTGGGGGGAAGTCTTCTGCTCCCTGAAGCGACCTTCTCCCTCCTGCTTCCTCTTCCTCCTTGCTCTGGCCTCCTCCTCGATGTGGACTTTCTTCCCTCTGGCCCAGGTGAGGAGACAAGACCTTGTCCATGAATCTGGAGAGTGCAGCAGAACGTGGGCCAGAGCCTCCTGATCAGACTTTAACGAAGCGGGTAACAGGTGACAAACCCAGAGACACCCCAGACTCCCACGCTGGAGCCTTGCAGCCTGCTCCCTGGCCCCCATGGATGGGACCCCAGCGAGAAGATGCCACCTTGCTCACCCTCTTACCCAGTGAGAAGATGCCACCCTGTTCATCCTCTTACCCAGAGAAGACGCCACCTTGCTCACCCTCTTGCCCAGAGAGAAGACGCCACCTTGCTCACCCTCTTACCCAGTGAGAAGACGCCATCTTGCTCACCCTCTTACCCAGCAAGAAGACGCCACCTTGCTCACCCTCTTACCCAGAGAGAAGACGCCACTTTGCTCACCCTCTTACCCAGCGAGAAGACGCCACCTTGCTCATCCTCTTACCCAGAGAGAAGACGCCACCTTGCTCACCCTCTTACCCAGTGAGAAGATGCCACCTTGCTCACCCTCTTACCCAGTGAGAAGATGCCACGTTGCTCACCCTCTTACCCAGCGAGAAGACGACACCTTGCTCACCCTCTTACCCAGCAAGAAGATGCCACCTTGCTCACCCTCTTACCCAGTGAGAAGATGCCACCTTGCTCACCCTCTTACCCCGAGAGAAGATGCCACCTTGCTCACCCTCTTACCCAGCGAGAAGATGCCACCTTGCTCACCCTCCTATAGCTCATGGGCAGCTTTCTTTGGTAAATCACAAGTTGAGCATCCACCTTCCAAGACTCTCTGCCCGAGCAGCAGGACCCCTATAAAGCCATGGGAGAGAAAGCAGGCCCTTTCTGGCATCCATCCTGCCAGTTCTCGCTTCTTCCTTAAGCAATGACTGCCCCAGTCAGGAAAAAGCAGACTTGCAGACAGCAAGAGGCCATGTCTCGCCCTGCCATTGGCTGCTGGGGCACAGCTGGATCCAGAGTGCAGTGGTCACCGTGCCTTGTCTCTCATGTGTTATGTTACACACGTGTCCTCCTGCGGAGTGTGGAGTGGCTGCCGGCCACTCACCTCCTTCAACTGGGAGCCCCGGTGGGAGAGACAGCCTCCCCTCAAGTCTCCAGCAGAAAGTCCCACAGGAGACTCTGATGGGCTTGCTTGGGTGACAGGGACACCTGGTGAAGGGAATGTCTCACTGGTGACATCAGGTGCCCCATCCAGGTTCTCGGGGTCATCGCAGAGAGTTTCCATGGGAGACTATTTACAGCGGTAGGGCTGGGTAGGGAGGCTCAGTAAGAGATGCTGAAGTGTCCTGAGGCTAGCAGCAGCTGGGAGACACCTGCTGAGGGGCTGGGGCTGGGAGAGCCTACCGAAGCCTAGAGATGGTGGCCGCATAGAGAGGGCTTTCTGATGGGAGCTGTGGCCTCCACAGAGGGACACAGCTGAGCGTGTCAGAGAGGGAACTGGGGGCAAATACCCACCCCCACTTTCCTTTCACCCTCATCTCCTGTAGGTGCCTCCTATGGGCAGAATCCACCAAGGAATTAGCTCACTGACACATGCCGGGAAGGCCACCTTCCAAGACCCAGGGTTGGGGAGAGTAGGTCTTGAGCACCAGTTGGACATGACCCCACCCAGGGGTGGGGATGGCTACTGTAACTGTGGTGGTGGGAACCAAGGGGGGGTGTGGTGAGAGCAGCAGTGGGTGGTGGTAACCATGGTGATGGCGGTGACAGCAGTAGTGGAGTGATGGTAACAATGGTGATGAAGAGGTAACCAAAGTGATGGTAACCATGGTGATGGTGGTGCTGGTAGCCATGGTGAAGAGCTGACCATGGTGAAGGGGTAGTGGTAACCATGGTGATGGTGGTGTTGGTAGCCGTGGTGAAGAGGTAAGAGGTAACCGTGGTGAAGGGGTAGTGGTAACCACAGTGATGGTGGTGACAGCAGTGGTGGGGTGAAGGTAACCATGGTGATAAGATGGTAACCATGATGATGGGGTGATGGTAACCAGAGTGATGAGGTGATGGTAACCATGGTGATGGTGGTGACAGCAGTTGTGGGATGGTGGTAACTATGGTGATGACGTGGTAACCATGGCGACAGTGGGGGAGCTAACCATCGCAGCGGTGGTGACAGCAATGAGAGTGACGCTCCCAGAGTTGATTGTAGGCATGAAGGCAGTCAAGGTGACATTGATGATCTTTATTGTGCTAGTGACACTGTTTCCTTCCATCCTCAAAACACAGCCCAAAGCAGTGAGCCCCCTCCTGTCCTCCCTTAGGGTCTCAGCCTGCCTGCTGAAGGTCCACTCCACGCCAAGCTGCACAATGTACCCAGAGGAGTCTTTGGTTTGGGCGAATGCTTCCTGGGTGTGCAGCACCCACACAGACCCACACCCTCACCCTCCTGCCACAGGCATCCACCAACTTCCTCAGCCCCACCGTCTCAGGCAGGGGGGCGAGGAGGAGGTGCTGGCGTGGAAGCCAGCAGGGAGGCCAGCAGAGAGAGCTGCCTAGCTGCCGCACTAATCAGGCCCTGCCCCCTCCCCCGGGAGAACCCCCTTCCCACTGGCTCCTCTGAGCTGTAATCTGGTGGCTGGCTAATTAGAGCCAATTTGCTCTGAATCCAAACAGTGTTTACTGTCACGCAGCAGGCAGCCAGGGGACAGTGGGAATCCCACCACAAACTCCCGAGGATGAGCCAGGAGGGGCGTGCCTCGGCACAGAGACACCTCAGGCTTGAGTGCTCATCTCCCTGACCCGTCTGGCTGCTCAGTCCCGTGTGTGAGTCGGATCCGTGCTGTGGGGCAGCGGGGAAGGCACGAGCTCAAGGGTTGGGTATGCAGGATGGAGTCCCTGGGCCCCAGGGACCAGGGCTGCCCCTAGGAAAGCTGCTTCACCTCCAGAGCTCCAGTGTCCCCTGGGCACCAGGGCTGCCCCTCCCAGGGCTGTGGACATCGACAAGATGATATTGTCCCTGAGGGGCCCTGTGGAGGCTGTGGCCAGGGAAGGGGGTGGGAGGTCACCTCATCTGCCCTTTCTTTGCCTGAACCAGCAGCATTCACATGCCCGGCAAGGGTCACCATGCACCCATTGTCCCCTCGCCCTGGGCACATTCACCAGCACTGACCCTGGGCCTACCCCAGGCCATGGCTGAGGATACCAAAAGATTTCGGCCAGGCCCCGGGCTCGAGGCCCTGTGTGACGAGCTCTGGGCCAGTTTCTGACCATCAGGCGGGAGCAGGAGATTTTCTGAGCGCTCATGTGAGCCCTGTCATCGCCTGCACCTGGAAGTAAGTGGCACATTATGAAAGCTGCTCCCTGGGACTTGCGCCCGCGTGGGGAGATGAGCTCTGTCGTGTGCTAAAGGATGAAGCCAGACGCAAGCATCTACTCAGGGGCTGTGGAGCTCAGAAAGTCATGGCGTCATCAGAAGAGGCTGCCTGGGAGAGGTGGTGACGCAGGCTGGTCCCAAACAGAGATCTGATCTAGAGAGGTGGGAAAGGTGTGGCCGATGGGGGAGTGCATGGCTCTGACAGAGATCGGAGTTTACAGCCAGGCTCTAATGCTGCAGGATTTGGGGAGAGTCCCCAGGGTCCCCCCAGCCTCAGTGGACTTGTCTGTGAAGTGGAAATATCCGTATTTAAGCCTAGGACCCTGAGTCCTTCATAGCACCGGAACTCCCGAAGGAGACCCGAGCTCCCCATCACACTGGGGGCCCCGGGGCTGGGGGATTCACTGGGCATCCCAAAAGTCTCCACACCTCGGGTCCCATGGGAGCTTTGCCTCCACCCCTGCCTGGGCCCCAGCCCATCCCAGGAAGCCCTCCAGCCTCCAGAGAGCCTGAGGTCTGATAGGCAATCTCAGGATCATAAACCAATCAGCACCATTTATTGATCTTTTTGTCTCATCCACCAGCCACTGCAGGAATTCCTCCCCTTGGACCCAACGTGGGGCCACCCAACATACTTGCTGGACTCTGACAAGAGTAGCTCCCTTCCTGGGGCAGCTGTTCTGCCCTGGAGCAGTTTTTGACTGCTGGGAAGCTTTTTCCTGGATTACACTCCAGTTGGCGTCTCTGTGACCCCCTGATCTTCAGCAAGACTGCCGAAGACAGAGAAAGAATAAGAGTCATTTGGGGAAACCTCTGTCAGAATCTAAGGCTATGAGAAAGGCCCTCTCAGAAGAGCTTTGGGGGCCTGGAGGAGCCATGAGGACCCCTGCCTGGAGGGACAGAATGGGAGGGCAGCAGCCTCAGGCCATGGGGGCGGGGAGCTGCGGTCCTGCAGGGTTGGGCTGGCCAATGCACAGGTGGGCAGGCAGCCAGCCTGGAGCCACCCACTCTAAGCACTCACAGGAGCCCCAGCTAGTCAGGGCACCCAGGAGGCTGGCGAACCCTCCTGGGTACTGAGGAGACAGAGGAATGCTCCCTGTGACCGCTACTGGCCCCTGCGGGACAAGGGCTGGGTGAGGATCCCAGTGATGCTGCTACGTTGTCATCTCTGTGGGCACTGTGGTGGGGCTTGGGGCTCAGGAGAGCACCCCATACAGAGTTGACAAGACCAGAGAGACCAGTGATGGGGAGCCACCAGCAGGAGCAGCAGCCAGCACTGGAAGCCCCCTGCACCAGGCCCCCACGACCCTGCCACGCACTCCCCCACAAGCCTGGCCCAGCGGCCTCCAGAGTTCCCTCCCCACACAGCCAGCCTGGGACTCCTTTCGGCTCCCTGCTGCCCTGCGGGCCTGGTCCTCTCCTTTCCTTTCTCCGTGTTTGGTGAATGAGCAAATCCCATTCGTGCATGAGGCCGCTCTCTGCCGGGGCCGCCCAGCTGGGAAGGCTGACAGCACGTGGCTCTGGGGAATCGCAGGGGCTCTGTCTGGAACACCTTACATTTGAGATCTGGCTGAGCACCAGGGGAGACGCCCATCTGAGGGTTGGAATCAAGGGCCTAGATTTGCGAGGCGAGGTCAGGCCTGGAGACAGCAGCTGGGGCCCTCTGCTTGTCCTGGCACCTACAGCGTTGAGACTTTTGCACCCACCCAAGAGTGGACGTGGAGGCTGGGGGCCAAGGTCTCTGGTGACTGGACATCAGGGGGCAGGGGACAGACCTCCCCCTCACTCCAGGGAGTTCCTTTCTCCACTTCTTTGCCCTCGGCACACCTCCCCGGGCAGCCAGGAACCTCCCCCGGGCCAATGCCGGGCAAGGCCTCCCCTCCACAGAGAAACCCAGCAGCCGGGGCCTCTGCTAGGGTGAATTCAACTCGTGCGGCCCGAGTTGCCTCACCTGGTTCTGAACCTGACTCACCGTGACTCCCCTCAGCCAGCGCACGCCTCACCCCAATGCGCTTCCATCTGAAGTAGTTCCATGCGGCGCCCTCACTGTGACCTGATGGCAACTGCCTCTCCAGGACTGGATTTGAAGACCCGGGAGACGCCTCCGCCCTCGGGGGCTCGCTGCTCGGCCATCCGGGTGGGCTAGGAAACCCCGGAGCCATCACAAGGCAGACATGAGTCTGGGCTGGGCGGGGCTGTGTCCAGGGATGTGGCTGGAGAAGTGGGAGGGCCCAGCCTTGGGGAGGGGCAGGAGGTTTCCCAGGGAAGGGGCGCCTGGACCTTGGCCTGGGGCCGCCAGGGGGTGACTGCAGCCGACACAATGAGCAGGAAGGACGTGCTTGGGAGCCTCCCAGCAATCCCAGAAGCCAGGGTGTCAGGGTCCCTGGCACAGGCTCTGGAGTAGGAAGGACCAGGTCACACTCTGGCTTTGTGAGTTTGTCGAGTCACTCAACTTCTCCAGGCCTCAGTTTTCTCCTCTGAAAACTGGGTACAATGACAATCCTGATGTGGGTGACTTTAGAGCACTCCCCTGTCCACCATTGTGACTGGCTGGGCCAGGAATGACCCCCAACTCCAGGCGGGCCCATCACAGTGGCTCCCACACCTCTCGGCACCTTGGTGACTGGCCCAGGAACGACCCCAGCCTCAACCCAGGCCAGCAAGTGCCTTCGGAGGGATTTTTAGGATCAGACACAGCTGGGGGTGAGCTGCTTGGCTGCTGAAGCTCAGAGCTGCAGACCCAGGAGCTGGTGGCTGCCATGAGCACTGTGCCCTGAAGAAGGCCGGTTTGCAGGGGACAAAGGGTGGCGCGTAGAGACAGGAGGTGGGGTGAGTGCAAAAACCCTAGAGGCCCGGCGCCACCATACCAGCTGGCCAAGACGTCCCCAGTGAAAGTCCTGTGGGGTCTGTGCTGTGTGGCACCAGGCTGTTGTCACTCACAGTCCACCCCCCTAGCCGGCAGATCCATGCCTTGGGATGGGTGCAGATTCCAAATGCGATGACACACAGAGGGAACTCAGCCCAGTGAGCCCAGAGCCTGAGGCACCCACTCGGCCCCGCCATGCACATGGAGGAGGTGCAGGCTGCAGCTCGACAGTGTTCCAGCAACAAGGTTTTCCTGCTGGAAACTCCCCGTCCTGGTCTCCCACCCACTGTGTGGCCATTCTCACAACTTCAGTTGCTGGAGTCATTGCCCTGAATCAAAGACCAGAGGCTGTCCACCCACGTAGACCTGTCCGTGGCTAGTGCAGGCTCTGCACTCAGCACTCAAGGCCCCTCGAGGGGGCACGCCCGGACCCTGCCAGCACCACCTCATGCCAGCCACACCAAACGGCATGTTCTGCTGTGACCTCTGAGACCAACCTCGCCCCATCCTTCCTCTCTGCACTCCCACACCCCCACCCTGTGTCCACCTTTGGAAGCAGATGGTGGCTTACTTGGGAGGTGAGCCCTGGAAAGACCAGTGGGGTTGAGGCATGAGACAGGGAAGGAAAGCAACCAGCAGGGTGTCCTAAAGCCACTGGCCACCGTGCACAGCTAGAGGTCGGTGCCAGAGAGACCAAGGGGAGTCGTGTGGCCAGGCCCTGGGAACCACTTGCCAGGCAGGGCTCATGGCTGCCCCGGCTTCACCTGGGGAGTGTGAGTTCCCAGCACTTCCGCATGAGCCCCACAGGCCAGAGAAAGCAGGGCATGGAGGGGCGGAGGCAAAGCGGGAGGCTGCAGGGACGGCAGCGTAGCGGGAGGCCGAGGGGACAGCGCCATGGCCAGCGCTTGCTCCTCTGACCTGCTTGCCCCTCCCTGTAGTGTCTCTGGCACACTCACACACTTGCACACTCCTGCTCTGTCACCCACAGGGACACCGAGCAGCCCTCTCGGGCACCCTGAAGCCCTCCTTTCTGCGGGCTTACTGGGCGTCACTGATGCGTTGACTTGCACGTGCCCGCCTGGGCCTGTGGGCCTCTCACTAGAACGCGGCATCTCTCCCCCAGTGTCTCCAGCGCTAGGAAGAGGCATTCAGCAACGATTGGCCAATGAGCAAATTCATCCGGAAGTTCAAGAGTTGCTTCCAAGGCTGGGGGTGGGGAGTCAATGTCCCTGGCAAGCAGGAAAGGGGGAATCTCCCCACGGAGAAATCCACAGGGCAGGGTGGGGGTAGGTGGCTGTTCTGGGAGCCCAGGAACTGTCTGGCCTCTGGGGCCGAAGGCCAGATGGCAGGTCCCTGAATATGATGAAGGCACAGCCCCACTTTCAAATCAGGCAAATAGAAATAGTTTTTTTTAGGTCAGGGTGAGGAAAGAAGAGAACACTTAGGAAGCAGAAATTACAAAATTCTGAATAATTGCCTCTTAAAAGCATTTTAACTCCCCTGAGGTGAGCGGCCCCTGCGTTGAGTTGATCCTTGGGCACCAAGCCGTACAGCTGCAGGAGAGGGGTCCCGGCCCGGCTCCTCGGAGCCGCAGCCCTGCAGCTCAAGTCAGGGGCGGACAGGAGTAGGGTGCCATGGTGCCAGAGACCAAGGCCAGGCATCAGCCCCTGCTGACCTCTCTCCCTGAGCCCCAGCGCAGCCCACACTCCGCATCCCAGGCATGCTGGCATGTTTGCAGGACCTGTGCAGACCGACAGCAGCTGCTCCCTGCAGGGGAACTGGTAAACTCTTGCTGGGGCCATTACCCAGCGGATGAGGCGCCTTCAGCCAGCCTTTCTCTCCAGGAGAGGGTTTGGGATCCACTCTGGGAAGCGCTTTTCCTCCCTGTGCTCAGCCCAGGAGGAAGAGCCACAGCGGGGACTCAATCAGCAAGGCACTTGGAGCGAGTTGAAATGGGGTTGGGTTGTTAGAATTGGGAGCTGTGACCGGAATAAGCTGTGTCTGCCAGCGAGGAGGTGACCAGAACAGCGGGGTTCATAGCATGGAGCTGGCTGAGGTGGGATGGGTACGGTCATGCTCCACTGGAGTTAACTTGGCTGAGCTGAGCCAGGCCGGGTGGCCCAGCCTCAGCTGCAACGAGGGTGTGGGCCAGGCCAGAAGTGTCCACAAGGGGCCGCAGGGGAGTCTCAAGGCCAGATAGAAGAGAGTCGATGATAATTGATAAAGACGATAAGGTTGAAGAAAGGTGTTATCAATGCGAGTGAGGGTCTGGGAAATGTAGAAATAAGTTTGGGGTCAGGAGGGAAATTAAATATGGCTTCCAGTTAGAGGGGCTGGGGCAGGGGCCAGATTAAACAAGATGGAGCAGGATCCTGAAGGAAGATCAGGAAATAATTTCCTAAATGTAGGCTGACCATGAGAGCGTTCCTAACCCTGACCACCGACCTCCTTTCAAGAGTATGGACCTTTTCGCTAAGGAAGATGAAATGTATATAAACTGTGACTTTTTCCAAAATGGAGACCATGCTTTATTTATCTTGGTAAATTGTCCTCCATTTCTATCCCTCCAGCTCATCCCAGGTCAGAAGAGTATATAGTACACAATAGACATTCAGAAAATAATCAAATTGATAAATGTATGGGTGGATGGATGGATGGATGGATGGTTGAAGGCTGAGTGGATGAGTGATGGATAGTGGATGGATGAATAAATAGATGGATAGATGAGTGGATGAATGGGTAAGTGGATGGATGAATGGATGGATAGATGGGAAGATGGGTGGACAGATGAGTGAAGGAGTAGATGGATGAATGAATGGATAAATGGAAGGGTGGATGTATGAGTGGATGGATGGATAAATGGATGGATGGATGATGGTGGATGGATCGAAGGTGAGTGGATGAGTGATGGATAGTGGATGGATGGATACATAGATGGATGAGTCAGTGGATGGATGGGTGGATGGGTGAATGGATGGATGGATGGGTGGGTGAATGGATGGGTGGGTGGGTGGATGGATGGATGGATAGATTGGTGGATGGGTGAATGGATGGATGAATAGATGGGTATATGGGTGGATGGATGGATGGATAAATAGATGGATGAGTGGATGGATGAATGGGTGGATGAATAGATGGGTGGATAGATGGATAGATAGGTATATGGATAGATGGATGGATGGATAAATGGATGGATGGATGATGGGTGGATGGATGGAAGATGAGTGGATAAGTGATGGATAGTGGACGCATGCATAAATAGATGGATGAGTCGGTGGATGAATGGGTGAATAGATGGATGGATGGATGGATGGATGGCTAGAAGGATGAGTGGATGGATGAATGGGTGGATGAATAGATGGGTGGATGAATGGGTATATAGGTATATGAATGGATGGATGGATGGATGGACGATGGGTAGATGGATGGAAGATGAGTGGATGAGTGATGGATAGTGGATGGATGATAAATAGACGGATGAGTCGGTGGATGGATGGATGGGTGGATAGATGGCTGGATGGATGGATAGATGAGTGAATGGGTGGATGAATGAATGGATAGATGGATAAATAGATGAACAAGTGGGTGGATGAATGGGTGGATGAATGAATATGTAGGTAGATGGATGGATGGATGGATGGATGGATGGATGGATGGATGGATGGATAGATGAGTGAATGGGTGGATGAATGAATGGATAGATGGATAAATAGATGAACAAGTGGGTGGATGAATGGGTGGATGAATGAATATGTAGGTAGATGGATGGATGGATGGATGGATAGGTGGATGGATAGGTGAATGGGTGGATGGACGAATGGGCAAGTGGATGGATGATAGGTGAATGACAGAGGATAGATGGATGAAATGAATGTGTGAATAAACAATGGGCAAAGGATGGATGGATAAGTGGATGGGTGATGGATAGATGAGTGGATGGGTGATGGATGGATGGATGGATGGCTAACAGACTGCTTCACTTAGTGCTTAGAACCTGGCAGTGCAACCAGAATTCCATGCCCACTGAATTCTGTCTCTGCCCTGAATTCCCAATACCTGGATACTCTGGAACTTCTGCCCAGGTTCCATCTGACCCCTCAAACTCTGCTCCAGAGTGCCTGGACCATATAATAGAAATTCTGCCTCTATTCTGATTCCTCTGTGGAATCTCAGCGCAGGCACCTTCCTTAGCTGGGCTCCGACACCCCTCTGGACATTAGCCACACTCTCTGCCCTAGAGAGCTGGCCCTGACCCATAGTTGCTGGCAGGGGTCCTACTTTAACTTGAACCAATGTCTCCCCCTTCCTGCTCTAGATCGTGATAGCTCCCATTTAAAACTCTGGGACCCAGACTGCGGGGACTTCCAGCCACAAGCCCTGCAACGCCAGCAGGAGGGCAGTTGTCCAGGGAGCCTCGAGTCAGAAGAGAAGGAACTGCTGCTTTCTTGGGGATGTCCAGTCAGACCTGTGAGGCCCTTGTCCAACCCCTTCCAGACCACTTGGGGTCATTGCCCCAGCAACCCCCTGGCCTGCTGGGCCCAGCCCTCCCCTCCAGCCCACCCCCACCCCGAGGTCTTCTAGCCACAGCCCCAGCCCCCAACTGCTGCTCTTATCTGCTCTTCAGGACCCTCGCCCACGGCTGTGAGCTGCCTTTCAGTCCTGGCTCTTGCTGACCTCCTGCCCCTGCAGAGCGTCTCTGAAAGCCCCTCCCCAATTCATCCCAGGTGCCATGGCGCTGCTCCCCACCCCCACGCCCACCTCACCTGAAACTCTCTGTGCCCATCCAGTCCATCTTGACACCACCTCTGCCTGCTCTGAGTTCCCTTAGCCAAGGCCCCTCCAGGAAGAGCCGGAAGGAAAGGCCTGCTTCAAGGACCAGTGAGGACGTCAGCAGCACTGCACCGGTGTGGCCTGGGCTTGGGCCTGGGCTTCTGTCTGTGGCATGGGCAGCACAACCACCTTGTGGCGCTGATGAGTGGGTCAAGAAGCTGAGCGGTGCCCGGCACCTGGCAGATGCCCAGTGAACACAGCTTCCTCTCTTCCTCTGCCTTTAGTGCAGGGATAGCCCAGCAGGCAGCACAATTCTCAAAGAGGCCAATCCAGCAGCTCAGACAGGATCACAGAGCCCCAGTCTGCAGGGTTCGTGCCCCAGCCGCCGCCACTTCCTTCTCTCTAGCAAAGCCCCAGACAGGTTGCCCCTGTCCAAGGCTGGAGAGCTCTCGGGGGTGTGGGGGGACGTCTAGCCCAGGCCATGACCAAGGCTGTGCTCAGTCCCTTCCCTCCCCAGCCATGGGGGCCCACAAACCAAAGTCCCCAGCAGGAAGCCATTCCTGTCACCCCCACTTTCAAAAGGGCCATCACGGCCTAGAGAGGGAAAGGAGATTTCCAGGGTTGCCCAGCATGAACGGAGGAGGTGGGACCTCACCCCTCCACACTGTATTCCAGGGCAGAATCCTGGGATCCCAGAGGCATGGCCAGCACCGGTTCCAGCTCCCTGTCACCTGCTGGCATCCGCCCCCATACACTGACATACGTGAAAGAAATCTGCTGGCAGGGAGATGCTCCCCGTGTCAGCCCTCAGTGAGCCCCAGAAGAGCCCCAGAGCAGGGACGGGGCAAAGAGGGAGGCCAAGGGCCACACACCTGGTCCCCAGACTGCTCGAGCCTGCTGTGTGGCCTCTGAGCCTCACCTCTCCGACAGTCACTTCAGGGTGCCATGGTTAGGAGCAAGAACCCTGGGCCACACGGAGTGAATCCCCACTCTCCTTTCTCTACCTGGGCAACCTTGGGCCTCTCCGGGCCTCTGTTGCTTCATTTGTACATGGGGACAGAACTAAACATCCTCTGTGGGTGACAGCAGCATGGAGAGAAGCTGGCGAGGCATGCAGAACCCAGCCCTGGGGCATGGCGGGACCCGTGTCTCAGGAGAAACCAGGCGAAGGCGAAGGGCCGGTGGCACCAGAGCAAGGGCTGAGCAGCTGCCGGGCTGTGAGAAGGCGGATACGAATCCCAGCAGGGCAAGCGGGCGTCTCCTTGGCCCTCGCTCCAAGAGGCGCACAAGAAATGAAGCCGCTGGCAGCAGAAGGTGCAGGAAAGTGGACAGACCGGAGCCTTGTCGCTCATAATGCCTTGTGCCTCACTCAGCCCTCCCAAACCCCTCTGTATGAACAGGCCCGTTCTGCAGATGCTGGGGAGGCATTGGCAAGGTGAAGAGCCTCAGCCTTCTGGCTAGGGCTGGGGGAGCCAGCACTGACCCATCCACCTCCGTCTCTGTAGAGCCCAGGCCCCCAGGTCCCCCGCCCACACCCAGGAAAGCCACTGCGTCATGCCAGCCTTGGCAACCTCTCCTCGGTGGCCCCATCTCGCAGCAGTCGGAGGTCATGGCGGGTGTGAGTTGTCAGAGCCTGCCTCCTACTAAAGTGTATTTGCCACTTTTTGCCCATGAAGCCTTGGGAATCAGGTTTATGAGAGATTTGCGGACCTCGGCAGGAAAGCAAGGCTCTGTAGGCAAGGACTGGAGGCCTCCTCCGTTCTGTCCTTGCAGTGACAGGAATAGGAGTCACGTGTTCCACCCGGCCTCAGTTTCCTCATCTGTGAAATGGGAACAAGGTCACCCCCTATCCGCCCAAGCTGTTGGTGAGTTTCACAAGCCAGAGTTGCAGCCTGCAACATCGAGTGCCGTGCGTGGAGCCGTGCTGTCCATGTCCATGGGGAAACGGCCCTGGGAGGGCATTGCTCCCTCTTGCAGCTCTCCCCACAGCAGGCCGCTCACCCTCCAGCCTCTTGGGAGCCAGCTCCTTGCTTTCCGGGGCCCTCTGGGCAGCGCAGTGGCAACAGCTACCCTCCGGACCCTCTGGCTCCCCAGCAAACGCCCTTGCTTGGCCCCCTTATTCTTGCACAAATCAAGCAACTTGTGAATGTGCTGACCTCTTTCCCTCCCTTCCTTTATTTACTTTCTCGTGGTTTAAATGCATGCTGCTGTGGAGTCCGCTGCGCAGCCGAGCCCAGGTGACATTGCAGGCAGGTCCCTCCGGCCGCAGGGGAAGGGACCGACAAGGAGTCCAGGACCCCCCGCAGCTTCCACCATGCGCAGCTCCCCCAGCCCATGGGAAGTCCCTGGGCTGTCGGCCAGCCTGGCAAAGTCCTCCATGGTCCAGCTGGAGCTGCTTCTCCAACCACAGCCGGCGGCTGACACAGCCCCGGGGCTGTGACCATCTGAGAGGACCAGGGCGATGGTGAGGCTACATGTGTGATGGGACTGACGTTTATGAAGCCACCACCAGGCCACGGCCTCCCCGCTATCCATGACACAGATGGTAAAGTGGAAGGAAGCTGGGAGCCCTGGGGATATGGGGAAGTCACTCAACCCTGTGACCTCAGGAATATAAAGACAAGTAATGCACATCGCACTCCTGCTCCAGGGTGGACACCTGGCCCCGGCAGGCATGTGGAGCCTGGGAGTCCCACAGAGCCACGTAGTCAGGCCCTCGGAGTGGGAGGGACCAAGAGCTGCTCAGGCTGGGACAGAGAAGGCAAGACCTGGAACCTCACGCTGGCCTCATAGACACAGGGACCCTCTAGGGCAGGGGCCAGCAGCCCCATCCACCCAGCTGCCCACACCCAGCCCCCAGGGAGCAACTGTTGAGGCCAGCCAGGCCCACAAGCACCCCCTCTGCTCCCTGGACCTTCTGTCCGATGTTCTCTGCTTCTGCAAAGGGGCTGTGTCTGAGTTTGGTGGGTCCAGGGCACCTCCCCAGGCTTGCTCTGCCCAAAGTACAGTGGGATGGGAGGGGCTGGCACAGCAGCAGCCCCTGGCAGGCAACAAGGCCCTCACCTTCCCTTCTCGCCTGGCCTCCTGAGGCCTGCACACCGTTGGTAGTTGGCACCCAAGGCTCATGGGGAGACAGTTAAGGCTTGAAGAGGCAAAGGGACTTGCTAATGAAACCTTGGGAGCGTTAGACACTAAAGGCAAGTGCTGCCATGTGTTGGACCAGGATGGGTCTTCACTACCCCTCCCAGGCTCCCTGCTCAGCTCCAGGACACGCTGTAAACATGGCCTCCCCCAGGACTGCCCAGTCCCCTGGGAGCTCACGCCACCCGAATCCATTCTACTGTACTTGCCTGGACACACCAGAAAGACTCTGTCCTGTTTCGTATTCTGCGGCTTCCAGGAAGGAGAAAAGAGGTCATGAAATGTCTAGTGAATTAATAAATTATGGACAAGTAAAGGATCAATGTTCTTTTTGTCTTGAGCATTTTTCTGCAATAGCAGCACGCCCCTATTAACAACATCAACAAAAGTCAAGTACGAAGAAGCAGGAAGGCACTCACCACTCATGGTCCCACTGCCCTGAGATAACGACACTCACAGTTTTCAAAATGTTTTTCTAGGCTTAGCTTTTTGACTGAAATAAATGCATCGTTGCAATTATATTTAATTGGATCCCTTGACAAGCCCTTCCTTAGAGAGCTTTTTTCACGAGGAACTTGTGTTTTTGCAGGGTAACCTGGAGACCAGAGGTGTACCACGAAAGCACTTCGCCCAGGGCCCTCTCCATCGTACACTGCGTTGTGGGCCCAGGCAAGTCAGGGGCTTCTTCCCAGGAGGGCTTGGGTGCAGACCTGCGGAGGGGCCCACAGCCACTCTGGTCCCTCCCTGCCAGGAGGATGTCGCAGGCTTAGAAACTGGACAGATATCTACAGTTCTGGCTTTTTCTTTCAGTTTGCTTCAGCAATTTAATTCCAGCCCAGCACAGGGTGGAACAGTTTCCCAATGCATGCGTGCCGCAGGGGGCTAGCTGCTTCCAAACCCCAGAACCGCCGCAGGCTCCAGGCAAGGCCAACACTGCCCACTCTCCTCGCCACTCCCAAATATGTTCCGTGCCATTCCTTAGACCATTCCATTTTGCAGAGAAGACTGAGGACAAACTGAGGTCTGGTCATTAGTACAGATTGTGGTTTTGTGTTTTCTGTCCAGATACTTACTGAATTCTTTTTATTTATCTTTAAAATTTGAAGATCTTGCCAGCAGGTATCTGGAGGCGTGGGCTCCTTTCATGGCCGGCGCACCTGCCCGTGCGCCTGTGTGGGGCTCTGGGCGGCTCCGGCGTGCTCACTTGCCAGACACGGGAGTTTTTCCTTCTGTTCACTGTTCCAGTGTCCTCCTGAAGGCCGCCTGTCACCTCAGATTGCGTCTGCCGCTCTGGCGTTCGGTCTCTCCCTCTCATCTGGAGCTGAAGGGTCCGTGTGTCTGCATGCCCCAAGGATGACCTTCTGCCCTGCCGCGCTGCCTTCCACTGCCCTGTGTGGGTGTCAAGTCCACCACTGCCTAGAACTTGAACTCCTACAATTCCTGAGGCCCCATTCAGCTTCCTTCATGCTCAGCCCGTTCCCTTCTAGGCACCTGCTCCTGCTTCAGAGCAAACATTTCTTTTTAGTATTGTTTGTTTGTTTGTTTGTTTGAGATTCAGGGGGTACCTATCCAGGTTTCTTACCAGGTATATTGCATGATGCTGGGGTTTGGGATTCTATTGTACTTGTCACCCAAACAGTGAACACAGTATCTGAGAGGCAGCTTTTCCACCCTTGCACCTCTCCCTCCCTCCCCACTTTTGAAGTCCCCGTTGTCTGTGGATCCCATGTTTATGCCTGTGTGTACCCAACATTTAGCTCCTGCTTGTAAGTGAGAACAGGTGATGTTTGGCTTCCTGTTTCTGATTTAATTCACTTAAGACGATGGCCTCCAGCTGCCTCCATGTTGCTACCAAGGCCATGATTTCGTTCCTTTTTATGGCTGTAGAGTATTCCATGGTGTACATGGACCACATTTTCCTTATCCGATCCACTGTTGTGTGTCCCTGGGTGGATTCCGTGTCTTTGCTGTTGTGAATAGTGCTGCAATGAACACAGCAGTGCAGGTGTTTTGTGTGCCATGTGGAAGGGCACTGTGGTTTGGGATGTTTGTTTATGTTGTGAATCCTCAGAGCTCCAATGTTCTCCTGTCTTCAGGACATGTCCCCTTTCCTCTGCACTGCAGCGTTTTCTTTCTTTCTTTCTTTGGCCTCTCACTAGTGAGGGGAGAGCCCCCCACGCCTGTGGCCCGGAGCCTGTGAGCAGCTGCCCTCCACCTGCCCTCCTTCCAGCTGGTGCTGACTAAACCCCCTAGAAGGATGGCTGGAAGGCAGAGGGTGCCCACAGCGCCCACCCTGCTCATGCCAGCGTGGCAGGTAGAGTGGTTTTGGGTCTCCTGCTCCTTGCCTGGCTCCCCTCTTTTCCCTGTCAAGTGGGACACATGAGAAAATGGCGATTCCCATCATGCACTGCTGCAGGGCTCTTCCCCTCCACCCCCACAGGAGCACAGGCCCCTCCACTCCCCGGCTAGACCGCTGCTCCTTGCATGCTGGGGGAAGTGGTACACTCTTGTCCCAGTAAACCACAACTCCAGGACAGGAATCTCTTGGGTTGGTGTTGACCACACCCTGGAGGCGACCTGAGACGGGCTCCGTGTTTCCATGGAATGTGCCTCCTCAGGGCGGCAGTGGTGCTTTTATGCCCAGTTTCACTGTCAGGAAGCCAGTGGTTAAGTCCTCCCAGGGCCTGGGCAGGGGAACTGTCAGCCCTATGCATCATGGAGCAGTAAGCTTGGACCCTTCAGCTTCCTGTCTTGGGGGGCTACATCCCACTCTGCTGAGCAGGAATCTGCCACCCCTGGTGCCCCAGGGTGAGCAGCAGAATCTGAGGAATGGCCTGCCCTGGAGAGTGGGCCCATCCCGGCACCCAGCTCAGAGCCAGAGGCTGGTGGTTGGGATGTTGTGGAAGGGAAGCCCACTGCATTGCCTGGGAGCCTGAGCCCAATTCTGCACCCCAGCCCCAGTTACATATCAAAGGGGGGGCCCAGGGCTGGGTAAGGATTGGGAACCCAAGGCTAGTCCCAGGGAGCAGAAGACAGGGTGCACATTCAGAGAGTGCGGGTGATTTTCCAAATTTCAGCTTCATTGTGAAACATCTATACAGGGAAATACTCACTCACTGTTAAAAAGGATGACGTGCACAGACATGCATGCACGTGTGTACAATGTCCACTGCTAAATGGCAATTTCACAACATAAACCGGAGCGCATGAGGGGACTCCATCCACCTGAGCTGCTGGCAGGCATGTTGGCTTGGATTCCCGAATGCGAGTGACCATGACTTACAGCTGTGGGGCCATGCATGTTTTCTTCCTGTTATTTTTACCTATTTGTTATTGGTTTTAAATTAACTTCTTTCAATTTGTTAGTAAAATATGAACATCCCTGTTCTTCCCCCCTGGCAAGGTTTTCATGTGTCCGGCAACCGGTTCCACAGGCCCTAGAGGGAAGCCAGCAGGCAGGGCTGGTCTCAGACACACTCAGTTGTGTCAGCTCTGGCCTCGGCCGGCCGCCTTCCCCTGGCCCATTTAGCAGACACAGCCATGAATCACAGCTAGCAGCTCCATTCCCAGGAGCACTCGGTGCTTTGACGGAGGAGGAACCAGGGCTGGTGCAGAACCTGACCACACTGGTGCAGCTAAGGCCATGGTCCCGGTAGGAAGACAGTGGGGGCTGGGGTCACAGGACCATTCACACCTCCACAGGCCCCCAACCCGCTCTGCCTGGGGGGACTTGCAGGGACCGTGGGTTCCCCAGACCCATCCTGAGTCAGTTGGCCTCCCTCCAATGGCTGAAGACCACGCCCCTTGCCATGACCTGGGTCAGATGATCCTCAAAAAGGGGGGAAAGGAGGCCAACGTCAGGGACATTTCCTGAGCTGAGTGCCCTGCAGTCACCGCCCCCTGACAGCCGCCCTCCCACACACCAGGGCCTCCTGGCCACAATCAGGCCTGAGCAGCCCAGCACACACTTGCTTCCCTGCAAATGGGCCGGGCTCCCAGGTGGACCCACATCTCCCAGGCTGACCCCTAAATACATGCCTTGGGCAGTGAGGGGCCGAGGAAGGCAGCAGAGGAGGCGGAAGCTCACAGGTCTGAGAGACCCCACTCAGCCCCAGCAGGACTGACATGCCCCCAGACTGAAGTCAAGGCCATGTGCAGCTTCCTGGGCACACACGTGTGGAAAATGCACAAAGCATAAGCCGAGTGTGGGCTTGCCTCTCAGACCAGCCTGAGCCCAGAAGCCTGGCAGTTATCAACAGTAGGAGGGGCCTCTCTTGGGAAGGATGGAATTCCTAAATGAGGAAGGGCCCCTGGTCTTCAAGTCCAGGATGCACCACGAAGAGGCTTTAAACATGCTCACACCTCAAGTCCACCCGAGCCCATCTGTTGTTGCCCAGGCACCACCTGATTCCATTCATTCCCCACACCCAGAAACAGGCCCTCCACCGGAACCACCTGGAAACAGGCCCTCCACCGGAATCACCCAGAAACAGGCCCTCCACCGGAATCACCCAGAAACAGGCCCTCCTCTAGAACCACCCAGAAACAGGCCCTCCACCAGAACCACCCAGAAATGGGCCCTCCAACAGAACCACCCAGAAACGGGCCTTCCACCGGAATCACCTGGAAACAGGCCCTCCACTGGAACCACCCGGAAACAGGCCCTCCACCAGAACCACCCAGAAGCAGGCCCAGTACCCAGTAATCAAGAATCATGGCTGTTTACCTTCATTGCTTTTTTTGTTTGTTTTGAGACGGAGTCTCGCTCTTGTTGCCCAGGCTGGAATGCAATGGTGCGATCTCAGCTCACTGCAACCTCTGCCTCCCAGGTACAAGCGATTCCCTGTCTCAGCCTCCCAAGTAGCTCGGATTACAGGCATGTGCCACCACACCCAGCTAATTTTTTTGTATTTAGTAAAGATGGGGTTTCACCATGTTAGTCAGGCTGGTCGCAAACTCCTGACCTCAGGTGATCCACCTGCCTCGGCTTCCCAAAGTGCTGGGATTACAGGCGTGAGCCACTGCACCCAGCCTTTGTTTTGTTTTGATCTTCACCCTGAGTGGGGCTGAGTGGGGTCTCTCAGACCTGTGAGCTTCCGCCTCCTCTGCTGCCTTCCTCGGCCCCTCACTGCCCAGAGCATGTATTTAGGGGTCAGCCTGGGAGATGTGGGCCCATCTGGGAGTCCGGCCCATTTGCAGGGAAGCAAGTGTGTGCTGGGCTGCTCAGGCCTGATTGTGGCCAGGAGGCCCTGGTGTGTGGGAGGGTGGCTGTCAGGGGGCGGTGACTGCAGGGCACTCAGCTCAGGAAATGTCCCTGACGTTGGCCTCCTTTCCCCCCTTTTTGAGGATCATCTGACCCAGGTCATGGCAAGGGGCGTGGTCTTTGCCGAGATCCACTCAAGGTGAGGGGCAGACCCCTGCATGCTCAGCACAAAGCGTGCCCTGGGTGGGACCCCCACAGATGGCTCAGGCTCACACAAGCTCCTGCCATAGCCCATGGGGAGGCCAGCAGCCCCTGAGGGTCACCTCAACCTCCCAGCTCCTGCCCGTTGCCTGGTGCAGAGGAGGCGCCGATGGACGTTCCCAGGAAGTCTCAGGCCCGGCGCTCTCTCAGACTCAGGCTTCTGGGGGGCCTCTCAGCAGCTCTCCCTGGTCTGTGCCTGGGCAGCCGCGGTTCCTCCCGCCCGCCATGCCCTGTGGCCTCTGTGACTCCTCCAGGACTGACCGATCCTGGGCAGTGGGGGCTCCGCTGGGCAGTCTCTCCCAGGACTGACCCTGCGAGGGCAGGCACATATCGGGGCCAATTCTGCAGCCCCATCATGCGGCAGAGGGAATTAATGAATGAATGGATGAATGACAAGTTCATTAATAAGAACTTGGAAAATAAGGAAACTGAGCCACAAAGTAGCAAGGTGCCCCACTCTCAGGCCATAGGAGAGCTTCTAACACAGAGCAATATGCTGGGTAACATTTATTTGGCACTTGCTGTGTTTCCACACTATTCTAAGCACTTTCCGTCCATGACCTCTGGGAGCCTCATGACAGCTCTCAGAGCAGACACCAGCTCTCAGCCCACTGCACAGATGAGAACAGCAGGGCTCAGCACGGGCCAGTGATTAGAGATCCATGTTTCAGTAGTGACAGAGCCAGCATCTGAACCTGCGGCTGGCCTTCAGCATCCACACTCGGTTGTAACCACGGCTCCACCCTGCCCTGGGCACACAGCGCCTGGGTCCTGAGCATTCCTCACTCACCCTGCACTGCTTAGAGCCTGGCAGTGCCCCCACCCCAGTGCTGTCCTCAGCCGTGCACCAGGCAGGGGCATGTGGATCCCAGGGAGATTTGATGCGTCTTCCTGGGGCTATCTGAAGATACAAGGCTGGGAAAGGAGGTAATTTACCCAGTAAGTGATTCAGAACATTATGTTTAGATTGGAACAAACATGGCTATATTAAGAATGCAGAATGGATTTTTAACATGTAACAAGAGATGACTAAGAAACAGCAAGCCACAATGTTGCAACTCTTCTAACTATCCTGGGGCAGAAGTGACCTTCTAGGTGCCCCGTGATGCAGTCCTAATTTTACCTAATTAATAAGAGAAACAATGGAGAACCAGAGAGGTTGAGCCACCAGCCCATGGCCACCCAGCAGTGCCTCTGGACCAGAGGTGCCCTGACAATGGCTTGGGCCCAGGCACTGACCCAGAGTCAGGTGGATGAGTTAATGCCACAATTACAGACTGACACACCCCACTCCAGTCAGCTGCTGGCACCCAGCAGTTTTGCCTCCTGCCTTATGCCCCCTGCTCTCTCCTCCAGCCCCAAGTGCAAGTACAGGGAAGGTGATAGCCATGGGGCCAACCTTGGCCAAAGGGACGAATTCTTCTCCTTCCCCCTTCCTCCCACCTTGACAGCTATGCAGTGCTGTCTACACAGCTGCTCTCCTGGTCACACATGAAGGGCAGTGAATGGACTCTGTGCAGGAGGTGTGAAAATGGGTAAATGGATAGAGGATGGATGGATGGATGGATAAATGGATCAATGGATAATAGATGAATGTTGGATGAGTGAATGGGTGGATGAATAGATGGATGGACAGATGATGGAGCAATGAAAGAGAGATGGAGATGGACGATGGATGGACAGAGGATAGATGGGTGGATGGATAGATGGACAGAGGATCGATGGATGAAAGAGATGAAGATGGGGGATGGAGGATGGATGGACAGAGGATGGATGGGTGGATGGATGGATGGATGGATGGATGGAGGATGAGTGGATGAAAGAGAGATGAAGATGGGGGACAGATGATGGATGGACGAATGGAAGATGGGTGAGTGGATGGATTGACTGAATTCAAGGATGGATGGAGGATGGGTGGATGAAAGGGAGATGGAGATGGAGGATGGATGGGCAGAGGATGGATGGGTGGATGAATTGATGAATGGATGAAGAATGAATGGATGAAAGAGAGATGGAGATGAAGGATGGAAGATGGATGGATGAAGGATGGATGGGTGGATGGATTGACAGATGAATGGAGGAGGGATGGATGAAAGAGAGACAGAGATGGAGGATAGAGGATGGATGGATGGAGGATGGATGGGTGGAGGAGGGATGGATGAAAGAGAGAGGAGATGGAGGATGGAGGATGGATGGAGGATGGATGGGTAGATGTATTGACAGATGATGGAGGAGGGATGGATGAAAGAGAGACAGAGATGGAGGATGGAAGATGGATGGATGGGTGGATGAATTGATGTATAGATGGAGGATGGATGGGTGGATGGATTGACAGATGGATGGAGGAGGGACAGATAAAAGAGAGACAGATGGAGGATGAAGGATGGATGAACAGAGGATGGATGGGTAGATGGATGGATGGAAGGATGAAGGATGAACAGATGAAAGAGAGATGGAGATGGAGGATGGAGGATGGATGAACAGGGATGGATGGGTGGATGGATTGACAGATGGATGGAGGATAGATGAATGAAAGAGAGATGAAGATGGAGCATGGAGGATGGATGAATGGGATGGATGGCTAGTTGGATGGATGGATGAAGGATGAAGGGATGAAAGAGAGATGGAGATGGAGGATGGAGGATGATGGATGGATGGGTGGATGAATTGATGGATGGATGGGTGGATGGATTGACGGATGGAGGATGGATGGGTGGATGGATTGACGGATGGATGGAGGAGGGATTGATTAAAGAGAGATGGAGATGGAGGATGGAGGATGGATGAACAGAGGATGGATGGGTAGATGGATGGATGGAAGGATGAAGGATGAACAGATGAAAGAGAGATGGAGATGGAGGATAAAGGATGGAAGGATGGACGGGTGGATGAATTGATAGATGGATGGAGGATAGATGAATGAAAGAGCGATGAAGATGGAGGATGGAGGATGGATGAATGGGATGGATGGGTAGATGGATGGACGGATGAAGGATGAAGGGATGAAAGAGAGATGGAGATGGAGGATGGAGGATGGATGAACAGGGATGGATGGGTGGATGGATTGACAGATGGATGGAGGATAGATGAATGAAAGAGAGATGAAGATGGAGCATGGAGGATGGATGAATGGGATAGATGGCTAGTTGGATGGATGGATGAAGGATGAAGGGATGAAAGAGAGATGGAGATGGAGGATGGAGGATGACGGATGGATGGGTGGATGGATGGAGGATGGATGGGTGGATGGATTGACGGATGGAGGATGAATGAATGAAAGAGAGATGGAGATGAGGGATGGAGGATGGAGGATGGAGGATGGATGGGTGGATGGATTGACGGATGGATGGAGGAGGGATTGATTAAAGAGAGATGGAGATGGAGGATGGAGGATGGATGAACAGAGGATGGATGGGTGGATGGATTGACAGATGGATGGAAGAGGGATGGATGAAAGAGAGATGAAGATGGAGGATGGAGGATGGATGAATGGGATGGATGGGTAGATGGATGGATGGATGGATGAAGGATGAAGGGATGAAAGAGAGATGGAGATGGAGGATGGATGGATGGG
This sequence comes from Homo sapiens, assembly GCF_000001405.40. Taxonomy (NCBI): domain Eukaryota; kingdom Metazoa; phylum Chordata; class Mammalia; order Primates; family Hominidae; genus Homo; species Homo sapiens. The sequence continues at coordinate 142,164,289 of NC_000008.11, forward strand.
TGGACGAATTGATGGATGGGTGGAGGATAGATGAATGAAAGAGAGATGAAGATGAAGAATGGAGGATGGATGAACGGGATGGATGGGTAGATGGATGGATGGATGAAGGATGAAGGGATGAAAGAGAGATGGAGATGGAGGATGCAGGATGGATGGATGGACCGGTGGATGAATTGACGGATGGATGGAGGATGGATGAGTGGATGGATTGACGGATGCAGGATGAATGAATGAAAGAGAGATGGAAATGAAGGATGGAGGATGGACGGACTAAGGATGGACAGGTGGATATAGTGACGGATGAAGAGTTAGAGGATGTGTGGATGAGTGGGTGATGTCATACGCAGGGGATCATGAGGAGAACAGTGCAGAAGAGAAGGCAGTTTCTCACAGGGCTCTGTGGTGACTCATCAAACCCTCGCCCTAAAGCCACCTCTGTGGTGTTCCAGAGTCTCTCAGGTCATGGAAGGGGAGCGTACTCCACAAGGTGAACACAGCGTAGCTTCTGAATTCCTTCTGCAGCTGTGTCACCACAGAGAATCTCCAGTTTCCAGCTGCGGTGACCTGAAGGAGCTTCCACCAGCTCCAGCACTCAGCCAGAACTTGCACCCGGTAGGTGTCACTGGGGGCGAGTTGCCTTCTGGACAGAGGCATCCTTGCTCAGTGCCCAGAGGAGCTGATGGGAAAACCCTTGGGGAGCAGCCAGGCCGCTGATCCACGAATTCGACTTTTCCCCAGAACTGTTTTTGCAGAGGCCACCTCAGACGGACAGACAGAGTAGGGCAGAGCACTGGCTAGGGCGCAGGGGGCAGCAAATGAGGGAAAATGGTCCCTCCTACTGCCTGTCCCCTCGCTAACCAGGAGGAGGCATGCAGAGGCAGGCAGGACCTGTGGATACAGATGCCAGCCCATCCTGGCCCTGCCTGCTGGGTGAGCACAGCCACAGCCAGCGCTCAGCTCCACTCACTCCTGGCTGTGACAGCTGGGAGTGCCCGGTCCCCCACATGGGAGCTAACAGTGCCCACTGGCTGAGAGGCATGAATGCAGCCACCCCAGCCAGGCTCCGCACATGGCCCTGGCTCCTTCAGTGACCACACACTCAGCAGCTGTCATTACCATGAAGAAAAGCCAGGTCCCCTCAGACACAGGTGCCCATGCCCCCAGTCCCTGCTGACCCACCCCCATCCAGGCCTCCCTAACCTAACCAGGGTGACCCCCAGCAGGATGCGGCCGAGCTGAGATAAAGGCACCTGTGCCAGCCCAGCCCAGGGCCTTGGAGGCGGATACTCTGGGGTGCGGCTTTCTCACTGACTGATCTTGGGCAAATCCCTTAAGCTCCTGGAGCGCCACTGGAGGGGTAAGTATTGAGTGGGATAAAGTCTGCAGGACGCTAGGCCAGCACATCCTTACTACATGGTCAGAGAGTGAGAAAACGGGAAAAGCAGCCTCGGATTCCCGCCCAGCCCCAGGCTGGCCCTGCCGGACTCGCCCTGCACCCCACGCACCACGCACAGGCCTGGTCATAGTAAGTGCTCAATGCAAGTGCGTGGAACTCAACTGAGGGGAAAAATTGACTTTCTTCTGCCAAGTGCAGCCCTGAGCGCTTGGAGCCCTCTGATCAATAGCAGCCGTCACTCCCTCCTGCTTCATTAAGTGGCCGCAGTGCTTGTGTTGGTAACTGAGGTAGAAACGAAGCGGGTGCCCTCCATTCTGGTGGAATTGTGTGTGATGTCATGCCGCAGCAGCGACGGAGCCCCCAGATGGAGCCCAACTCACAGACAGGGCTCCCGCTGTGTGACATAAGGATGGCCAGAGCCCCGGCCACAGGCTCTCCTGGATCCTATCACTCCACAGCTGGAGGGAGCTGACCCTCTGCTCAGGGCTTAACTTAGAGCTGAGGAAGGAGACACAAACAGGACCCACCCCTGGCCCCGCCTGCAGGAAGCCCACAGCTGGAGGGGTGGACACACATTTTCTGAAATTGTAAATGCATGTGGGTGGGGGGCTGGGGATGCACCATCTGCCCATTGACGGGGATCAGGAGGGCTCTGCTGGCCCCTGCCCTCTCCAGTGCCCTGGCAGGCAGTGGGGACCTGCACAGCTTCTCTCTGGTGGCTTCCCCTGTACCTCATCTGCAGGAGTGGCCCCAGCTTCCCCATGCCATTGCCCCAGGACCTTACCTGGACACCCTGACTGCCAAGACCTGTGGGTTCTTGGCCAGGTGTGTGGGGGATCCCGCCTGTAATCCCAATCCTTTGGGAGGCTGAGATGAGAGAATCGCTTGAGCTCAGGAGTTCAAGACCAGCCTGGGCAACATAGTGAGACTCCTTCTCTACATAAAATAAAAAATAAAAATTAGCTGGATGTGGTGGTGTGCACCTGTAGTCCCAGCTACTCGGGAGGCTGAGGCAGGAGGATTGCTTGAGCCCAAGAGTTTGAGGCTGCAGTGATCCATGAATGTAGCACTGCACTCCAGCCTGGGAGACAGAGTGAGACCCTATCTCCAAAACCAAAAAACGACCTGGGGGTCCTTATAGACTCAGAAGATGGCAGGGGACCTCTGGGCTCCCCCGACATGCATTTGCCTTCATCCTGAGGTGGGGGGTCTTCATCTCTGAGCTCTCCCTGTCTCCCCAAGATGTGCATTTGTAACAGCCATGTGCCAGGAGCTGGGGCAGAGTGAGGAGCAGACTGGGCACCCACCCTCACCTACTGGGGGCCACAGATACCAAGGGGATGCTTATATTAAGGAATGGGGGGGTCGAATGAGCAGACCCTGCCCAGGAGAGGAGACACGGTGGGGTGGCGGCTTCATCAAGGCGGGCCATAGGGAAGCAGGCGGTGGGAGCAGAAGTGCCAGGCAGATGGCGGGAGCGGGCAGGAGGCAAGAGAGAGGCCGGCAGTGAGCAGTGCCCACCACTCACCCCAGGCGCCCCTGCTCTGCCTTGTGCCCAGAGCCCCACGCTGGCCCAGGCCTGTGCTGCAGTCGGTGTGGGGACACCTCCATTTTCAAGGACACCTACAGGACACAGGTCTGCCTCCCCCATCAGCCTGTGAGTTCTGAGGGCAGAGGCACCTTCCTGGCCTCCATGCCTGGGGGACCTGTCAAACTGTTGGGCCCCAAGGCAAACAGAGACAGACAGGGTCCCAGCCCTGGCTTCTACCCCGTGGGGGACTCCTTTCCCCAGCAGAGACCCTGCCCAGAACCAACTATGCTGTTTCCAGATGACCTGGGCTCAGGCCAGCAGCAGCCTCTCCACCTTGGCCACCACCGGGGAGAAGGGTGGGTGGGTGGGACCAGGACCCCAGAAGCTGGGCTCCTGCCTGGGAGCAGCTGTCCCCTCTCCCAGAGTTCCCTTCTGATGTTTGATTCCCACCTCCCAGCCCCTCAGAGATTTATGCAAATCCCAGCTGCCAGATGGTTCCTTAATGTCAAACACAGGTAGGAAGAATGTCAGCCTTGGTCTCAGCTTCAGTCAGTAGCCACACTTGATGGATAGTCTATACTTTCCTCTGAAGCTAGAGGAGTCAGCTTGTCCAGCCCATTGCTCAATAAATCCTTCCTCCCTCTGCACCTGCCCGGTTTGTCCCTGTCCCCCTGGTTTGATCACAGCTGCAGGGCCCTTAATCCTCCCCCAACGCACTCAAAGCTTCTGTGAGGCCAGGGACCAGGTGGACACACTTGGATCAATGGCAGCCCCCTCGCTGTCACCTCGTCACCTCCTCACCATCCCTACCATCCTCATCATCAGCACCGCCACCTGAGTCACCCCTCCCTCCCCTCTTACCACGGCCACAGTGTCATCCCCCCCACCATCACCCCGGCCCACCACAACCACTGCCACCACATGGGCAGGGCCCCAGGGCCCACCCCTGCACCCCAGCTCACCGTTAGAGGGAAGGGCCAAAAGGAACCTGGCAGACAGTCCAACAGGGAAACAACAGGCACAATTTAGAAAGGGACAAAGGACTTGACTAGACCTTTCTCCAGAGAGATGCACATGTGGCCAGCGTGCAGGTGGGAAGACACCCGACATCACTAAGCACAGGGAAATGCAGATCGAACCACAGTGAGACGCCACTCACACCCACTGGGACGGCTACCAACAAAAAACAGACAGCAGCAAGTGTCGGCGAGGATGTGGAGAAATTAGAAGCCTTGTGCACTGCCAGTTGGAATGAAAAATGGTGCAGCCACTGTAGAAAACGGCATGGCAGTTCCTCAAAACCATTCAACACAGAATCCCCTTACGCCCCAGCAGTCCCACTTCCAGATGTACACCCAAAAGCATGGGAAGCAGAGACTCAAACAACATTCATGGCACATGATTCGCAACCGTCAAAGCGGGAGCAACCCAGGTCTCCATCCACACACAAAGGGATCAGCAAAATGTGGGATACATGGACAGCGAGCATCATTCAGCCTTCAGAAAGGGAAATTCCGACCCCGCGCCGACGTGCATGAACCGGGAGGACATTGTGCTGAGTGACATAAGCGGGACACAAGGACAAATGTGGTGTGATTCCTGGCATCGAGGCTTCCCAGAGTCGTCAAAGTCAATAGAGACAGAGGACCATGGCGGGACCAGGGCTGGCGGTGGGGGAACAGGCAGTTGGTGTTGAGTGGGGCAAAGTTTCAGTTTTACAAGATGAGAAGTGTCTGGAGGTGGACGGTGGAGGCGGTGGCGCAGTGATGACGGTGTGCTGGGCACTATCTACCACTCTGTACGCAGAAAAAGGCTTAAGGTGGTAACTTAAGATACGTACTTTGCACAATTTAAAGAGAGAATCCGCCCACTGTGACTTTAGCACACGAGTGCACTCACGTAAATTACAAGTAAAACCTAAATGAACTTCCAGGGTCAGCAGCAAAGGGAAGCACCGGGGGTCCGTGGGAAAGAGGAGTGGGTGTGCCTGCCCCTTAGCCAGGCCAAGGCCCCCCAGAGCAGGCAGGTGGGAAGGGAGACACAGCCCCACCGCCCTGGCCTGCCGACGGATTTGCTGAGCCTGTCTTAGAAAGTCCATAGCAGGGAAGCTGGGGGCCTGTGGGGAGCCCACAGCACCTGCCCACACGTGAGCTGACAGTTAGCCAGAGGCCTCCCTGGTGCTAAGCGGCCCTGCGTGGTACCTTCCAGCGGCAGGGCTGAATCAGGTCAGATAGTGGTGGCATGGACAGGCCCAGGGAGAGAACACACCCAGATGGACACAGTGCTCCCGATGGACGGATGGCACTTTGCCCACTTAGTCCGAGGCCCCTCTCCTCAGCAGGCCCTTCCTCAAGGTCCCCACCCTCCCTGGAGAGGGGACCAGCACTGCCACCCCATTCCACCAGAGAGATATCCTCTCCAGACACCCTCAACATGGAGGGAGAGGGGAGCGAATTCACCCCCAGGGGCCTGACACATTCAACATGGAGGGAGAGGGGAGCGAATTCACCCCGGGGGCCTGACACCCTCAACATGGAGGGAGAGGGGAGCGAATTCACCCCCGAGGGCCTGACACCCTCAGCATGGAGGGAGAGGGGAGCGAATTCACCCCCGGGGGCCTGACACCCTCAGCATGGAGGGAGAGGGGAGCGAATTCACCCCCGGGGGCCTGACACCCTCAGCATGGAGGGAGAGGGGAGCGAATTCACCCCCGGGGGCCTGACACCCTCAACATGGAGGGAGAGGGGAGCGAACTCACCCCCAGGGGCCAGACACCCTCAACATGAAGAGGGGAGTGAATTCACCCCGGGGGCCTGAGCAGCTGCTGGGTTCCTGCTGCCACAGCTCAGGGGCTCTCTGCCCTTTCTAGAGCCCCTCCTTCTGGCTCCCCTCAATTCCTCGAGCTAGTCAGAGCTGCCCATTTCCTTCCCTCTCTGCACAGAAAAGGGTTTTCTGTTGTTTGCACTCACCAGACCGGATCCATGAAGCATCTGGAGGACATGGAGAGGGTGTGGCATGGCCAGTCTCACTAGGTGTCCATGTGCCAATGCCCTGTAACCAGCGCCCCAGGCCAGGCCTGAGCGCTACGGGAGATCCAGGAGAAAGGGATGTGTGCCAGCGTGGCCAGGAGGGCTTCCTGGAGGAGGAGGGCCCTCAGCTGTGCCCTGCCGGCCACGCAGCAGGCCCCCTGGTGACAAGCCACACCTTGCTTAGCTCAGCGCTCCGGCATGTGATCAGCACCTGGCAAGCCTTACTCCAGTGGACGGGGCTCCCTTGGGGGGAAAGGGCTCTGAAGGCCACCACGCCACCCATGTCTCCCCACGGAAGTCTCCATCGAGCCCCTTGGCGGCCCCCCTAGAGAGGGGGACATCAAAAACTGCTTCAGTTCCTCGCTGGAGGGCTGTCCCCTCCCTCCAGGACCACCATGGCTGGCCACAGGTAAGCCCACAAGTGACTCGCTTGTGCCGTGCATCCCAGAAAAGACAGCGCCACGTGCAAGCCCAGGTGTCCCCTCTCCATCCTGCAGGCCTTCTGTCCAGGGAGGGCAGGGACCTTGATGAAGGGCCACAGATGAGAGGGGCGTGGGCCTGGGCAGGCAAAGCACCATTGTCCATTGGGAGCCCTGCATCAGTCTGGGTGTGATCTCTCCCTGGACACTTCCACGCCACCACTGTCTGCCAACCCCTCAGGTCCAACCATGCCGCCTGGGTCCAGACACGGTTCTCCAATCCTGATGAAGGATGCCTCTTCCGGGAAGCCCTCACCGGTGCTGTGTCCCTGCATCTGTGAGGACGAGGCTGTCTGGCACTGTCCACTCTCCAGAGCTGCCGTTGGCCCACATCCCATGTCAGCTGCGAGGTCAAGCTGAGACCTCCCCTATAAAACGGGAGTAGTAGCATCCGTGCTTGAGGGTCCGGGGGGATGAGCTCAGCAGACATGAATCCCATTCGGCATCTGAGGTAGAGGTGCCGTGGGGCAGAGCCTGGGGGACAGGCCCTGGGGTGCTGACCAGGGAGTGGAGACTTGGTCTGTTAGCAATAAGGAGTCATGGAGGGCGTTGGAGCTGGGGAGAGACACAGCAGCCTCTTCTCCAAACCCTCCTGCAGCTGCAGCCCCTGTAGCCTTTCTCACCTGACAGCTCCAGGCCCGAGCCACATGCAGTCCCTTTCTGGGGTAGGGATGAGCACCCCTGATTTAGCCCTCTCGGAGCACACAGTGAGGGTGACGGGCATAGTCCCCATGGCCAGGGCCTGGGGGGCAGCTGGTTGCCGGGCTTCCCTAAGCCTGGGTTTTCTCGCCTGTGTCTCGGGAAGCACTAGCCACCCTCCCCACTCTCCTTCACAGCCTTCCTCCCCATCTGAAGCCCAGGAAGCTTCCAGAACAGGCATATGGCCTGCTGGGGTGGCAGACGCCTGCCATCAGGGGACGCCCAGGTGTCGCCCTCCATAATGGAATCCCTCCGCTTTTCCAGGGCTGTCAAAGGCTGGCCAGCCCCCAGCACCCACAGAGGGCACGCCGCTCAGCGAGGGAGGAGGAGCAGAGCTAGCAACCCTCACCCTGGGCCCCTGATAATGAGGAATAAGAGGAGGCAGAGGGGCCAGACGCTCGCTGGGGATGCCAGGTGGGATCTTGGTGGGGATTCTTCAGTAAGAGGCCGCGCCGGTGCATATCATTGCGATTCAGAACCTGGCTCCGGAACAATCAAGGTTCATCAGGAACAATGCATGCAAATTCCTCAAATGACTCAGAAGGGTGAGGGTGGAGGCTCTGCAGGGGGGGAGAGGCCTGCCCAGATCTGCCCCGGGAAGCCCAGCTGACCCACGGCCACCCACACAGTGTACCCAGCTGGGGCACCCACAGGCTGGCTGGGCCACCCTCTTCTCAGGACGCCCCTGCGTTCCCAGGGTGAGTCCTCGCCTTGGGCCCAGAGCGGCTGGCAGCACTCCACCTTCCTCCCACATAAAGAGGCCTGGGTTCCAGACCCACTGCTCTGATCCCCATGGAGGATGCCTCCTCTGGGAAGCCCTCACCCATGCTGTGTCCCTGTGTCTGTGAGGATGAGGCTGTCTGGCACTGTCCACTCTCCTGAGCCACTGTTGGCCCATTTGCCGCGTCTGCTGGTCAGTAAACCCAAAAGGGCAGGAGCCCTCACTGCTCGCCCCAGGGGTCCCTGTGCCCAGGGCGATGCCTGCACATCAGGGCGGCTCCACGCACACTAAGGGAGTGAGCAAGGGAGCGAAGGAGAAAGACCTTTGAGAAATTGGGTGAATCATTCATCGAATCCCAAAGCTGGCAGGTGAAAGAGGTAATAATGCACCTGTGTTGTAGGTGGGGAAACTGAGGCCTGAAGCATGGGGTCTGGGTTCAGGGAGGCAGCACGTTCACTGGAAACTGCACCTGCATCCAGTCCTGCCTCCTAACTCAGCAGCCCTGGTCACTTCTCTTCCTGAGACCACCCTCTACCCATAACGGGCAACATGACTGCTGGGGGGAGGCTGTGCCCACCATGCTCAACAAACTCCAAGGCTGCAGCCTCCTCCCCAGTCCCTCAGAATGTGACTGCATTTGGAGCTGGGGTCTTTACAGAGGTACTTAGGTTAAAATGAGGTCATACAGGGGTCAGAGGGGCCTAACCCAATCCGACCACGGTCCTCATAAGGACAGGAGATGAGGACACACATGCAGAGACGACCGTGTGAGGATTCAGGGAGAAGACGTGGTCCACACGCCAAGGAGAGAGGCCCCAGGAGGAACCAGCCCTGCCAGTGCCGTGATGCCGGACTTGCCGGCTCCAGGGCCCTGAGAAGCATGTTGCTGCTGTGTAAGCCGCCCGGGCGGTGTTACTGTGTACACAGCCCAATAGCGGCGACTCACACAAGGCCTCACCTCACGGGGCCGCAGCTGGTATTGAAGGAAATGACAAAAGACAAGGCCCCGGGCCGGAGCAGGCTCACGAGGAGAAGGATGGCACCAGGGTACAAACCCAGCTTCCCAGCCATCTCTTCTGTTACTGAATTTAAAATGAATTAATTTCCATGTCAACTGAAGTGTTCACGTGTGCTAGTGGCCGGCTCCCTGGACGGTGAGGTCTTACCGGGTCCCCGGTAGCTCTTTGGAGGATGGCTCAGGGGGAAGGAGATGGTGCTAGGCGACCAGCTGGGACCCGCTTGTGATGGTGATGGGCGAGGCTCCACCCAACAAGGCTGTAAAGGAGACTCACACACCAACCTGGAGGCTGGGCCTCCGTGGACACAGACAGCTGTCCTCACAACAAGAGCTCGGTCCAGCCTCACCCACCTGAGTCTGCCATCTTGCATCCCAGGAATTTCAGGGTTGTGAGCCCCGGGCCAGCCCCGGACAGCAGAGAAAGACCCTCCTGACGCCATCAGTTAGGAAGACCCTCTTATTTGCTGCACAATGTCAGCTGGCTGTCTGCTGCTTGGGAACCCCCAAAACTGGGCGACGAGAGCAGAAACTATGGGAAGGACAGAGGAGAAAGGACTTCAGGGGCTGGAATCACCTTGATCCCAGACAGAAGAGGCCACCTCTCTCTGCAGCTGACAACCCTGCCAGCAGCTGTAATTAATATGGAGCCGATGACATCTAAATAATATAACAGTTATCATAAATAATATGCGGCCATGATGAAGATCGAGTTATTTATAAAAGAATTAATAATCGCGACGCTGGTGAGTGTTCAGCATTGGGACACTGTCCAAATCCCTGCTCTGAATTTCGATGGGGAATAATGAGTGTCCTTAAGAAGACAAAGACCTTGAAGTTTCCTCCGCTGTTTACAAACTAATTCCTGGTAATGAGGAAATTAACGTGGAAAGTCAGACTTGGAGCTCCGGCGAGGAAGGCAGGAGAGGCGTCTGGCCCTGGCATCCCGGCTAGGACCACAAAGAACTTGTCAGGTCTTCTGCAGCGGTGATTAACTAAATGAGCTGTTAAACCGAAAGGTCAAACTCCATCTTGAGAATACAAATGCACAAATAACTCGGAGACAAGGGATCGATGGGCCCTTTGCTGCAGGGGCCTGGGCACTCCCAAACTAGAGAGGCGGAGCTGACCAGGCTGTGAGAAGTGCGCTGCTGCTGTGCAACCCCCGGCCCGTGTTACTCTGCAGGCAGCCCAGTGGCTGCGACTCCCACAATGACTCATCAGGATCCTTTGTTGGGGGTCGTGTGTGCCCTAAGGGAGGAGCCCGAGTGCCCGGAAGCCTGGACTCTGTGGGTGCTGCCCCCTCCCTCGACCCTGCAGCCAACAGTGCAGCCTGGCTTGGCCCCTCTGCTGCCTGCTTCTCAGGGCTGGCCCTAGGCCAGGGGTGCCCAGACCAAAAACCTTCCTGCTGGAAGTGCCTGCTTTCCCACTCCCCTGCTGGGAAGCTGTCCCTCGGTCCCTGCCCACCCGGACCCCCGGGCTTGCACACCTGGCTGCCTTCGTCTCCTGGGGCCGTTGTAATAAAGTGGCCCACAATGGGAAGCTCAGGCAACAAAGCTGATTGTCTCCCAACCTGGGGGCTGGAAGTCCAAGAACGAGGCATAAGCAGGGGTTAGCCGCTTCCTTTGGGGCCATGAGGGACACTGTCCCAGGCCCCCCACTCCGGCTTCTGGGCCTTGCAGGCCATCTTTGTCACTCGGTAGCTCGTGGAAGCCTCACCCCTACCTCTGCCTCCATCTTCCCATGGCATCTCTCTACATACATGCCTGTCCCCAAATTGCCCTTTTTTATAAGAACACAGTCACACTAGGTTAGAGCCCACCCTAGTGACCTCATCCGAACTCATTACATCTGTAATGACCCTATTTCCAAATAACATCCCATTCTGAGTTAGGGGGAGCTATGACTTCAACATGTGAACTTGGGGAACACAATTCAGTCCATGACATCCCCCATGGCCATCGTCCCCTGAACTCACAGGCCCAGCTACCCGACCACTGGAAAAGAACAGAAACAGCCCCAGCCTGGTGCTGGGGCCCTGTGGTATCAGACAGACCACCTGGCTAGGGGGAGCTGGGGTGGCTACGGGTGGAGAAACCATCCGCAGGGGTCAGGGTGGAGGGTGCATCTTATTTGTTTGTCCTTTTGCATCATGCCTGGAGAAGCTGAGTCTCAGGACAGAGAGGGATTCTTGACATGACCTGGCCCAGAGTGCCACCTGGGCAGTGCTTCTGTCCCCTCCAACAGCAGAGTGCCACCCAAGCAGTGCTTCTGTCCTCTCGGGCAGCAGAGTGCCACCCAGCACCTGCAGGGATGCCTGGACACAGGGAGCTCGCTCTGCAGGGCGAGGCTATGGGTGATCCCTGCACCTGCTCTGGCTCTGGTGCTTCCAGGGGCCCCTAGCTACTCCCATGTTACAGGCCCAGGCCCAGAGAGGCCAGGGGAGGTCCCCAGGATCTCACAGCCAGCTGGATAGAGTGGAACGTGTGTGGCCCCCGATTCCCGGCAGGCACTTGTCCTCCAGCCAGACCCACTGCCTGGCACTCACCGGATGCTCTTTCTCACCGAGGATCAACTCTCCCTCCCTGAAGGGCGCCGGACCCTGAGCCTGCCATCTGTGAAATGGGATAGCAGTGCCTGCGTCTCTGGTACTCACGGGACCCTCCATCCTTGGAGATTTAAGAGATGTGGTCAATATCACCCCACACAGTTCCTGGCACGTGGTTGACAGCCAGGGACCACCAGCTCCCGCACCCTCAGAACAGCCTTTCCGAAATCCCAAACCTTCCCTGAGAGCCGCCAAGAATACCCTACCCATCTCCCTGTGGGGAGCATTCAGCACTCCAGGAGCGTTTATGGAGCACCGACTGAATCCCAGAGTCTTCCCAGGCTGCAGGCCCAGCCCTTCCTGCACTGCGGCTCAGGAATTTGCAGAGTGTCAGGCGAGACGCCCCCGTTCCCAATCACTTCTCTCATTGTGGGGCTTCATTTCTGTTCCCTTTGGTTGGGGCTGCCTGCTCAGCTCCCAGCGTTCTATTTCGGCTCACAACATTTATAAAAATGCATCCGAAAACCCTGGCGCTGCAATCTGGAACTAACCTGCTTCAAGTCCTCAGACAAAAGCTCCTGAATACTAATTGAAAAGTGATTAATTACATTCACGGAGCCCCATCTCCTCACTGGCAGACCCTTGCTCTCTCACTCTCCCTAATGGGGCTGAAGACAGCTCAGGGGCAGGGTGGGGGGTGTTGTTTTTGTTTTTTTAAGGCTGAGTTGGTTTAAATCTCATTTAATTTTCACAAGGGAGAGCCTTGAGCCTCAACTCAGATCTTAACTCGGGTCAGATCTGTCCCTGATCTGGACAAATCCCGGCCCTTCTCGGATTCTCATTTCCTTCTTTGGAAGGTGGGGCTGCGGCACCTGGGGGATTTTGGAAGGCGACCGTCCAGAATTCCAATCCCGGCTGCTCATAATTGCTGCGGTGGAGCCCTGGTCAGGCCCCAACACGGGCTCCCTGCCCCCGTCCTTTTCCCCACTCCCTGCACACCCATAAACATTCTACCCACAGTCCCTGTGGTCTTCCAGGACTCTGCTCAGAGCTCACCTCCTCCAGGCAGCCTGCCGGGCCCTCTTCTCTGCTCCACGAACACCCTAGAACCCTGGGCTCCTCCCTGACTTCTATCCCCACAGGGTGTTATGGCAGCCGGTCATCCACTCTAGACCATGAGCCCCTCGAGATTGAGGCTAGCATCCAGCCACCCCCAAACCACAAAACTCACCACAGCCCCTGAACGAGCTGGAGGAAGACCGCAAGCTCCACACCTGAGCCCCGGGACAGAGCCAGACTCCAACGATGAACCAGAGCAGAAGAACCTTGCACACAGTAGGCATTCAGTCAGTGACCTTCCACCCTGCCCAGCCTCTGAGTGTCCTTGGACCAGTACCTGAAGCCCCTCTGGGCCTCCATTTTCTCCCCTGTAAGATGGGTTGACTAGGAGCCACGCCCAAGACTGAGGGATTAATGAGACGATGCGTGCCAAACACAGGGCAGCATGCAGTAAGCGCTAAATAGATGTCCACATCCCTTTCCCGGCCTGCCCCTTCCCATTCCCGGCCCCCAGGGTTTCCGGAGCTGGGTCTCCATGCCCCTCCAAGGCTGCCCCTGGGCCTGGGGAGAACAGGCTGCTGCAGGTAGGGGGCCCGACCCTCTGACCCTGAAGAGACAGCCGCTGTCACTGGAGGGACAGGGGCCCGGGGCGCTGGCGACCGCTCCGGAGCAGGGTGGGAGGGGCTCCAGAATTCAGGTCCGCCAAGCAGAGGCCATGGCCAAAGGCTGCGCACAGGTGGGCCCCTCTAGCAGGGCTGCCTAGAGAGACCCCAAGGGGGGTCTGGAGGGGTCAGGGAGGGGCAAGTGATGGGCAGGGTCTGAGGGGACTGCGTGGCCAGCCCCCTCCATCAGACCCCCACTTCCGCTCCAGAGCTCAGAGGGGCAGCTCAGCCGCAGACCGGAGGCTGGGGTCACGGTGGCACCGAGAGGAAGCAGAGGCAGCTGAGGGCCCCGCCTGCCGGCGCCAGCCCTCCCTTCGCTGTGGGGTCGGTCCCTCCTCGCTGCACCCTTAATTACAAGTGTCCTGAAATCCTGCCAGAACACACTCTCTGAGACGGTTTCCCTCATTTAAATTCTTCCCTGACATTTGTACCACAGTGAACAAGAACGAAACTCCTGGGAGGAGGCACGGCCTGGCGCTGCGGAGTCTCCCTGTTGGAGGAGGAAGGAGGAGGAGGAAGGCAGGACCCTGGGCCTGGCCTCCAGAGAGGAGGTGCACGCAGAGAAGACAGCGTGGGCAGCCACCACGACCACCGCTCCGGGCCCAGGTCTCCCTCGTCCTTCCAACAGCCCCGTTTTACAGGGAGGGAAACTGAGGCTGAAATGGGAGAAGTGACTGGAAAGGCACGTGGTGGGGAGCCTCTCAATTTGTTCTGGATAAAAACATTCTCTCACAGGGTCCGCAATTCTACAGGAGCACTCACGGCTGATTCAATAGGAGAATTCCCCTTGGCCAAGGAACAGCCACTCCCAAAGTGTGAAGGCCTGGGCGGCCGCTCACCTGAGGGCCCTGAGCTGGCCGGGCCAGTGCATCCCTTCATCTGAGTACCCCCCAGCACCAGCCAGTTCATCCCCTCACCTGAGTCCCACTGTGGCCAGTGCATCTCCTCACCTGGGCACCCCACCACCAGCCAGTGCATCCCCTCACCTGGGCACCCCCCCACCAGCCAGTGTATCCCCTCACCTGAGTCCCCCCCAGCCCCGCGGCCATTGCATCCAGACTCTACTTCCATGCAGACAGCAGTTGACACTGCACCCCTTTACAGAGGAAAGAACCAGACTTCATGTCCAAGGGTGGGATGATCCCACCCCAGCTCTGCCACTTGCCAGCCGTGAGGCCTTGGGGCAATTCTCACTCCCAAGCCTCAGTTTCCCCACTTGTTAAAGCAGGATGAGCAGCTCTGAGGTGCTGAGTTGCTCTGGAAGCAACTCCACTGGGCCAGGTAGAGAAAACCCTGCACAGGCCTCCTGCAGACGGGCGGCCACCTGTTCTATGTGGGACCCGCATGCCATGGGGGCCTTCAGGAGCTGTCCTCACCAAGAGGTGTGTCTGAGGGTGAAGCTTCGGGTACTGAAGCAGATCCCGGTGAGGCCTCAGCCAGCAGCACACAGCTGGTGCCAGCGACGCCTCCTGCCTCAACCCACCACAACCCACCATGGCAATGAGCTTGTGTCTCTCATGGGCGTCTTTGGGTTTGGGGTTCTGTGTAAGACAAGGCAACAAGTGTCGCCAGAAGCAGGAGCATTCCCCGGGATCAGCAACCCGGGGAAGGTACGAGACCTTGCCAGACACCAGGGGAGGGAGGGGTCTCTGCCTTTGCCTCCTGCTAGGGGCCAGGCCTGGGTCTTGAGGAGGAGACAGAAGCCTGGGGAGGCTCCTCTGTGGGTCCACACTCCACTTGGGGCAGGCCTGGGGGTTGGCCGCAGCTCACCAGCCAGGCCACAGGCCCACGGCCCCGAGCCCAAGCTGCGATGGAAAAGCACGAGGTGACCCCCGAGCCTCCGGCCCCGGACTTGCTCCCAGAGGGGCTGCCTCTGTGGCTTGGGGGTGAGGCCTGGCCCTGGGGTTTGTCAAAGCTGCAGGAACCAGAACCTTCCCCCGGAATCAGGAGCACCCACCACCTCAGCTCTCAAGAATCCCAGGATCCTTCATTGTGAGCTGGGCCCCCGTGCTTTGTCCTGGGCATGGAAGGCCTGGAGTGGGGCCGGGGGACGGGCATTCAACACATGTCCCTGGGTCCCTGGGAACACTGGCACTGGCTACCTGAGGGCCTCACTGGGAGATACAGACCCGGCCCTGGTCCATGTTCAGTGCGGCCATTTCCCTGCTGTCGCCCCTGAGGCCCCCATGCTCAGCCTGGATTCATTGGTGCTTTGAGTAGTAACAGAAGGTTCCGGACCCTCTCTGAAGCCAGCAGGCCCCTGGTGACACATCCTCAGAACCCAGTCAGGGACTGCTGAATGAGTGCCAGGGCCATGGCGCTCAGGCGAGAGGCTGGGAAAGGGGCGTCTCAGTGCCAAATGTGGGCAGCCTGGATGGGGCTTCACCGAGAAAGGAGGCAGTGCCTCCACCCCAGCGCCCCCTTGGCCCTGCTCCTGTGAGAAGGTGTGGGCCTCCCCAGAGCAGGCCCCCCACTCAGACGCCAGGACTTCCTGGACCTCAGCCTCCCAGAGTGCACCTGACTCCAAGAGCAAGTCTCTCCCAGCCTGGGCCACAGGTGGCCCCAGGGGCAGCTTGCAGGATTTCAGCGGGGAAGGGGACAGAGGGTCTGAGATGGGCACGTGGGAGACCTGGGGCTGCTGTGGGCCAGAAGGAGCCGGGGAGCTGGTGGAGATGAGAGCCGGGAATGGGCCTGGGACTCGGGCAGCAGGAGGTCAGCAGTGCTCTTAGGATGTCCCCATGGATCAAACACCTGGCCAGGTGGGTTCAGGGGTGAGAGGGAGGAGGGGCAGGGCAGACGGGAGGGGACAGCTCGGTGAGGAGCAGGACCCGGGCGGTGACAGGGGAGCCCAGGCCTCCTGTCACGGGTGGTCCAGAGCAGGCCAAGTGATGCTCCTGCTGGGGCTGGGGACTGCGGAGCCTCTGGAGCTCAGAGCTAACTCCAAGCCCCGTACTCTCTGGGGGCCCTGGGCGGGCGGTGGGCAGGGCGAGGGCCAGCAAGTCTGAGAGAGCAGTGGCCGCGGCTCTCCTAAAACTTCCTCTGCAAAGCTTATTCCCCGACCCGTATAGCGCACTGAGCATCTACTTGTTTTTCTCCCCTTCCTTCAATACAATTATAGATTAATTAATTCTCACCGAGCAATATTTGACCTACATCAGCGCCTCTGTAAGACGGCAGAGCCAGAAGAAAGAATCATTGGGCTATATAAAGACAAGCAATCTATTTTAAAAGAAGGGCTGTGTGCGGGCGCCAGCTGCTCCAGCATCCCTGTTACATAAGGCTCACTTACAGGCAGCACACACCGGCTCATCGAGATTCACGGCTCGGTAGTGCTGAACACGGGTTAATCATCCCATTGCGTCTGGGCTCACCGGAGGGGCTCTGACAGGAGGATGCCCACCTGGGGGCCCCCGGGCACATGCGATGCTGCTCCCTGCTGCGGGACGCCTCCCCTTTGCCTCCCCCACATCAAAGCACCTGCCACGCCCCACTTTAATTGTGGGATTCTCCAGGTCAGGGGCCACATCTCATTCATCTGAGTGTCCCTCAACACCAGAGAGAGAGCCTGGGATATGGGAGGCATCGACATTGAGGAATTAAGCTGTGATTCAGCAGGAGGAGGCACACACAGGAGGAGCTGGTTCTCACACTCGCTGAGCCGCGAGCGCTGGGAGGCTGGGCACTGAGCCGCAGATTCTCATTTCTCAAGGCCACTCTGCGTAGTAGGGCGCTGCTGCCGCCACAGTGGGTACCTTAGGGGTGGCCCCCAGTGCTCATAGCCAGCGCAGTCCCCTGTCCCTGATGTGGGCTGGACTGCGTGACTCAGGACTGGATTCTAGGGATGGAAGGAGCAGAGAAGATGCGATGTGGCTCCTGAGATCCGGTTGCAAAGCCTGTGGCTCCAACGTGGTCATGCTGTCTGGTTCTCTCTGGAATCCTGGGTGGTGCCAGCTGCTGCACTGGGGGGAAGCCCTGTGGACAAGCCCAGGTGTCGAGGAGCTAAGTCGACAGCCCTGCGAGTGAGTTTGGGAGCAAATCCCCCAAGCTGAGCCTTCGGATAAGCCCAAGGCTCCAGTCCCACGGCTCTGCCCAGCCCACGAGAGACAGTGATCCACAGCCACCTCAGAGCTGGACTCCTGCTCCACACTCGCTGCCTGTTTCGAACCATGAGCTTTGGGATAACTTGCGACGCCGTGATAGAGAACGGATGTTCTGCCTCATTGTAGAGGTGGGAAAACTGAGGCTCTGAGGAGCTGAGTGACTTGGCTCTGGTCACCCAGCACAGATGCAAGCCCAGGCCCACCTGACTGCACATGGCACACGGATCTAGAAGGGACAGGCCAAGCCCTGGCCGAGCTGGCTGCAGCCTCCACAGACCACAGCAGATGAGAGGCCTGTCCCTCCCGTCCCAGAGCTCTCGGAGGGCCCGTGGCCGCCCCTCCACCGTGGTCCCCACGCTCCTCTCCCTGGCTCTGCCATCCTGCCTCTATCCAGGACTGCCCAGCTCTCAGGGGCAGGATCTGCCACCAGGAGCCCTCACACACTTCGTCGAGGAGGTGGGCCTGGAATACAGGGCACCCAGGGTGAGGGGCCTGCCACTGCCCCAGGGACCTGGAATCTTCCTGCAGAAGCCACGTCTGACCTTGACATTGAGATATGCAGCCAGGCAGTTGGGGGCCACCATCAGCCCTGATCTCTGCCTCCCATCTTCCATGGACCCCTGTTCTCAGGACCCCAGCTTTGCCCTCAGCCCACCCCGCTCCAGTGTGGGACATGAGCTAAGCCATTTCTTCACCTCCCCTGGCCTCAGTCTCCCCATCTGGAAAGTGGGAAGAGAGTGCAGCTGGGCCTGGCGTCTGCTTCAGCAAACTCATAAGGCCCCAGACCACAGCCTGAAAGGTCAGGGCCTGGGCCTGGGGGTGGCAGGGGTGTGGACGCCCTGCAGGTAGAAGGCAGGGGAACGCACACTGGCTGGGCTCACTAGCTGCCACCTGGGGCCCGGTGGCCATGCTGTGGCTGTGGACGGTGAGAGGGAGGAACCCGAGAGCCGCATGCCTCCCCTCCCCACCGCCGGCCGTGGCTCGGGGGCTGGCCCTGGGTCCGCTGTGGGGCAGGCAGGGGCAGGTGCCTTCCTGTTTCTCCCCCACCTGCCCTGCAGTCTGGGCCTGAACTCACCTCTGTAGCCCCAGAGTTCACCGTGGGCCCCTGTCTCCTGCTTTAGAGGCCACCGTGGGGAGGGCACCGGGAAAGGCCTGGTGTGAGTCATAGCAGGGGAGTGTGGGGCAAGGGTGGGGGTACAGAGGCACTCTTGGCTGGCAGGGCTGGGCCTTTTCTGAACCTGGCAGGAGTGGACGCAGGCTTTCCACCAGGTGGGCGGGACCCTGCCAGGTCCCTGAGTAACCTGAATGACTGCTCAGCCTCATCCAAGAGGGAGTCCCTTTCTGGGCTTCTCCCCTCCAGCTGGGAGGCTTCAGAGGCCAAAGCCCCAGGCCAGAATGAAGTAAGCTGGTTTGTTTTCACCGGGTTTCGTTTTACTGTTTCCTTCTATTTATGGGAAAAATAAATAAATAAGAAATAGGAGCCTTTTCATTTGCAGTCAGGATACAGGCACTCAAAGTAGAATCAAACCCTGTTAGGGACAATGTGACATTGTCATGTCTGCAATGACAGTGGGGTGCTGGTGAGGGGAAGGGGCTTGCGGGGAGGTCAGAGGGGGCTTTCATTGGAGCTGCTGGAACCCTAGAGTGGACTTGCAGATGGGCCCCCTTCTCTGGGTTCCCTCCTGAGCCCACGTCAGGCAGCTCCTGGCTGGAAGCCCCCCAGTGACCCTGACTGCCATGACACGAGGGGGCTGGTGACTGAGCGGGGCGGCCTGCCACCCTCCCAGACCCTGTCCAGGCACCAAGGCAGATCCTGCCAGACTCTCGGGGCAGAGGCCCTCTCCCCTGGGAGCCCCCCTAAGGCAGCCCCGAGAACCAGCTCTCATCTCCCTGCCTCGCGGTTACATCCCCAGGGACTCCTTATTCTCCTCCCACCACCTGTGGCTCAGGCATCACTGTGACTCGGCTTAGCTGTTACTGTTCTATAGTATTAGGTAATATTATACGTCAGTATCACATACGCCACGCAGATGAGAAAAAGACGGTTCAGGCAGGTTAATTACCTTGCCCTGGGACACACAGCAAGAAAAAGACAACCAAAATACGAACCCAGAGCTCTACTGCCCCGGCCCCCACTCTCCTTTCACGCCCCCTCCAAGACAAATCTGTTCTCCGGCTCCCAGAACCTTCAGACTGCACATCTTAGCAGCTTGACACCAATGGCTTTAGAAACTACAAGCTCTCCTGTCTAAAGTGGCAAAGAATCCAGAAAAACTGTGTTAGTTGGTGGGTCCTTCATCGGACTCACCACTCAGTGTGGTCTGAGGACCGGCAGAGCCAGCACCACCTGGGCGGGCATTAGATTGCAGCATCCCAGGCCCGCCTGCCCTGCTGAGTGAGAAGCTGCCCATTTACAAGACCCTCAGACGCTTCTGAACGCCGAGGTTAGGAGGCAGCTGCGCAGGGCCATGCTGAATCCCCTACTGTCCACAGCCCTGCCCCCAAATCCAGGAATGGTGAAGAGTCGGGCCCTGGCAGGAAAGAGGTTTGAGCATTCAGTGGGGGCTGCCGGTGTCAGCTGGTGTCACGCCCCACCGCTGGCTGCCTGCCTCTACTCACCTGTAATGCTGGCCTCTGGGAGCCCAGAGCCTCAGGCCAGATGTGCTCTGCCCGGACCTGGATTCTCTGGAAACCTGGCCCCAAGACCAAGCCAAGCTGTTTATAGATTCTGGGCTCCTGGCCAGATATCATTTCTGGCTTTGATGCCATTTAATGTTCCTTTAATGTATTATTCATTTCCGTGAATTGCAGTGCTAACTCCTCAAAGCTCCTGAGCACACGTGCCCTCCTCCTCATCCTGCACTCAGCCCAGGCTGGTCTCCAGCCTCTCCCGCTCCCCAGCATGCCTGACCCCCGCCCACCTGCCACACTTCTCCCCAGCTCCTCTTCCCTGTACTCAGCCAGAATGAGCCAGGACTGGACTTGCCAAGGCCTGGACCCCATGCTGATGTTGCTGTGTTGGCCACGGAGAAGCCACTTTGTTTCTCTGGAACAGACCCTAAAACTCCAAAACCCTAAAAGCTCAAAGCTAGAAAGCACCTTGGGCATCTCCCAGGTCACCAACCACAGCACCTCGTCCAGGAGACCACCCGTGGGACTCCGGAATACCTCCAGGGATAAGGGGCCTACTGCCTGCACAAAACCAGAGCCCAGGCACCAATAACCAAGCTCCAATAACCAGGCTCCAGTAATCAGGCTCCAGTAACGAGGCTCCAATAACCAGGCTCTAGTAACCAGGCTCCAATAACCAGGCTCTAGTAACCAGGCTCCAATAACCAGGCTCTAGTAACCAGGCTCCAGTAACCAGGCTCCAACAACCAGGCTCTAGTAACCAGGCTCCCAGCTACATCACTTGTGCTTCTGAGGTTCTCTCCCTCCTCCCCTCACCCTCTGCCCACAGCAATATTCCAGCATTGGTGCAGTGCCAAAATACCAAATAAAATCAGGATGATAGGTAAGGGATAAGAGAATTGTTGATTGGATTTCTTATCCTTTTTTTTCTTTCTGACACTTCAATTATTTCAGTTATGACTTTTTCATATAACAGTTCATAGATTGCAGGGGAACAACTAACCTTTAAATCTCCCATTTAGCACATTACAATAATTTCCTTGGAAATCACAGGTGCTCACGCTATATGACCTACTGCAGGCGCTTCATCAGCAAATTAATGTCGACGTTAATTCAAACTTTGGTGAAAGTGCAAACTTGACAAAGATGAATCCAGCCATTTGCAGTAATGATCAGGGCAGCAGCACAGGCAGGATAGCAGAAGGGGCATCTCTGGGAGAACACCCCGGAAGGCATGGCAGTCCTCTGTATTTTGTCAGAAGTTTCTGTTGACAGCAGGTGTTCCAAGATCAGCCTCCCTGGCTTCAAATTCTGACTCCAACACTAACAGCCACATGGCCTTGGGCAAGCGACTGCCCCTCTTTGGGACTCAGTCTCCTAATCTGTAAAATGAGTAAATATTAGCATCTATCTCATTGTGGGGATTAAATGAGTTGATACATAACAAAGTATTTGGCACAGAGCTGCCATTTATTTAAGGTCAATAAATAGCTTCTACCACTGCAATGATTACCACTGCATTTGCCATTATACCCACTACCACCACCACTATCATCATCATCATCACCCACATAATCTTCACCATCATCACCACCCTCACCACCAGCATCACTATCAACACCACCATTCCCACCAGCACTATCATCACTATTATCATCACCATTAATGTCATCACCACCACCATAACATCACCATCAATACTACCTCATCACCATCATTACCATCACCATCACTATCATCATCTTCATCCATTATTACCACCACTATCGTTACCATCAACACCTCCACTATCACCAGCACCATGATCATGACCCCCACAGGTGTTCCCAGAGCCTCCATCTCATTGCAACTTTCCAGCCCACCAGATCCTAACGTGCCTGGACTCAGGACTCAGCTTAAATGTCTCCTCCTCCGAGAGGCTTCCCCTGACCTCCAATGACACCAGCCAGCCTCTAACCCTTCCAGCATATTCACAGGACGCTGATGGCCTATGCATTGCCCATCTTCTTTCTTTTCTCTCCCAGTTGAGGGAGAATCCTCAAGATCTAGAACACTGTGCCACATATAGAAAATTCTCAATAAACCTTAATGAATGATTGAAAGATCAAAGGAAGATACAAACAAGAAATCCCATTGCCACTACCAGGCTGAAGTTCTGTTCTTTCCTACCTGAATGGGGGACTGGCCATGCCCCCAGCAGGAGCATGGGGGCCCCAGACACAGGCACCTTCAGCTGCCCATGCAGGCCCTCCCTGCTTTGCCCTGGCTGCAAAGCAGTCCGCAGAGCTGTTGTCAACATTAGCCCACGTTAGAGATGAGGAGAGTGGGGCTACTGAGGGGGCTGGGGCTCAGGTCCCATCAGGGCCAGGCCCCTGCTCCTGTCCGCCCAACCCAGACCTTCCCTGGCCTCTCTGAACGTTCCCCTGGGCTCTCAGGAGCCCAGCCCCTCCTCCATGGCCTCTGCCGAAAGGAAGGGCTCCTCTGTGGCCCCACCTCCTCCCCAGGCCAGCCCTACTTAGGCTGTTCCCAGGAGGGGCGGGAAGGGGTGAGAGTGTGATTCTGCCCACCTGGGTTAGGCATTGGTCCACCTCCTGCCACCTGGCTCCCTACCCACCTCCTGCGCCTCCAGCCCTGCGACCTTCCACCTGTGTAGGCTCTGGGAGGAAGAGCTGCACCGTGGGTTGTCACCCAGCATAGGGTCTGCACCCAGTAGGTACACACAATTGAAGCTCAGAGGGGCTCTCTGAATCCCCCTCAGGGCAGGCAAGGTGAAGGATGGACATCAGGTGGAACCCCAGGGCGAGGGCTGCACGGAGGCACAGCCAGGGCGAGGGCTGCACGGAGGCACAGGTGGAGGCACAGATCGTGGTCTGCTTCTGTTCTTGCACTTGCCCTGGGCCAGGGTGTGGCCGGGCTGTCAGGGAGTGGGCCAGGGTGCCAATACCCAGGATCCTGGCAGAGGGAGGGAACCCGACCAGGAGAAGTATCAGGAAGACCTGGGAGAGACCCACAGGAGGGGAGCCCACTCCAGCCAGGCCTACAGAGTTCAAGAGCCCACCTGGGCTCCCCACTGACAAGGGACTCAGCCCTAGCAGCGTTCACCTCCCATCCGGCCATGGGGAGCCCATTGCCACGACATTCCCCAGAGGCAAGAGTGGGAAGTCTCCACTGGGGACACAGGGCAAGGGGCTTCTGGGGCTCCCTGCACCCTGAGATTATGACCATCTGTTTCTCTGACAGTTGCCAACTGGGCTGTAAGGGGCAAGAGCCCCCCAAACTTTAAGGTGCCCTTGGGTCCTGTACACCCCATCGCAGACAGTGCAGGCTGGGATGCGGTGGGTCTGGGCAGGCCCAGGTTCCCAGGGGTGCCGCTGCTGCTGGGCCCTGGACTGCACAGGGTGGCACAGCCTGCTCCTCTGGGGGCCGGGGCACCTGGGCCCTAGCACACTGCGGCACTCGGCAGAGCAAACTGCATAGGATTAGGATTCAGCTTAGGGGCCACCTGGGGAACAGAGCTGGGCTCCCCTTAAGGACTGCTTGTCTGAAGGGGCTCCTGGGACTCTGCAGAAGTCCCAGGGCATCCCCACGAGGGCATCATCCTCATGGGCCAGGATTAGCAGCACAGGCTGCCTGACTGGGCAGTTCTGAGAGTTAGTCCCATCATGAGGAGGTTTTAACAACATCCTGCCGTGATTTGCGGGGAATGGAACGTGGATAGGAGGTTGGGCTGGCACCCGTGCACACGCCCTCCCACACCTGGGCTCCTACCACAACTGGCTATGGAGGCCAGGTGAGCCTGCCTAAGTCCCAGAGTGTTGGGGCCTCCTCACAGCCCTGCCTGACTGACCTCCCAGCTGTGCTTTCCACCAAGGCCACTGCCTCTCCCCACGGTGGCTGCAGGTTCGAGCTCTGCTGGGAGGTGAAGGCAGCTTGTTCACCAGAGCCTCCTCAGGGGCCTGCAGGAGGAAGAGCTCTTAGCAGGTAAATAATGTAATTTATGGGAAACAATACGAAGCTTGTGATGGAGACCCCGGGAACCAGAAGTATCCAGGCTTAGTGCCCAGAAAGGCAGCCAGACCCTCAGGGCAGCTGCGTCCGGCTTCTCCAAGGAAGCATCTCCAAACAGGTGGTGAGGCCTGGAGCTCAGCTACAAGCCCAGGACAGGGCCTTGCTGGGTGGGAACAAGGTAGCCAGGAGCATCCCGTAGCACACACCTGCACATGGCACATGCCTGCATGGCACACTCCTATATGGACTTGTCTGCACACAGCACACACCGGCACAACACATGCCTGTACATGGCACACACCTATGTGTGACACTCACCTACACAGCACACGCCTACAGGGCACACGCCTATAAGGCACATGCCTGCACATGGCACACACCTGTACATGGCACACTCCTATATGGCACACGCCTGCACATGGGACACACCTGCACAGCACGTGCCTGCACAGCACATGCCTATATGGCACACACCTGCACAGCACACGCCTATATGCCACACGCCTGCACATGGCACACACCTGTACACGGCACACTCCTATATGCCACACGCCTGCACATGGGACACACCTGCACAGCACGTGCCTATATGGCACATACCTGCACATGGCACACACCTGTACATGGCACACACCTGTACATGGCACACGCCTGCACAGCACATGCCTATATGGCACACGTCTGCAGGGCACATGCCTATATGACACACGCCTGCACATGGATTCCCACAGTCACCTGCTCATTCATTCACCAAAGTCATCCTGCAGTGGATTAATTCAGTGAAACAATCATTTCCTCAATCATTCATTCAACAACTATTTGATGCCTATTTACTATTGGGAAACATGGTAGGACAGACCGCTCTTAGCCAGGGGGCAGCAAAGGACCCAGGAATGCTCAGACCCCGGGCCTCCCCCATGAAGGCCCATAAGGGAGACACACGCCTTGAGAGCGAATGTCCATGCATCCTCGGCTGGGCTTAAGCCTGGGCCTCCAGTTCAGGTTGTGCAGCTGCTCACTGGGTCCCAGCTGGAGATCTAGAGGCCGTCCCTAAGTCCCAACCAAAAATATGGAGTCTTGACAAACGCCACCTGCCTCAAGAGAGGTCAGGCACCCGACAGACTCCGAGAAGAGCAGTCCCTCCCCAGGCAGTGACTCTACCCACTAGCAAATGAGGCTCCTCGTGGTCCTGGAACCAGAACAAGTCAAGCTCGAATTCCTCTTTGGATTGGAGGCTGCGGGAGGGGTGAGATGGGGACACCTAAGAGCTTGCCCCTCCACCAGAGACCTGCAGTGACCTTGAGTTCTAAGCCCCTGTGAGAAGCCGCAGCACCCACCTGCAGGATCCGGCCCTTCCATTTGAAAGGGATGCTCCAAGTTCTTGTGAAGTTCAGCTGTGCGAGAGCAGAGGAAGGAAAAGATTTGTCAGGAGCCATGAGCAGGGAGTGGCTATCTCAGATGAGGGCGTTAGGGCCAGCTGCCTGGAATGAGAGTGCTTCAGCTGGGCTTTAAGGATGACCAGGGTTTGTGCAGATTTGTGTGAGCTGAAACCTGCTCCAGGAAGAGGGCCTGCTGCATGTGGAAGACCGGGCCGGGAGGCACCAGGCAGACCAGCCGCTGGAGACTCACAGGCTCCGCAGGGAGGCAGCAATGCCAGCAGGAGCTAGATTGTCAAGTCCTGCGTGGGGGGTGGCAGAATGGCTGGTTGTCCCCTTGATTTCCGTTCTCTCCTCTTTCTATAGAAACACAGTTTCCTCTGAGCAATGTCTGCCCAGCCAAAGACCACATTTCCCAGCCTCCTTTACAGCCACATGTGACCGTGGGGGCTGTCCAGGCAGGGTAAAGACAGCCTTGTCCTAGACACGGCTCCTGGGTGCAAGGGATGGAAACTCCAACCAACCTATGCGAGGCCCAAAGGGGAACTGACGGGCTCATCAGGCAGCTTCAGGCACCGGCTGGGCCCTGCAGGCCCCGCTGCTGTCTCTCTCTATCCTGTCTCCTCACCTGAGGCCGCTGAGTGCCGACTTCCTGCTCCTGATGGGGCCTGTCCACAAGGTGGGTACACACACACATTCACACACGTGCAGGTGCCCCACACGTACACACATGCACACGCAAACACCTGTATGGCCCCATGCTCCCCCACACATATGTGCACATGCATGCACACCCACACACTCATTCATGCACACACACACGTATGTATATGCGCACTCACACATGTGCACAAAGGCATGACAAACATGCACACACACATCAATGAACCTAGGCAGACATATACAGGCCCACATATGTGTACACCTGTGCACACGGGCAGTTCGTGCATGCAGAGATACGTGTGCACACACATGCATTATCAGGGGGAACAGCAATGAGTTCAAAGCACAGGCTCCGAGGCCATGCAGACCCCATGCACGCAATTCCTGAGCTGCGGCCAGTCGCCGGACCTCCACCCTCACACCTAGAGAATGGTGACTACGGCATCCACCTCCTGGGGTTCCAATAACAGTCGAAGAAACAATGCATGGAAACCACTCCCAAAACCTGGTGCCTAAATGGCTAACAAGGCCACTCTGCTCTCTCCCCATGCGCTGTGCTCTGCTCTTCCCGGCTCCGGCTCTCTCTGTCTCTGTCATTCTGTCTCTGTCTCTCCCTGTCTCTATCTCTCCCTGTCTCTGTCTCTCCCTGTCTCTGTATCTCCCTGGCTCTGGCTCTCTGTGGCTCTCCCTGTCTCTGTCTCTCCCTAACTCTGACTCTGTCTGTCTCTGGCTCTCCCTGTCTCTGTCTTTCTCTGTCTCTGGCTCTCTCTGTCTCTGTTTCTCCCTGTCTCTGTCTCTCTCTGTTCTCTCTGTCTCTGGCTCTCCCTGTCTCTGGCTCTCTCTGTCTCTGGCTCTCCCTATCTCTGTCTCTGGCTCTCCCTGTATCTGTCTCTCTCTGGTTATGTCTCTCCCTCTCTCTGGCTCTCTCTGGCTCTGTCTCTTTCTGGCTCTGTCTCTCCCTGTCTCTGGCTCTCCCTGTCTCTGTCTCTCTCTGGCTCTGGCTCTGTCTGTCTCTGTCTCTGGCTCTCCCTGTATCTGTCTCTGGCTCTCCCTGTATCTGTCTCTCTCTGGCTCTGTCTCTCTCTGTCTCTGGCTCTGTCTGTCTCTGACTCTCCCTAGCTGTCTCTCTCTCTATATCTCTCCCTGTCTCTGTCTCTCTCTGGCTCTGTCTCTCCCTCTCTCTGGCTCTCCCTGCCACTGTCTCTCCCTGTCTCTGTCTCTCTCATCCCTGGGCTGTCCAGGGCCCTGTGATGACAGCCATTGGGACAAACACTCAGTCTCATTCATCTCAGGTCTTTGTTGGTCCAGGCTCCCGCTTTCTTCCCTTTTGCATCTTTCAGGAGAGTCACACCTGTCACAAGACGCCCAACAAATCCTCGATGATTAAGTGGAAGATCAGCTAGGGATGGGATTGAAAGAGAGTGTCTTTCTTGAGCAGCTACTGAGTATCCAGGCCTGTGATGGACTCTGTCATGTAGAGACAGGGAAGGGGGGCCCTGGAGGGCCTGGGTGTGTCCTGGAAAGGGCAGTGCACAGCGCTGGCCAGTCGGGGGTGATCCACACATGGGATGATCCGGTGAGGTCTGTGGCTCGGCTGCGCTCAGCACATGTGTTAAACGTGAGCTCTGGACCCGGGTCTGCACCGGAGGTGGTGAATGTAGGGATGAGTAGGTCACAGCCCCTCACTTCAGGATGAAGCTTGGTGGGAGAGAAAGAAGGCCAAAGAGTGATAATAGCAGCCAGGTGCAAGGTAACAAGGGGCAGAGGCGGGGAGCCCAGTCCTCTAACCAGGTTCCTGAATGAGGCGGCCTGGCAACAGGGTTTTGAAGGGTAAGTAGGAGTCCTTGAAAAGAGTGTCTTGTGGGATAAAGCCTCTGTGTACACAGACAGGCTGATGATTCACTTCTCACAGAGGCTGAGTCGTCGCCCAAGCTTACACCACTCTTAAATGGCAGAGCCAGGACTCAAACCCAGGTCTTTCCAGTTGAAACATCCATACTCTGAACATGCCACTAGCTAGGACATCCCTTTGTAACTTCCACAAACCTGTCCTTGTATAAGGGATCCCAGTGATCCCCTCCCCCGCACTCTAGAGCCACTTTCCTTGGGTGAAGGGGGCTGCAGTCTGTGGGGAACCTCCAGGTTTAACGTGAGGGGCTGTGGCCACTGCTGTCTCTTCCCACCAGCCCCCTTTCCTGGGTGGACCTAGCTCCCAACCTGGGTCCCAACAGTCCTCTGCTCTCCAGCTCCCAGGTCAGGAGAGAACCCTTCCTCACACCTGGCTCGTGCTGGGCCCTGTCCCTGAGCGGGGTCTACAGGGGACACACTCGGGGGCAAACCACCAGGGGTCCCCATGAAGGCAGCCTCAGCACTGGCACCATCTGTTTCACAGTGAGGACTCAGCCCAGGGATGGAACTACAGCCAAAGCCATGAAAGGAAGATGAAGAGCAGGAAGGAGGGAAGGAGGAGGGAGAGGGAGGGAGGAGCAGGAGGGAGGGAAGGAAGAGGGAGAGAGAAGAGTGAGAGGGAGGGAGGAGCAGGGAGGGGGAGGAGCAGGGAGGAGGGAGGAGCATAGAACAGGGAGGAGCAGAAGGGAGGGAGGAGCAGGGAGGAGAAACGAGCAGGAGGGAGGGGAGAGCAGGGATGAAGAGGGAGTGGGAGGGAGGAGCAGGGACGGGGAGGAGCAGGGAGGGGGAGGAGCAGGGAGGAGGGAGGAGCAGAAAGGAGGGAGGAGCATAGAACAGGGAGGAGCAGGAGGAAGGGAGGAGTAGGTAGGAGAAACGAGCAGGAGCGAGGGGAGGGCAGGGATGAAGGAGAGTGGGAGGGAGGAGCAGGGAGGGGGGAGGAGCAGAAGGGAGGAGAGAGCAGGGAGGAAAAAGGAGCAGGAGGGAGGGGAGAGCAGGGAGGAGGAAGGAACAGGAGAGAGGAGAGAGCAGGGAGAAGGGAGGAGCGGGAGGGAGGAGAGAGCAGGGAGGGAGGAGTGGGGGACTGGGCTCACTGGTGCAAAACGGAGCCACTCTGTGGGAGCCAGTAAACTAAGCCCAAGCAGAGAGCTGGGCACCCCGCCTTTCCCTCCCACCCTCAGCCACCCCCCACTGCCATGCACCCTGACCCAGTTGGAAGCGCGCTGGGAGGTGCCTTTGTCATCAGGAGCCCAGCCCAGCCCACAGCAGCAGACAACAGAGGCCTCCTGACCCACAGTTAACCCCACCCGGGCCTCGGGGACCCAATCTGCTCTGTGCCAGCTTCAGGCCCACCTGGCCTCCGGCTCCAGACTCTGCCGGCTGTCAAAATGCCCACCATTAGCAAGAGTGTCTCCCCCACTCAGAGGTCAAAGAGACGACGGATGCCCCAGACTCATGCATCGCATGGGCCACACCGGCTCACGTCTTCATTTTACAGAAACCAAGAAACGCACATCCAGATGGTGGCCCGCCTCCCGCCAGCCTGGATCCTGGATCACAGCCTACACACGGGACCAGCCGCCCCGCCACCCTGCAAGGCAACACCACACTCCCAGAAACTCGATGACCTCAGGCTCTGAGAGGCCCGTCTCCTGCCCTAGGTCACACAGCTGGCCAGGGCAGCCAGGATCTGAACAGGAACCACAAGCTCTCCCCAGGGGGCAGCCAGATAAGGAGGGTATTGGCCATGGTCATGCCCCAGCCTCCTGGTATCGGTCCCCGTCCCTTCCTCACCAATGTCCTCAGCCCAGGACCCAAGGAGGGCCTTCAGGGGGAGGGCAGCAGGTCAGCATTGGGGCCCGTGAGGGTCTCCAGGACACAGCCACTTTGGGACCACGGACAGGACCTGCTAAGTGTAACGGAATGCAGGGCCCTTGGGCCCTCTGTGGTCTGGTCTCTACTGACTGCGCCCCAAAGCAGGGCACCTCCCACATGCAGGCGCAGCCCCTCCCTCTGCATCCGCTCACCCTGACCCACGGACGGAATCCCACCATTCCTCCCCACACCTTGGCCCCTCCTCCCAGCTCTGAGCTCCTGCCTGTCTGGCAGTACAAGGTGCCCTTTTGGCTTTGAGAGAGGACACACATAAAGTGTGCTCAGTAATAGCACTTGTCAGCTCCCTGATGGGAGATTTCACAGAGGAGGGGGGCTTCAAGTCGGGTTTTGAAGAATGTGTAGGAGTTCACCAGGGGGTTCAGAGAGCAGGTGAGGGGCATTTTGAGTAGAAACAAAGAGGCAGGAAATATTCAAGGAAGGGAGAGGAATGAGACAGGCTTGTGCAGAGGGCCTGGCATGGGGGTGTGGAAGGTGACAGCCTCTTCGGCCTCCGAGTGTCAGGCCAAGGACTCACCAGTGTGAGCGTCAGAGGGGCCTCGGAAGGTCAGAGGAGGTTGGCGGTGGAGGGTCAGGCTCGCCATTCCAAGGGGGACCGGGCCACTGCTGTGTGACGGGGCTTGGGCTGGATCCATCCGGAGGTGCAGCCAGGGCCATGACGGGGAGGATGATGGACAGGAGGGCTGTTCAGGGGGCAAAAATAAATGGAATGCCTTTTTCTCGTGCCTTTGATGGATCCAAAGTCACTTTGTTAACATAAGAACATAAAAACGTATAATGCGTGGCTTGATTTGTACATAAAATTACCATGTTTGGTCTATTTGGAGAAAGAAGGCCTGCCAGGGGCAGGAGCCGCACGGGAGGGGCACTGCTTCTCCCCGAGGGTTTCTTTTGCTTCTTTTTCAGGTCTCTGCTGCACAGGTGCCTTGTTCATGTGGGGTGCTCCAGCCCGTCAGGGGTCAGAGGTTGGAGGTCAGCCCAGCCGCCGGGCAAGAGGCCCCCTCTTCCCTGTGGGGTGCCCCTCCTTGCTCATGGCCTGACCAGTGTGGGGAAGGAGAGGGGGCCCCTCAGAAGCAGGACTGGGGTAGATGGATGACAGCTTTATCCACACTCGACGCCGGGGTCGCTCCACCCTCTCCCCAGCTGTCCCCAAGGGCAGGGGCCTTGGTGCCTGGTCAGGTGTTCCCTTGGCCTCCCACCCTCCAGGGCTCCCTGACCCCCACCCCACCCCCTGCTTTGAGGTCCATCCCGGCACCAGCCCCCTAAGGTTTTCGTCTGATCCCAACTCAGAAGCCTGGGGTCACCGCATTCCCGTTGCCCCGCGCCCTGCCTGGAGCAAAGATGCCTGCTGCACACACGCCAGGCCCTGCCAGCGCCCGCACGAAACAGCTCGGCTCCTCCTCCTCAGCAGAGCTCAGGAGGCAGATGAGACTCTTATGCCCCCTCAAAAGACAAGGCACCCAGAGGCAAGGCCACTCCCATGAGGGCACCCCGCTAACGAGGGCAGGGCTGGAGCTCCATCCAGGGCCACCTGCCCTGCAGAGCTACGCTGACCCTGTCCCACCTGCGAGGGCGTCCAGGGCTTGGGGCCGGGCCCTGCTCTGCCCCTGCTTCTCTAGTTCGTCCTCACCCTGCCCAGCTGGCACAGCATCTGCAGGGTGGAAACTCACACTCCTGGGCACCACGGGATGCAGCCCAAGCCCAGCCTGGTGGTGACACCCTTGAGGTGTTTGGGGTCGGCGATGTGACATTGCTGGCTCTGTAGGTCAAAACTGTGAAATGCTGGCGGGTTCACGTGATTCGTCCTGAAGTCCGGTAGGGGACCTGAGAGCCTCTGCCTCGCCCCGCACTGTCCCCATCATCTTCTGACCCCCCGCAGGGCTGGCCACCCTCCAGGAGTCACACCTCTGTGCTCTGGAACCAGCAGTGAACCTCCAGGAGTGCCATCCCTCAGTGCAAAGACACTGCCCTGATATCCAGAGATCCCCCAGGTCCCCTCCCATGGCCGTGCTGCCCTCAGCTCCCATACCTGGGCCCAACCCCCCACTGCATGCCCTCGGCTCCCCAGCGCCCTCAGAGCCCCAGCACATGGCGGGTGCCCCAGGAGTCCCTGGAGGGCAATGGAAGGCCTCCTAACCCAGGCTGCTGACCCAGTCAGGGTCCAAAGCCAAACCCAAGGATGAAGGTGTCGGAGAGCTGGCAGCCAGGAGCAGGTGGAAAGGCCAGGGTGGCAGAGCCTGAGAGACAGAGGGAGACAGGGCTGCCGGGCTCATGGAACAGGCCCAGCCCCTGAGTAGCAGCCTCGAGCAGCTGAGCCCAGAGAAAGATGTTGAAAGTCAGCCCGTAGCAGGCAGGGCAAGGGCCTGGGAGGAGAGGGGCCAGACCCCTGCCTGGGTGGGACCTCTTCCCAGAGCCAACGGCACTGCTGCCCCTCGGTGTGGCCTCTGAGCCCCGCTGTAAAGCAAGTGACACCCACCTGGTAAGGACTGGTCAGCGCCGAGCAGGGTGGCCCGGAAGCTCATGGTGCACATCCACGCAGCCACCACATCCCATCCTGTCCCAGGAAGTCACAGGTATTTCCCATTCTGTGGACGGCAGCCGAGGCTGGAGGAGGAGAGACCCGGCAGGCTCCAGGCCCCGCCTGCCAAGCACCATGCTGTACTGCCCACAGTGGCCAGCGTCCCTCAGTGTCCAGCAGCTGCAGGAGACCTGTGGAAGCCCCAGGAAGAGGCCTCAGGGCGTGCCTGGCTGGGCCCTCTCTATCTGAGTCCACTGCATCTTGCATGAAGGTTCCTTGGGAATCCTGGGGAGACCTGGGAAGTTCATTGGGAGCTCTGGATGCTGAAGGCCAGGAGCTTGGGCCGGGTGGGGAGGGCGGTGCAGGGGCTGGGGGGCTTGCCAGGGTCTCCTAGCACAAGCCACCCAGCTCCCGGCAGGTGGAGTCAAATAGACGTGTCTCCTCCACCGCCTCCACCCTCCCAGCCGAGGGCCCAGACCCCATATTGGCTCTCTCAGGGCCTCGGCCTCCTCTTGCCCTCCTAGAAAAGGCCCTGAAGAGGGAATTCTCATGGCTCCCTGGCTCTCCTCAGCGACTCCCTCCCACAGCAAGCAGGCCTGGAGCACCAGCACCTGACCCTCTGGGAAGCAAGCAGGTGGGAGCAGGGAGGGCGAGGCTCCCAGCCACCCCGCTGCTGGTGGAAAGCCTGGGTCTGAACCCACATCTTCCACAGTATGAAGGAGGCTCGATCAATTCCGGAAGATGCTAGACTTCTTCCAGAAATTCCAGCCCCAGATCCTGCCTCTTGCCTCCTCCCCAGAGCCTTGTTTCACAACATGATTGAACCGCCCCATTATTTAATAAAACTGTCAGAACAACTGATTTGTGCGATGTACATGGTTCCCTTTTTTTGCTCTTCTTTCTTTCCAGATTCAATAAACCCTGAAGTTGTTCCAAGAAGACAGGCGAGTGATGGGAAGCATCAATTTCCTGAGGACCAGCCCGGCTGCACAGGACAAGCCGCACTGAACCCAGTGGGGAGCCACCCCTAGAAAGGCCAGGGCAGCTGCTTATAGGGAGGCAACAACCACCCCTGCATGTGGAGGGTAGGAGAGGAGGTGGCAGGGAGTGAGTGCAACCAGGGAAAGCTTCCTGGAGGAGGAGACATCAGGATTCTGTCTTGACGCACTAACAGGAGTTTGCCGATGGAATAGAGGTGCAAGAGAATTGCATACAGAAGGAAAATTGAGTTTGCAAGGACATCTGCAGGACAGCAGGGGCTGGGGGAGAACGCTTAGGGTGACAGAGTGCGTGGCCCCGGGGGGGTAGAGCGCTCAGACTTTGAAGTCAGAGCTCATACCAGGCCTGGGTGCCAAGGTAAGGTCCTTGATCTCCAGGCTGGGGTCACTCAAGGGCTGCAGGATTCTCAGGGAGGACTGTAGGTCCCACAGGCACTGGGCTCGGGAAGGGGCAGTGTCCCCAACCCACAACAGAGCTGGTGTAGCCGGGAGCCTCGCCCCTTCCCAGTGCAGGGAGAAGGCAGCCCACAGCCTCCATCACCCAAAGGAGTCGACTTTCGCACGCGCAGGGCTGTCAGGCTGACTGTGCACCCAGAACAATGCAGCCTCATCGCTACCGGGTCCTGTTGACTGTCAGGCCCTGGGACTCAGCTGCTTCAGCTCCTAAACTGGGCACCTCTTTCTGACTCGCTTGTTGGGAGAAAGGCTCCGCCCCTCTCCAGACCCCGCCCCCAGGGAGGAGGGGCAAGACCTCTCATTGGAGGGCTCTGTGGGAAGGCGGGCTCTGAGCACCAGCTCTGCCCCTAGCAGCTGCTGGGCTGGGGCAGGAAGGGGGAGAGTCCCCATGGCCCCAGCAGCAAGCCCCTGCCTCTCTCCTGTCCGGCTGCTGCCCCACTCTGAGGCCCAGGTTCTCTTCTCCCAAGAGCGAGTGCGTTGGGTAAGTCAGCGCCAGGGACCAGCCCCCAGGTTCCCCAGCTCCCAGGTGAGTGCAGAGAGAGGGGCGGCAGCTACAGCCCACTTAGCTCAGGCCACCTGGTCCCAGCGCCACGAGGCCGGAAGCTGCCTTCTCCCGAGGGCCCTCAGACCCCTCCACCCCTGCCCAGCCCAGCCTCCAGCTGCCCACTGCCCTCAGCCCTCACGCCCTCACTCACTTCACAGGCAGCAGAAGTGGGCTGGAGTTCCAGCCGTGTGGCTGGGGTGAGCAGAGGGAGGGTTTTCGCTGAGACGTGGGTGAGGCTGCTCCCTCCATAGACTGTGAGAATCGGAGGGTGTCCCTCCCGTACACCTGGAAACTCCCAGACACCCCAGGACACTCCCTGAAGGGTCCTTGGAAAGGCCTGACAAGGAAGGGGGGGCACTCTGCCAGACACTCTGTCAGAGAACATTCTAGACTCACCTCCCACCTGCCCCCTCACTAACAGCCTGCCCTCTCGGCCCGTCCTGGACGCCTCCCTCACTAACAACAGCTAAGTGTAGCAGAGCCTGCGATTTTTTCCCCCAGTTTTGGAGGGCTTCTGGCTGTCTGGCTAAAGACTCTGTTTTCCAGCCACCCTTCAGCAGGGGTAGTCCTGGGACCAACATATGGCCAGTAGGATGGAGGGATGGGACGAGGGAAGCCTCTGGGCTAAGTTGCTAACAGGAAGGAGCCGGCCACCCTGGTCCATTCTCCCCTCCCTGCTGGCCAGAGGATAGATGTGATGGCCGGAGCAAGAGCAGCCACCTTGGCCACAGATGGAAGCTGTGTGTCGAGGACAGCAGAGAAACAGGAGGAAAGGAGCCTGGGCTTCACTGTGGTGCTGCCACAACCCCCCTGGGCTGCCTGACCCCCCTGGGTTGCCACAAACCCCCTGGGCTGCCCACACTTCCATGGGGTCACCTGCCCTCTGTCCACTGCTCTTATTTCTGGCAGTGGCCTGAGCCCACAGCCCAACTCACCCCCACAGCATTTCTCATCCTGCTGGGCCTGTGGCTCTGGGCAGGTCCCTGCCTGGGGATTCCTGGCATCTGCCCTCTCATGGGTCTTTCAGTCTAATTGGCAAAACATTTGAAGAGCTCCTGCACTCACAGAGTGAAACCCCAGGAAACGGAGCCCGCGAGGGATGCCAAGCTCTCCTAATAACAACACCTTTGTTTATTGTGGGATGTGGGCTGCTGTTGTGATGCAGGATCCAGACCTCGAGTAACCCTGTGCGATGGCAGGCCTTCACCCTGGGACTGGCCAAGGGCCCTAGCCCCTTCATCAGAGGTAAAAGGGTATCCCCATTCCCACCCGCCTCCCACAGGGCTCCAGCCTGACACCACTCGAAACATCTCATCAGGCCTATTCTCCCGACTCCAGGTCACCCATGACTCTCCCGCCCTCATCCGTTTCTGCACATTCCTCGCCATGCCCATCTCCCTCCTGCCCATCCCGGAGCCCACCGGACTGCACAGCCAGCATCAGCACAGCCTGTCCTGCTGAGTGGGGCTGCCTGCAGTCCATGGCACGAGATAGAGGCAGAACCTGGAGGCAGGCCGAGGTCGCCGCTACTCCTGGCCACTTCCAGACCACCCTGCCACCATCCTCCCTTCAGTCCACGGTCCAGACTTCCTGGAAGGCACCTTGCAGCCTTCGTTTGCCGAATTGTGAGATGCGTTTGCTCACCGGCCTCCTCCCGCTGAGCGTCCCTGGTGTCTGACCCACCTCTGTTTCCTTCTGTATGCACAGGTGTTTGTTGCATGACTGAACGACATTGAGGAGGGGACACGGCTCAGTAGAAACTTCCTTTAAGATGCATACAAGCTGCGGCAAAGCAAAGTGTGTTTACAAGGAGTTCCTGTGTGGGCTGGGCAGGGGCATCAGCTGCTCTTACTGGGGGAGGATGGTAGTGATGCAAACACAAGAGGTAGGGTTGGCAGCCGCACCCCTTGCAACTATCAGGGCAGCCTTGGGGCTTTCACAGGCGTGGTGAGGACCTGTCCTTGCGTGTTTCCCTCTTACCATGTTACCATGGAAACACACCATGCATGGACCTTACCCTGCGGATATGCCCCCTACGTGGCAAAAGGGATGTGCGGATGTGAAGGACCAGGAGATGTGTGACAATCCTGGGGGACCCAGGTGGGTCCTAAATGTCACTTCAAGGGTCCTTTTAAGAGGAAGGCAGGTGGCCAGGCTTATGCCTATAATCCCAGCACTTTGGGAGACCGAGGTGAGAGGGTCACTTGAGGCCAAGGCCAGCCTGGGCAAAATAGCAAGACCTCGTCTCTACAGAAAAAAATTAAAAATTAGCCGGGCATAGTGGCGTGCCCCTGTAGTCTCAGCTACCCGGGAGGCTGAAGCAGGAGGATCACCTGAGCCCAGGAGATGGGGGCTGCAGTGAAGCATGATGGCACCACTGCACTCCAGCCCTGCATTCAAGCGCGGGTGACAAAGCGAGACCCAATCTCAAAAAAGAAAAAGAGAGGGAGGCAGGAGACAGGTGTGAGGAGGGGAAGGGCTGCGAGACAGAGGCTTCGAGGAAAGCAGAAGGTCTCCAGAAGCCTGCAGAGGCCAGGAGGGAGCCTCCCATGGGGCCTCTGGGAGGAGCCTGCTCTGCCGACGCCTAGATGGAGCCCCTAACTCTCCTTCTGGATTTCTGACTCTGGAGCTGTGAGAAACGAACTTCTGTTGGTTGAAGTCACGGGTTGGTGGTTAGTTATTACAACAGAAACAGGAAACCGGTATGTCGGGTCGCTCCCAGCCTCAAGCCCCAGCTCTATTTTCCCATAAAAGCTAAGTTCTCACCATGAGGTGCTCTAGCTGCCAGGGTGGAGGAGGGGGTGTCACCCCACACTGATTTGTGGGCCCAGGGGTGAGGACACCTCACCTGCCACCCAGAACCGGGCCCACATCTCCCGGCGAGGCCTCCGTGGCTGCATTGCCGGCAATGACTAGGTGTTTTATGCTGAACGTTGAAGATATTTTCCACTGGAGATTTAACACGGAACATCAAGAACCATTGAAATCACTCATATCAATTGAAGATACAATAATTGAACCCCATAAAGATTACTGAGAAGCTGGTGGAGCTATAAGGAGAGGCATAAATAGAGATAAATTGGGCCCCCTCCACCCCCCCAGCCTCCCCCTGGAAGGAGCTCATTAGAGATGCTCACGGGGCCACTCAGTGACAGAGACCCACAGCAGGGAGAGGGGGGCCGGGGGGTTCCCACCACAGAGGGGCCTGAGCAGATCCAGAAGCTTCTGTGCATCCGTTAATGGTCTTGATCGGGTCCTTGGTGAAAGCGTGGAGCGAAGGGACCCAGGGGATGACAGCTCTGTTCTCCAGCGGCCTAGGCATCTCCTTTCCTCTAAGGGCCGCACCCCGAGCCCTGATCTGGGCCGCACACGGAGCCCCGATCATAGCCATACACTGAGTCCTAACCCAGGTCATAATCCAAGCCTCATCCTAGGCAAAGTCTAAGCCATGATTCTGGCCCCAAACTGAGCCCTGCTCTGGTCACAGTCTGAGCTCTGACCAAGGTCACATACTGAAGGCGGACTGTGACTGGAGGCTGAGTCCTGAGCCCTGGTGTCTCATCTCAGGCGGGTCCAAGCTCCAGGACTGTGGGTGCTCCCAGATGTCCACCACATCCGCTCACGCTGCCCTCTCTCTGAGCTTCTCACAGGCCGGGCCCTGGCTGGGCTCTGCATATGGAAAGAAAGGCCCCCTGTCCTCAGGGCATTTGACTCCCCGCAGGGAGGCAACACCTGAACAGTGATATCAGCCAAGTACTGTGGATGACGGGAGTCCCCAGCCCGGCTCTCCCTGCCCTCCCATGCCCAGGCCTCCAGCTCTGACCCTGAGAGCCCTCCAGCCGCCGTCTCCGCCCTCTGCCAGGCAGATCAGAGCACTGCTCCCACCTCTGAGCGGGGCCCCTGTCCTGGTCTGCTGTGTGTAGAGGCTGAGGTCGAACAGGCTGAGCACCGGGGGCCTGGGGTGCACTCCCTGAGTGGCAGGGCAGGGCCCCCTCCATGGGGCCTCACTCCTGCTTGTCATGGTTCAGAAGAGCTGAACGGGGAAGCAAAAGGCACAAAGTCAGCCTGTCTGGCTTTGCAATCTTGGCCTCCCCTCGGCTGCATGGCACAGAGAGGTTTCTTGCCATCTCAGAGCTTGGCCTGCCTAGCTGCAAGGGGATGATGACGGCATCTGACTCCTGGGCTGTGAGTGTCATCGGAGGGGACCCAGGCAATCACTGACAAGTTCCCGGGGCATGAAGCCCTCATGAAAGGGAACACAACCATGATCAGGTCCTAGGAGCGCCACACTGCCCTGGACTCCAGACCCGTGATCCTCCCATGCTGCCCCCAGGGTCTCTCAAGGGCCCACAGCCTCCCTGCCCTGCTCTGTGCCCCCTTCCTGGGCCCTCCCGCCTGTGGACCCTTCTCCGTGCTGTTCCCTCCTCCTCTCCCAGATCAACTCTCTATTTCCCGGCTCCCTGGGCACAGGTGTGAGGCTAGCAGCTGTGACTGTGCAGGGTGAACGGCTGATGCCCCAGCCACCCTCCCAGGCTCGTAAATCTGCCCTATTTCCCTCAAGCCGATACTCAGCCAGGCCGCCTGCACAATCCAATATATTTCAGTTACAAGCTGGTCTATTACCTGATTCATAACCGATCTGTCAACCTGAGAAATCAATGCATCCGTGGGATGCCACATACATAACACCTGGTGCATAATTGAATTCAGGCTCCCTGGCATCTCAGTGCATGGCAGGTGCTGCTGGGAACCTCAGCCCCCTCCCCTGGGACAGGGGTAGGGGCAGGGAGAACGTGCCTCCTGGCTGCGGCACCGGGGTGCAGCTCCGGAAGGACGTCTGCAGTTCT
The DNA here is from genome assembly GCF_000001405.40 of Homo sapiens. Taxonomy (NCBI): domain Eukaryota; kingdom Metazoa; phylum Chordata; class Mammalia; order Primates; family Hominidae; genus Homo; species Homo sapiens. The sequence goes on from NC_000008.11 coordinate 142,203,367, forward strand.
AGGCGTGGCTGGGTGATTCGGATCCTGGGCATCCTTGCCATTCTGTCTCAACTCTATTTGAAGAGACCTCAGAGCCTTTTCACCCAGCCTCCCACACCTGAGCAGTGGGCCCCCTCTCTGCCTGCACACTCACTGCCTCTGAGCGGCCCAGCCCCCACTCTCTGCCTGCACACTCACTGCCTCTGAGCGGCCCAGCCCCCACTCTCTGCCTGCACACTCACTGCCTCTGAGCGGCCCAGCCCATTGCAGACAGTACAGACCCACAGAGCCAAAAGTGCTGCATTTACCAGGCCCCTCCCTAAGATATCAAAATGCCAGCTACTCAGAACCTTCGGGGGAAGGTATTATTGGCTCATTGTATAAATGAGGAGTCTGAAGTCAAGGAAACGACCTTCCTAAGTTTGAACCACCAAGCTTGATTTGAAACCAGAGTCAGAACCCAGACCCACGACCTCTCGTGCATCTGAGATGAAGCCCAAGGGGCTGCTCCAGGGTGGTCAGCAGGGGCGGGGCCAGGGTGGTCAGCAGGGGCGGGGCCAGGGGCGGGGACTCCACAAACAGGAGCTTTCGGGGTCTACAGGGTCTGCATGTGCAGGGGGCGCTGTCTCCCTCTGGTTGGTGTATTTGTGGGGCAGAAACTCAAGTGATTGGGCAAGACCCTGCCCGTGTCCAGCTGCCACGTGGCCTTGGGAGGTCTCCTGTCCCCTCCAGTCCACAAGGTCATCTGAGCTCCTGGTTCCTGTGGCTGGACATCCTCGCTGACCTCACCTCTGGCGGATTCAGAGAGGCCAGGAGGTGCAGGCTGGGTGCCCTTGGCAGCCAAACCTTTCTGGAAGCCCAGGGCTGACTTCAGCTGGGTGCCCTTGGCACCTGGACCTTCTAGAAGCCTGGGGGCTGACTCCAGCTGGGTGCCCTCGGCACCTGGACCTTTCTGGAAGCCTGGGGGCTGACTCCGGCACCAGACACAGCTGGGGCTCCCCTCCCTCATCCCGCCTCGCACCCTGTCATTGATTCTCCTTTTCATGATCGTGGCACCCACGATGGAAATGGCATCTCAGCTCCTGCAAGGATCTATACCCCAAAATAGCAAAATAATTCCCATGGTGCGAGAATGCTTCAGACAGAGGCATGCGGGCTGGGGTTATTGGGGCCATGTTTCCACATGCACCTAATGTATGGACACATCTATTCCTGGGGCCGCCAAATCAATCCATGTGGAAGCCTGGGGAGCTGTGCGTCTCCCATGTGTCAGAGCGTGGAGGGAGCGCCGGGGGTGGGGGGCAGGGGCAGAGGCCCAGATGCTGGGTCCACCATGGAGGCTGCCAGGTGCTGAGGGGGGTCATTAAATACACCCCCCACACCCCTCACTTGTGTGAAGGTCAGAGGACAAAGGACGGACAAAGGCATCTGGTCACCTCTAAAGGGCCACACAGATGCCTCTCACCCTCACCCCACATCACAAATGAGAAACTGAGGCCCGGTCAGGAAGGCATCAGGTGGACAGGGGCCAGGACCCCATTGCTTCAGGCTCTGTGAGTGGCTCCCTCGTGCCAACACATGCACACATATGCACACACAGAGACACACATGGACACACACACGTGCACAGACATATGCACACACACACAAACACGCATATACACAGACATATGGAGACACATGGACACACACACGTGAACACACATGCACACACACAAACACGCATATACACAGACACACACGGAGACACATGGACACACACACAGGCACATATGTGCACAGAGACACACATGGACACACAGGTACACACAGACACCACAATGCAGATATATGCACATGCGCAAGGAACACGTGCATGCACACATACACATGCTCACACACATATGCACACACATGCACACACATGCTCACACATGCTCACATACATATGCACACACACATGCTCACATACATATACACACACACATGCTCACACCGAAGCAAGACACACACAAACACACACAGGCACTTACACACCGGGAAGCACTTCTCAGGGGGTTGTGGCATCTCTGCCTCTGGTGGCCTCTCCTGCAGGGGTCTCCACTTGGTGGTGTTGGGGGCCCCACCTGAGCCCTGGCGAGACCTCGCCTCCCCTCTCCCGGCTACAGGACATGCCAGGGCAGGGTGTGGCTTGTTCACCGAAGCAAGCCCCAGGGTGGATGCAGGGCTCAGGGAAGCCTCTCCCAAGGGAGCACAGGCAAGCGCCCTCAGTGGGGCACAGCTGGAGCAGCGCCTCCATGGCCACATGGCTCTGGGGTGAAGCCCGGCTCTTGGGCTGAAGGCCCCTGGTACCTGAGGGCCTCCCATATTCCCATCTGGAAAGTGGGGTTGGCAATGATGCCCATCTGCACAGCCAAGCCAGTCCAACACCTGGTGCCAAGCTGGCACCAGGCACACGGGCACACAGACCCCAGAGTGGACGGTGGGATGTGAGGGGAAGGGGGAAGGACAGGTGACAGCAGAGGCAGGCTCTGAGCCAGAGTCATGCAGGACGCACTGCCCAGCACTCCTTTCCCCGAGCCCTAAACAGACTCACAGAAGGTCTCAGCCAAAGGGGCTCTAGAGACCGGGGGGCCCATCTCACAGATGGGGAAACCAAGGCCCAGGGAGAAGAGGTTCATTCAGGAATACGCAGCAGATCACAGACCCTCAGAACTCGACGGGCCTCCAGGCTGCTCCCTGCCAGATGGGAACTCGCAGAGCAGCCACGAGACAGCGGAAGGGGCAGGGGCAGGGGCAGGGGCAGGGTCTGCCGTCTTCCTCTGGGACTCGCCCCATCTTGAGCCGAACAGATGAAACCGTTGACAGTGAAGCCTCGCCTGGGAGGACTTCAGCTCACAGCACGTGGGCCGGCCTGAAAGGGAGGACCCAGGGAAGGGGTGCTGGGAGGGCTGGGGACCCGGCAGCTCCTGGCCGGCATCCTCTATGAACTGCAGCAATTCATTATCCTTCCTCCAGCTGATGAGGATGATCAGGAGGACAATTAGTCTTGGAATTACCGCGGAGGAGACCGTTAAGAGAAAAATAAATTAAAAAGAAATCCATTCGAGGTGTAATTGTAATACAGTGTATCATAGTCAATTGAATCACAAATACAAGCTGGTCCCTTGTCGATTGATTTCAGCAAGTAAACAATTTGGGTATCTAAATTGGAAACTCGCCGGGAAAAGGAGCAATGATTTGGTTAAAGGGAGAACTGAAAACGTCAGGCCAAAAATTGGTTCTAGGTGTCTGGCTGCTACAGGACTGTGCAGGTGACCCTAGATGGGAGGGAGGTCACCAGCTCCTCCCTGCCTGCAGGTCAAGGTCACCCCATCTGGAAGCTACCTAGACCCCAGCAATGTTACCTGACCTGTGACACCTTTGTTCCTGTGTCCTCCTCTGTGCCGCCCATGGTGAATGTGGCTTCTCTGTCTACATGGATGCACTCCCACCACACTGGGAGCTTCTGGGGCACAGGAGTCCTGCTTTACTTCCTATGTTGAGCCCAGGTAGGTGGGGTGGGGGTGCTTAGAAGGCAGCTGTCCAGAGAGCAAATGAATGAATGGGTGGATATGTGGGGGACAGGTGGCGAAATGAATGAATGAATGCATAGATAGGGGATGGATGGATGGATGAGTGGGTTGGTGGATGGGTGGATAGATGGGTGGGTGGATGGATGGGAGCTGGATAGGGAATGGATGGGTGGATGGTAGATGAATGGGGGAATTGGATGAATAGATGGATGGGTGAATGGGGGAAAGATGGGCAAATGTCTGGGGAATGGATGGGTGAATGGATGGATGGGTGGGTAGGGGATGGATAGATGGATGCATAGATGGGGGATGGATGGGGATGGATGAGTGGATGGATAGATGGGGCTTGGAGAGATAGATGGACAGGTAGGTGGGTGGGTGAGTGGATGGATGGGGAATGGATGGATAAATGGGAGATGGAGGGATAGATGGATAAATGGCTAGATGGGGAGGAATGGATGGATACGTGGATGGATAGGCATTGGAGGGATAGATGGGTGGGTGGATGGGTGGGTGGGTGGGTGGATGGATGGGGAATGGGTGAATAGATAGGGGATGGAAGAATAGATGGCTGAATGGATGGATAGGTGGATGGATGGGGGTTAGAGGGATAGATGGGTGGGTGGGTGGATTGATGGGGAATGGATGAATGGATGGAAGGATAGATGGATAAATTGATGATGGGGAAGAATGGATGGACAGGTGGATGGATGGATGGATGGAGGTTAGAGGGATAGATGGGTGGGTGGATGGATGGGGGTATGGGTAGATGGATGGGTAGATGGATGGGGAATGGATGAATAGATGGGGGATGGAAGGATAGATGGATAAATGGATGGATGGGGAGGAATGGATAGATAGGTGGATGGATGGATGGGGGTTAGAGGGATAAATGGATGCATGGATGGATGGGGAATGGGAGGATGGATGGGGGATGGAGAGATGCTTAAACAGACTTAAAAGACTAAGGTATTGACAGCAGGTAGCCATTTCTCCCCCTCTGCAAGAACTTTGGACCTGAGATTCCAGAGCCCTTTTTAAATCTTCCAACAAGGAAACTATTTTGTAGCAAAAAAAAAAAAAAAAAAAAAGCAGAGTCACACCTGAGGCCTCCAGAATTCCCTGGCTTCCTCCATCACCCTGAAGCAGGTGGCCTCCTGTGCAATGAAGAGGGTGCCTGAAGACCCCAGTTAGAAACAATGCCCCATGCGGAGGGGGTGCTGTCCTACAGGATGGGGTGTGTGCTGAGAACGAGGGACTTATATCTGGAGCTCCTTCTCCCCCAGGCAGAACCTATGGGGTGGTGTCTCTCATGGTTACATTCTCCACCAGTTCACATTCCCCTTCTAGGGACTGCCCAAGATAATGCCCAGTGCAGGAATGTTTCCACCAGGGGTCACAGGAATGGCTCTGCTGCCCTGGGGGCTGAGTTGGCCACCTGTCTGGTGCCACCAAGTTAACAAGCAAAGCAGCATGAAGGCAGTGGCTGGGGAATCAACCCTGATTATCAAGGATAGGAGGCCTGAAGAACCACATGAAGAGAGTGCCCACAACCCAGAGGATCTCCTGGATACAGCTGTGTTACCATGATGTCCAGTGGAAGACACCACAACCCCATTCAGGAGGGACCTCCAAGCCTGAAAGCCTCAGAGTGATGGTTTGACTCACACCACCAGTAAAATAACTTCCAACAAGCTGAGCAAGAAGAAAAGGGGAATTGTGGCAAATTGCATTTTCCGAAAATGGTCACCTTACCACTATTCCATCAAGAGGTGGTGCTATGGTTTGAATGTGTCCCCCAAAGTTCATGCGCTGAAAACTTTACGTAAACACAAATGCAATAGTGTTGAATGGTGGGACCTTTCAACACTATCGCAAGGGTGATTAGGTGCTGATGGCTCTGCCCTCATGAATGGATTGTCATTGTTGAGGGAGTGGGTTCCTGATGAGAGAATGGGTACAGCCTTTCCCTCTTTCTCACATGTGCTCTTGTCCTTCTGCCATAAGATCATGGAGCAAGAAGGCTCTTGAAAGATGCCGGTCCCTGGACCTTGGACTTCCCAGCCTCCAGAACTGTAAGAAATAAATCTCTGTTCGATATGAAGTATTCAGTCTTGGGTATTTGGTTATAGTAGCACAAGCAGACTAAGACAAGCAGAGTCTCCTTCCCCTCCTCTGGAACCTAGGGAGCTTGTGACTGCTCCAACCAAGAGAATGTGATGGAGGTGATGCCATGTGACTTCTGAGGAGAAGTCATAAAAAGGATGCAGTTTCTGCCTGGCTCACTCTCTTGAAATGCTCCCCCAGGAGCCAGCTGCCATCTTGTAAGGAAGCCCAATCCACATGGAGAGGAAAAGTGTGGGTGTTGGATCCTCAGCCCCAGCTTAGGTCCCAGCAGACAGCCAGCATCAACCAGGAAGCATGTGACTGAGTGAGGCTTCAGGTGATTCCAGCCCCAAGCCTTTGAGCCAAACCTGGGGGGCAGGAGGCTGGCAGGGTGAGTAAGACTAGGGATATGTAGGGCCAAAGGGAAGAGAGGACCCATGTTCCTGCCCTGGTCCAGGCCCTGCATTTTCATTTTGCACTGGGACCCCCAAATCCTGTGGCTGCTGCTGAGCGGAAGGGACTTCTCCAGTGAGCTCCCTCGGCAGATCCATGGCTCAGAGCTCAAGGGGCCCAGCAGTGTCCTGGGGCCCTAAGGCCAGCAGCCGGGAAGTTCCTGGGCAGTGGGTTCCCCAAGGCACGGTCCCCACAGCTCCCACATGAGGAGGGTGCCAGGTCCAACCCTCCCACAGCAGCCTGAGCCTCCACGCCCTGCAAGCTTGTCCATGTCACCCTCCCGGGCAGGATTTGAGGCAGAGGTGTGTGATCCATGCTGTCTCCATCGTACCAGAGACAGCCAGCAAGGAGGGCAGGAGAGAGAGGGCCACAGACTCCTGAGCCCTGGCCTGGCACATGATACCCACTGGACAGACACCTCTGGTCCACTGACTATGCACCAACGTCATGTTCTTTCCATCACCTATCAGGGGAACTTTCCCCAGAAGTTCAACAATTCTGACCTTTGGGTTCCCATAAATTGTGTCCAGCCTGGGAACCAGAAGACCCATTTTCATTCGAGCTCTGCCATGGAGGTGCTGTACGACTTTGGGGAAGCCCAGTCTCTCTCTGGGCCTTGGCCTCTCAAGAAGGAGGGGGCTAGTGAAGGTGCACAGACGCCCTCCCTCAGTGGCCTGCTGCCTCCCGAGGTGCTACCGTGGCACTGCCCTCCCGTCCACCCCTTCTCCTATCCTGTCCTGTCCTGGCACCAGATGGACACCTGCCAGGTGGGCCTGTCTGGCTGCGGCTGCTTGGCTGGGACAGCGGGCAGGGCTCTCAGCCTCCTGCTGCTCCAGACAGGGGACCTGAAGGTGACTGTGACCCTTCAGTCCTGAGTGGGGAGGCCGCGTCTGGCCAGGTGGTAGCAGCTGCTGCCAAGGCAGCACTGTCCTGGCTTCCCCTCCTGCTGGCTCTCAGACTGAACTCCTCACCCCAGAACACCTGCTCCCACCCAGGGCCCACCCCGGGGAAGTGCTGACGGGGCAGGGGCTCAGGGCAGCCAGTCACAGGGCTGCATTCCACAGTGGGCTGACCTCCCACATAGCCTCCAAGGTCACGCAGCTCACAGAGAGCGAAGGCAGAGCCCCCAGCCTGGTCCTCCCTCCCTGGCAGCCTGGCTCAGGCATCTCCCTGCAGGCAAGCCCCTCCTCTCCCGGCTCCATTTCCTCATCTGTAAACTGTGCACGTGACCCCGGCCCACGGGCTGTCTCCCAGCTGCGTAGGAGACAATTGGGTGGTGAGCACCTGGCCCCTCCACCATCAATTCTCGGCCTGCCCTGCCCCCAGAGCCTCCTCCCTCAGCCTCATCATGAGCCTCCCAGCAAATGCGGCCTGCCTGGACTGAGTCTGGGCTCCTCAGCCTCTGGAGCCCTCACACCTGCAGCCAGGAGGTGCCAAATCCAATTTGCTCCCTGACACCTCCTCGGACATCCTGGGGCCCGCCTGCTGCAGCAGCAAATCTGAGAAGGTGGCAGCAGCTCGGGGGCGGACCGTCTGCCCAGCTCCCCTACCTATCACTGAGCCCAGCAGTGCTGCCTCAGTGGTGTGTTTCTCAGGCCCCTGGGAAGAAAATTGTTGAGAAATAGCTTCACAGAATCTCTAAAACCCTGAAGCACCATGTGTGGTGCTGGCTTTGTGGGGGTTTCAGGCCTTGGCGGAGGGCGTGGGGCAGGGAGAGGCTGGGGCCATCTCCTCCCTCTGCCTGAGCAGGAACCAGCATCTGCAGACCTAGCTGGATGCGCGTGGAAGGGGGCGCACTGTCTCCTGGGGGGGTCACAGACTCTGCCTGCCCTGCAGGGTCTGTTGTGGGCCCCCACCCTCAGTCCTTGGCTGAGGAGGGTGCTAGGGACGCCTCAGTGCTGGCCGCTGTGCTGACGCAGCCTGGGGCAGCTGGTGAGACGCTTTGCCCTCAGTGCACTGCCCACCTGGTGCCCTCTGTGCCACGGTGGGCGGAGCAGCCACTCTGCATGGACCCTCCTGTTCTTGGGGGTCCTACTCCCTACTCCTGGGGGAACAGGTGCAGAGAAGAGGAGCCTGGGATTGCCATAGAGCAGGCTGTACCCTGCCAGGGACCCCCTTCATGCCCCCAACGTGGAGCTGGGTGGCAAGCAGCAGAGAGGCCACAGCCTGGGAGCAGCCAGGGCCAAAGCCAGCCCTTTGCTTTCGGAGTGGGAAGCTGAGGTCTCAGGAGGGGCAAGGGCTTGTCCTAGGCCCTCAGGGAGGAAGACAAACGACCTCCGCCCATCAAGGGCTCAGTGTGGCATTCCAGGCCACTCAGGCAGCCTCCTCCTCGGGGAAGCCCCTCTTGGTGGGGGCTGGGACAGCCCCAGGCAAGGAGCAGTGCCCTGGCTCCACGCAGCACCAAGCCAGCTTCCCACCCCTCCACCACAGCAAAGCCCCCAGCATGCCCCTCCCCAGCTGTGAGCACAGGTTCATGTTCATACACAAGCTCACACACAGCCACACTCACTCCCCAGCAAGCCCCAGCCTGCCGCCTGCAGTCCTGTTGGCCTCCATTCCCATCCACATCCCACCCAGGCTTCATCTCAGGGGTCCCTGACAGGTGAAGACAGGCACGTGGCTGGATAAGCCACAGCGGTTTATTCGGGTGCTCAGCTGGGGCCGACACAGGGGCGAGTGGGGTCAGTGCAGGGGAGGACAGCAGGCAGCTGTGAAGCTCTCGGGTCCATTGCAGGCCAAGTGACGGCATCAGCTGACAACGCAGCGGACTCCATCAGCTCCCAGCTCCGGGCCAGGAGGGGTGCTCGGGGCTGGAGAGCCCACACCACAGCCAGCTGACGGTTCAGCGGCCGATGCTGCAGATGAGAAAGTGGAGGCTCAGTCAGGGCCCTGACCAGGTGACAGGGAGAGCTCAGAGTGCCAGAGGGTGGGGTGGGAAGCACCTGGGCCTGGTCTGGGGGCTGACAGTGTCCATGGAGGTAGGGCCCTGAGAGGGGAGTGGCCACCTGCAGCTGCAGGGGCCAGACCAGACTCTCCTGGCCCTGGTCAGGCTCCACGCAGGCCTCGGTCACCCATCCCCACGCTCAGCACCATCCCCTGCCCTGCACTCCATCCCTGCCCAGTCCATCCTTCCTGGCCGCATCCATGTGCCCAGGCTGCGGACTCCTGCAGCTAGAGCCTTCCCGAGTCCACCGGAGCTCCCCAGGCCCAGTACAGCAGGCCCTGCCTGGCGCACCCACCGGCCCTCCCTCTCCTGGGCACGCTTCCACCTGACTTCCAAGCCCACGAGACGACCCTACCTCTTCCCTGGCCCCTCCCTCTCCCCTCCTCCTCCTTCTCTCCAATCCTTCCCCCCCCTGTCCCTCCCTCTCCTGTCCCCTCTCCTTCTCTTCCCTCCCTCCCCGCCTTTCTCCAATCCTTCCTCCCCTTCCCTCTCTCCTGCCCGGTCCCTCTCTTCCCTCCCTCCCCCTCCCTCTCTCCCATCCTTTCTCCTCCCTCTCTCCTCTCCCTCCCCCTCTGCTCCTTCTCTCCAATCCTTCCTCCTCCCCCTCCCTCCTCCTCCCTCTCTCTAATCCTTCCTCCTCCCCCTCCCTTCCCCCTCCACCTTCCTGTCTCCCCTCCCTCACTCTCCCTCTCTTTTCCCTCCCTCCCCCTCCCCACCTTCTCTCCAATCCTTCCTTTTCCCCCTCCCTTCCTCTCCCCTCCCTCTCTCCCCTCCCTCCCCTCTTCCTCTCCCCCTTCCCTACCCCCTCCGCCTCCCTCTCTCCCCTCCGACTCTGCCCTCCCTCCCCTCCTCTCTAATCCTTCCCTGCCAGGGAAATCCTGTGCGGACTCCGGGGCTGGGGAGAATGCCCCTCCTCCAGCCCCTCTCCTGGGGAGCAGGCCACTTGCTCCTGAGGCCCCATCACGTGCCCCTCTAGCCTTGGGCAGATGGCAAGGGGGCAGTTGCTGCTTCTCTGTACTTTTCCATGATGACTTTTTTGCAGCAAGCATGTATCATTTTTGCACAACCAATAAATCTACTTTCAAAACAAAAAACTGAAAACCCCTATAAAAGTCCAATAAGGACAAACGCCAGTTGCCTGGCCGTGGGCAGAGGCAGCTGGAGACAGGGCTGTGGGCGGCAAACTCCCTGCGGCCAGGAGCAAAAGGCCAGGGCCTTCTGGAGGAGCAGAGGAAGGAGGCAGCTGGGGAGGGGGCCCCTCAGGACTTGGTGGCACACTCACTGCTGGCTCCCCGAAATCCAATTACCACAGGAAGCAGGGAGGCGAGGGGAGGGTGAGGCTGTGGGCCTGGGCCAGTGAGGGGCCTCTTGGGTGCTGAGCCAGGTGCCCAGCAGGTGGCCCACGTGATGTGCAGGCGGCTCCTGCAGGGCGGAGCTGAGCCAAGGCACCTGGTGCTGTGGGGCTCCCCATCAGAGCCCAGCCCCCCAGGAAGCCCTGGCCTTTCCAGGATTCTCCCCAAAAGGCACCCGGTGCTGTGGGGCTCCCCATCAGAGCCAGCCCCCCCGGGAAGCCCTGGCCTTTCCAGGATTGTCCCCAAAATGCCAGTCCCTGGAGACACCTGTCCTGCCCCCAAGGCTTTCCATAGCTGGTATGAGGGGGTCCTCAGGGCTGGCAAGAGGCATGGCCAGGGTCTGAGGGCCTCAGGGCTCAGGGACTGGCCGACTCTGACATAGCCAAGGTCCAGGGAGCAGGCGATGACGCTGGGTGCGGCCCGCCTGGCCCTGGGAACCCAGAAAGGAGGATGGGCGGCCACTGCAGGGCTGCAGCTGGAGTCAGGGCAGACCCCGCTCCCCACCCACAGCTCCAGCCTGGCCCCATCCACACCACAGGGCCTCCCTGGACCCTTCATTCCGCCATGGGGCTCGGCCTTGGCACATCCAGAATCCCCTTGGGGCTGCCCCACCCCTGCCACCTCCTCTCCCCGCCACCCCGGATTTGGGATGGTGCCCGTCTGTGCCCCACTGCACCCAGTCCCTGGATCCCTCGGGATAGTTCTCCAGTCATCCCCAAAACTTGGCCCCTCACTTCCTGCCCAGAACTCTGGGCTCTGCCAGGCCCAAGGTCTACCTTGCGCTGGGCCTGGGCTGTTCCCTCTGCTGGAATGATTTTCCCTGCACCCCACTCTCGGTGAGGCCTGTTTAAAATCACAACCAGCCTCATTCCAGCCCCTGCTACGGTCTGAGTGCTTGTGTTCCTCCAAAACTCAAAGGCGAAAATAACCCCCAGGGTGATGCTGTGAAGGGTGGGGCCTCTGGGAAGTGCCGTGGTCCTGAGGGTGCAGCCTCCTGGTGGGATCCAGGCCCCAAGAGCTCCCGCCCTCCCTCCGCCACGTGAGGATGTAGGAGAGGTCACCCTCAGCAGCCCAGAAGGGCCCTATCAGAACCCAGCCCTGGCGGCACCCTGATCTGGGACTTCCAGCCTCCAGGGCAAAGAGCAGTTTCTTCTGTGGTAGAAGCCGCCTGTGGTGCTTGGTTACAGCAGCTGAGCTGATAAGGACCCCTCACCGACAAGGGCTCCCTCCCCCAGCGCTTCCCACCTCAGGGGCTTCACCTCTGGCCTCATCACACTCTGTCCATGCTCCTAGCCAGACAGTTGCACCTGCAGGCAGAGACCTGTCCTGTCCATGGAGGTGTCCACAGAGGTGTCCCCGGGCCCAGGCCAGGGCCCGCACGGACACCATGAATGCGTATTGATCGAGTGAACAAATCTGTGATGTGCACGGCTGTTTCCAACTCCCAGGCACTGCACTGCTCTGGCAGAGTGACTGCCAGACCAGGATCCAGCTGTGTTCGGAGGCACCCCCCACTTCCTAGCTGCCTGGGGATGAGGGTGGGGGCGCCCCAAGGATGGTGGTGCTCAGCGTGCCCCTCAACACAACGCAGTGTCCTGGTGTCAGTGGACAGGGTCTAATGCGAGGTGGCAGCAATGGTGGTCAGGGAGCAGCCTTGCAGTGCCTGATGCCCCCATCTTCTGGCCAGAACTGCCCCTCCCATCCCCACATGTGTCCCCCAAGATTGGGAACTGGGTCTCATCCATTGCCCTTGTCCACCACCACCCCTCAGCCTCCCCACACACACTCTGTCCAAGCCAGGGCAGCAGGGCCCAGCCTCGAACCTGAGAACCCCCAGGAGAGCTGTCCCCCGTGACCTACCAGGGAGTCCTCCCTGCCCTCACACCTGGAGGGCAGACTGAGCCGAGAGAGGGGAAGGGCAGGCCAAGGGGGCAGCAGCCTGGGAGGGAAGTCCCTGCCCCACCCAGTACACACCTGTGAGAGGCCAGCTGGCAGTGGCAGCCCCATGTGGGCACCTTTGCTGAGGCTGCCAGCTCAGCCCCACCCAGCTGGGCCTGGACACGCCCTTCAGCATCTAGTGCAGGCCACATTCCCCTGAGCTCTGGAGGCTTGAAGGTCAATGGGCCAACCCTCCGCCTGCACCCCAGGCTGGCTTTGTGGTGCCATGGAATTCGGGGTGAGGCCTGGCTGGGGATACAGGGATGGATGGCCCTCGGGCCCTGTGCAAATTCAGCCCAGCCTCTGCCTGCCTCAGCAGATGGCATGTGGCATCTGCCGGCTGAGTGGCCCTGTGATGGGGCAGATCTGAGGGGGAAAGGTTCCCATGGCATCCTCTAGGCCCAAGCCATGAGCCTTCCCCACTCCCTGCCGCCCCTCAGCCCCAGCTCCTCCAGACCCCTAGCTGGGTCTCTTCACCCCCAGGGCCCGGTGTAGAAGAAGCTCCCACCTCTGCCATGGTGCCCCCGCCCCTCCTCTGAGGGCTGAGCCTCAGCCATATGGCACTGAAATGAATGCTGCTGGGGAGATCTTTGGATTGGAACAGATGGGCGGACGCTGGTGCAGTGCAGAGAGGCAGGGGCTGGGGGTGTGGGGCTGGGAAGGATGAGGCCTGGGCTCTCCCTGATCAGCTGAGTAGCACAGGTATAATCACTGGGACTTGAGGAGCTGCCTGGGCTCTGGCGTCCTCTGGCCACACGCTCGGGGGCCCAAGAGGGGTCTCCAGGAAGATGCTACTGCAGGGTTATGGAAATTGGCTCTCAGGGAGATGAGGCTGGAGGGTGTCGGCCTCCCGGCCTGGCACAGCAGCATAGCACCCCCTGTCCCACCCCACCCCTCCCCGCACTGGTCAGCAGCCTGGGCACGGGGCACAGGGCTCTGCCTCACTCCATCCTCTCCCTCCTGCCTGAGAGGAGCAAAGCCTGGGGTGGGGGACGAGCAGAGGCACAGACTCAGGCCGGCCCAAAGTCCTTGGCAAGGATCAACCCCTCTGAGCTGTCCTCATATCTGTAAAATGGGCAGATACTTGGCACCGACCCTGCCTGGTTGTTTATCCTCCTCTCAGTCGACAAATCTGCCTCGGACATCCCTGGGCCCCACACTGGGCTGGACACCAGACAGCAGGGGAACCGGGGTTTCAGCCCCCATCAGAGGGGAGATGAAACAGGGAGAGGAGACGGTAGGTGAACAGTCGTGGAGAAACTGCCTAAGGACCGGGCGCGGTGGCTCACACCTGTAATCCCAGCACTTTGGGAGGCCGAGGCAGGCAGATCACGAGGTCAGGAGATCAAGACTATCCTGGCTAACACAGTGAAACCTTGACTCTACTAAAAATACAAAAAATTAGCAAGGCATGGTGGCACATGCCTGTAATCCCAGCTACTCAGGAGGCTGAGGCAAGAGAATCACTTGAACCCTGGGAGGTGGAGGTTGCAGTGAGCCGAGATAGGGCCACTGCACTCCAACCTGGGCAACAGAGCAAGACTCTGTCTCAAAAATAAAATAATAAAATAAAATAAAATAATAAAATAAAAAGAAGAAAGAAAGAAAGAAAAAGAAAGAAAGAAAGAAAGAAAGAAAGAAAGAAAGAAAGAAAGAAAGAAAGAAAGAAAGAAAGAAAGAAAAAAGGGAAAGAAAGAAAAAGCAAGCAAGCAACGGCGTAAGGAATGGCTGACCCCACAAGAGGCTTGGGCCCCTCTGCTGCTGTCCATGGTGCTGAGATCTTGAATGCTGGCCAGAGGCGAGAGCCAGCAGGCAGGCAGGGGCAGGTGGTCATGGGCAGGGGTGAGCCCTTGAACTGGGTTTATCACCTAAAAGGTGACTCTGACCTACTCACTTCAGCTACGTCAGCATCAACTTTTTGCTCCAGGGAAACAGTGTGCATGCACCATGCTTTCTGGCCTCATCAATGAAGGGTCAGGGCTAGTCCATAGCCAGGTTTAGGTTCAGCCTGTGACCAAGGTCAGGGCTCAAAATGTAACTAGAATTAGGGTCAGTGTGTGACCAGGATCAGAGCTTAGTTTGTGACCAGGATCAGCGTTCAGGGTGTGGCCAGGATCAGCGTTCAGGGTGTGAGCAGGATCAGGGCTCAGTGTGTGAGCAGGATCAGGGCTCAGTGTGTGGCCAGGATCAGGGCTCAGTGTGTGACCAGGATCAGGGCTCAGAGTGTGAACAGGATCAGGGCTCAGAGTATGAGCAGGATCAGGGCTCAGTGTGTGACCAGGATCAGGGCTCAGAGTATGAGCAGGATCAGGGCTCAGTGTGTGGCCAGGATCAGGGCCCAGTATGTGACCAGGATCAGGGCTCAGAGTGTGAGCAGGATCAGGGTTCAGAGAGTGGCCAGGTCAGGGCTCAGTGTGTGACCAGGATCAGGGCTCCGTGTGACCAGGATCAGGCTCAGTGTGTGGCCAGGGTCAGGCCTCAGTGTGACCAGGATCAGGACTCAGAGTGTGACCAGAGTCAGGGCTTAACGTGTGACCAAGATCTGGGTTCAGTGTGACCGGGATCAGGCTCAGGGTGTGGCCAGGGTCAGGGCTCAGGGTGTGGCCAGGGTCAGGGCTCAGCGTGTGACCAGGTCATATCCAGTGTCCACCCTGGAGAGCTGCCTGTTGAGGCACCACGAGGGCCAGACCACTTTGTGGGCTCCCTGGAGCTTCACTGTGTGGGTTTCTAGGCCTTCTTGGAGCACAGACCACTCAGAGCCTGGTCTGGTTGGGAACAGTGCCCATCCCTCAGCTCACTGCCAATGTCCCTCAGACATGTCCCCCTCTCATCCCACTCACCACTCTGCCAAATAGCATGGGCCACCCCTCGATGAAGAGCCTCAGCTGCCAGGGAGCTGTGAGCCCAGCCCAAGCAGGCATCTGCCCCTGTTGACTGCCTGAGGCCAGACCCACAGGCCGACACCCGACACACTCAGGGTCCAAATGCCTGGCTGCCAGCCCCCTGTGAGAAGCTGGGCATGTGTGGCCCTGAGCCCTCCCCGCCCCACCCTGGGTGGCCCTGGAGCCTTGAGGCCCTTCTCTGCTTGGGCAACTGGAGCACCCAGCACATTCACATTCCACTGCTGACACTTTCCAAATAGCTTATTAGAAATTAATATTTAACTCTCTTCTGTGGATTTAACTTAATTATTCAATTTATTATTGCAATTACTGAAAAGCACCCGGAAGCAAAATTGCTTGCTTTGAGCAGAGGAGACAGTCAAGGAGGCAGGAGTCTTGCCAAGCCCATCTCAATTTCAGAACGAGCTTTGCAGCCTTCACCCCTGGGGATTCCTCCTTGTGTCCCACTGAAGTCTCTCTTGCTGCGGTTAGAAAACAAAACTTCTTTTCCCTGTCAGGGCTGGCTGAAGATGCTTTCTGTTCCCTGAGTGTCACCTCCTGGGTGGTGCTTCCCTGGGGTGGGGCCAGAATCCCTGTTTCTGCTAAGAGGGGAACCCTGAAGGCAGCACCCCCATTTCTTCCTTCCATATCATGCTGGGGTCCACTGCCCAGACAGGCAGGAGGAAGGAGGGAGAGACGAGGAAGGAGAAGGAAAGCTTAGGGAGAGAAGGATGGCAGGAGATGACGAGGAGGGAGGGGAGGAGGAAGGGAGAGGAGTGGGGGCCTTGTTTTCACTACCACCCCCAGGCACAGCTTCTAATCCGGCCCTGCAGGTCGGGTCCCGGTATCTGCAGCCTTGCCCTCAGGGAGAGGCTGTCGCCCTTTACAGATTCTGGTACCAAAGCTCCAGGAAATGTGGTGATCTGTCCCTGGGCACCCAGGTGGACCCGGCCAGGTGGGGACTCAAACCCAGGGCCATGGGCCACAGGGATGAGGTCTCCTGACCGACACGTGGCCCTGCTACTGGAAAGGTCGCAGCTGCCCACAGTTAAGCCCCAGGGCCCCCTCCCCTCACCTGCCTTCCTGCCTGTCCATTTCCTGGGGGAAGAGCAGAGGTCCTGGGGGAATGGGGAGGCAGGACTGGATGCCCGGGATGACCCTGAGCCCTGCCTATGAGGATGGCTCTGCCCTTCCCCCCTGCCCCTCCAGGCCTCAGCCGTCCTTCTGGCTCCCGGCCTCCCAGCCTCCTTCACCCCGAAGGCCCGCTGCCCAGGACAACCCATGGGCTGCTGTGTGTTTGCTCCAGCCCACTGTGGATGGGTGCCAGCCCAGAGCTGAGAGTCACATGCCAGCTGGGAACAGCAGGAGGTGAGGAAGAGACGGAGGGGAAAGGTGGGGTCAGGGGTCCACTGGGGCCAGCCACTCTGCCCCAGTGTCCTGCTGGCCCGAGGGCCATGTGGGAGCCCCAGAAAGAAACCGCCGCTGTGTCCCGCCTTGGGTCTCAGGTCCGCAAAGCAGAGTGCCTGCAGGGTAACAGTAACGCAGCCCGCAAGAGTAGTAGAGACGGGCAGTGAGCTCCACGGCCATGACTGAGTGAGGCTAGACACCGGGTGGGCTGCAGGCCTTCATCCCTAATGCTCAGTGGCCCTGCAAGGTAGCACGCATGTCCCATTTCACAGATGAGGAAACTGAGGCTCAGAGAGGGGAAGCCCCATGCAGAGGCCCCACGGTGAGGAGGCCTCTGCTGCACAGCACCCTCTGCTGCCCAGCTCTGCCTCCAGCCCACTTGCCAGATTCTGCCCTCAGCGGTGGTCCTCAGGGCAAACTCCATCTGCCTGGAGCTCAGGGAGGCTGGGTCTGGGTCCCAGGGGAGAGATCTTGATGGAGAAGCCTCTAGAGAGCCACAGGAGACCTCGGGGAGCCTCTCACACCCTGAGGGCAGGGTCAGGCCCGGGTGGCCTCCAGGTTAGGCCAGGGAGGGAGGGCCTCCAGATTCCGACCTGGAACCAGGGAACCAGGCCCTCTCGGGCTTCTGATCCGCTCAGCACAGAGGGGCATCTACGTTATCTCTCAGGCTTCTGAGTGAAAGGCGCCACTATGGTCACGCCCCAAAGGCAGCAGGCACTGAACTGTCCTGGGCCACCAAAAGGCAAACAGACCCTCGCACAGCGCCCCAGCCGGCAGGCAGTGCAGCCCACCAGGTCTCAGGGTCACCAGACCCAAGCTAAAAACCTGGCCTGGCACCCGCTAGCTGTGCAACCTCGGGCTGAATACTGTACCTCCTGGCCAGCAGTTTCCCTGGCAGTACCACAGAAGATTCTGTGAAATGAAGGACTGAGGACAGAATCCGTGTAAAGTACTCACTCCCTGCTGGCATACAGCAAGCACTCAATAAATGGCAGCTATGAATGTGGTGCATTGTCACGTCCCGTAAATGCCTGGTGTGTGAACGCTGCACTCCTGTGCCTCAGCCCCAGATGGAGTGGTCAGTGAGAGAGAGATCCTGCCTCACTCCACCGTGCCTGGCTTCTGAGCAAATCCTCTCATCTCTGCACCTCGGTTTTCTCATCTGAGAAATGGGGACCTCACAGCACCTTCTTTGTGGCGCTGTGGCGAGGAGTCAGTGAGAGAATGCCCATTAAAGCACCTACTAAGTGCTTGGCAGACAGAAGATAACATGGAGGAACCACAGTTGTCCCCACCCTTCTGGGATAGCCAGCGCAAGTCTGCCACATGCAAGTATGTGCACACACACGCAGGCACATAACACAAAGGCCATGCCAGGAAGCACGCAAAGGTCCCGCCACACACTTCCCAAATGGAAATCAATGGCTTTGAGGCTGATATCTCACAGCTTTCAGAAAACATTAAAACCCTGACCTGCTATGCTCCTCCACTTAGCCCCTTAAATGTTTTGTGCTTATGAAAAATACTTGATTGATCGTTGCCTGGATACTGTAATTTTCTATTTACTGAGGCCCAGCCTTGTGGCTCCAGGAGCCAGGAGCCCTCAGACAGGGATTTGCTCCCTGGGGCCCTCACTCACTCATTCACAAACTCATTGACTCGTTCATTCATCCACTCACTCACTCACTCATCCACTCATCCACTCACTCACTCATCCACTCACTCATCCACTCACTCACTCATTCACTCACTCATTCACTCACTCACTCACTCATTCACTCACTCACTCACTCATTCACTCACTCATCCACTCATTCACTCACTCATCCACTCACTCATTCACTCACTCACTCATCCACTCATTCACTCACTCATCCACTCACTCATTCACTCACTCACTCATCCACTCATTCACTCACTCATCCACTCACTCATTCACTCACTCATCCACTCATTCACTCACTCACTCATCCACTCACTCATCCACTCATCCACTCACTCACTCATTCACTCACTCACTGATTCACTCACTCACTCACTCATCCACTCACTCATCCACTCATCCACTCACTCACTCACTGATTCACTCACTCACTCACTCCTTCACTCACTCATCCACTCCACTCACTCATCCACTCATTCACTCACTCATCCACTCATTCACTCACTCACTCATCCACTCATCCACTCACTCACTCATCCACTCACTCATTCACTCACTCACTCATCCGCTCATTCACTCACTCATCCACTCATTCACTCACTCACTCATCCACTCATCCACTCACTCACTCATCCACTCATTCACTCTCACTCATTCACTCACTCACTCATCCACTAATTCACTCACTCGCTCACTCATCCACTCACTCACTCACTCATCCACTAATTCACTCACTCACTCAGTCATCCACTCACTCATTCACTCACTCACTCATTCACTCACTCACTCATCCACTAATTCACTCACTCACTCACTCATCCACTCATCCACTCACTCACTCACTCATCCACTCACTCATCCACTCACTCACTCACTCATCCACTCACTCACTCACTCATTCACTCACTCACTCACTCATTCACTCACTCAGCCACTCATTCACTCACTCATTCATCCACTCACTCATTCATCCACTCACTCATCCACTCACTCATTCACTTACTCATCCACTCATTCACTCACTCACTCATCCACTCATCCACTCACTCACTCATCCACTCACTCACTCATCCACTCACTCACTCATCCACTCACTCACTCACTCATCCACTCACTCACTCATTCACTCATCCACTCACTCACTCACTCATCCACTCACTCACTCATTCACTCACTCACTCACTCATTCACTCACTCATTCATCCACTCACTCATCCACTCACTCATTCACTTACTCATCCACTCACTCATTCACTTACTCATCCACTCATTCACTCATTCACTCATCCACTCATTCACTCACTCATCCACTCACTCACTCATTCACTCACTCACTCATTCACTCACTCTCTCATTCACTCATTTACTCACTCACTCAGCCACTCACTCATTCACTCACTCACTCATTCACTCATTCACTTACTCGCTCATACTCATTCACTCATTCATCCACTCATTCACTCACTCGTTCACTCATTCACTCATTCACTCATTCACTCATCCACTCACTCATTCACTCACTCACTCAAGTATTCACTCATTCACTCGTTCACTCACTCATACTCATTCACTCATTCATCCACTCACTCATTCATCCACTCACTCACTCATTCACTCACTCACTCATTCAGTCACTCACTCATACTCACTCAACCACTCACTCATTCACTCACTCATTCACTCACTCGTTCACTCATTCACTCATTCACTCACTCACTCATCCACTCATTCACTCACTCAAGTATTCACTCATTCACTCGTTCACTCACTCACTCATACTCATTCACTCACTCACTAATTCACTCATTCGCTCATTCACTCATTCACTAACTCATCCACTCACTCATTCACTCACTCACTCATTTATCCACTCACTCACTCACTCATTCACTCATTCACTCACTCATTCACTCACTCACTCATTCACTAACTCATCCACTCACTCATTCACTCACTCACTCATTTATCCACTCACTCACTCACTCATTCACTCATTCTCTCACTCATTCACTCTCACTCACTCATTCACTCACTCATTCCATCCTTTCCTGCAGAGAGATCACATCCCCAGGAGTTCACAGACAAGTCAACAGCTACCAAAGACCAATGTGGAAGGTGCTTCTGCAGGTGCAGGGGCTTGGGTCCTGGGATCCAGAGTGGGGAGATCATGGATAAGGAGAGAGGAGGTGCCCAAAACCCAGATCCCAAGGGCTCACCTCGCTTCTACAAGGTCCCACCAGCTCATTTCTGCAACAGCCACATCTGAGAAACCTGGACAATGCCACGTCCTGGCCACCCAGGGGAGGGCTTTCTGCCAAGGGAGCCCAGGCAGGGCTTTCTGAAGAGACTGCTCGGGGCCATTTCATCCTCTGAGAGCTATCGGTGCAGTCCTGGGGGATGCACCACCACCAAAGCATCCTCCTCATCCTGGTGTGCAGGGTCTCTGTCCCCATTACGCTGAGCCCGGCCCAGATCCTTCATCTACAGCAAGAGGCCTCCTCACCAAGCAATGGGGCCTGGAGAGGCTTCTGGAAACACTGGCACAGGCCTGGGCGGGGTGGCTGGTGGGAAAAGGGGAGGCTCCAATACAGAGACCAGAGCTGGGACCCGGAATGGCTCCATCGAGTGCGGCAGGCGGGCTTTGCCCTAATGCCTGTCATGACTGAGGATGCCCCAAGCCTGACTATGGACCCTGGCCACACACTGACCTCTGACCCTGATCACATATGGAGCCCTGACCCTCACCATATGCTGACCTCTGACCCTAGCCACATGCTGACTTCTGACCCTCACCACAGGCTGGGCCCTGCCCCTGATGCCAGACAAGCCTTCACATTAGTTGTGAATTGGGTCCTGGGACCTGCAGATGAGTGAGGCTGGCTGGGTGCGGTCCCTCCTCACCGTGGAGACTCACAGCACTTGCCAGGGCCTACTTGGTGCAGCCACTGCTCCCTTGTCAAAGGAGGTCCCTGTCTTGATTGCTTCCAGGCTCCTGTGAGGGCCAGGCAGGAGGTGGACTTCCAAGATCCTGGCAGAGCTGAGCCCAAGCTGGGTTGTGGCTGTCAGAGCCAGGGAGGGGTGCTCTGGGGGCTGGCCTCTTGGAGCTCCCAGGCTGGCATGGCCTCACCCGCCACTCTGAATGGGATGTGTCCAGACCAGGTGCCTGTGGTTTCATTCACCACAGTCTTGGTGGGTCTGGGCAGAGCAGTCAGGATGCTGATGAGGCTGAGCCCGCGGGGAGTGGGGCAGAGGGCGGGGCTGGGTAGCCCTGATTGATCCCTAGCAGAGGAGTGAAGGCGGGGCCAGCAAATCCCTTCCCCACCTGAGCCTGCAGGCTGGGAGCTGCTCCCACTCCAGCAACAGAGCCAAGGGAGGCGTGGCTGCAGGCCTGTTCGCCTCCCTTCAGCCTACATCCAAACTGCCAGGAGTTCCCCTGCTTGGCCCCAAGGCCCACTGTGCCCCTCCAACCTCTCCCTGCTGTCAGCCCCCGATGGTTGCCCTGCCTCCCCCCTCCCCCCAGACCCTCCTCACCCATGCAGATGTGGACACGGCTTGCCCTCACTCCCACCCTCCACGGCTTCGCCTGCCCTTGGAATACTCCACACTCTGAATCTCCAGCGAGACCCCAGGGCTCTCCTGGTCTGGCTTCTGCTGCTGCCTAACCACCTTCTCTGCTCCTTGGCCCTGGCCCTGCTGGGACCTCTCCACTCACACAGCATCAGGGCTGCAGTGCTCCCTGCCCCTGGCTCAGCCACCTCCCCTGCCTCTCCTAACCCTCCCCTCCCTCCCCTAACCCTCCCCTGCCAGGTGCTCACATGCGGGCTGTACCTTAACTGTCCATTTCCATCTATCTCTCCTGCTGGGAGGTCGGGCACTCCTGGGCCCTCTGCAGTCCCGCTGCTGGCTCCTCCCCTCTGCCTTCTGACCACAGGGCATGGGTGCAGCTGGGCCGCCACACCTCAGAGCAGCTCCATACCTCCTTGCAAGTGACTACAGGCAAACCATGTGCTGCCTAGGCCCATCTCCTCTGCAGTCTGGGACAGTGGTACCAGTGATGCCTGCCCCATGGCCCGTGATGAGGCCAACACAGGTAACGTATGCAAACCACAACCTGTCACTCAGATGTACTGGCTTCCTATGGCTGCTACAACCAAGTACCGTATGCGGGCGGTGCTCTAAACAACAGCCATGTGTTCTCTCATAGCCCGGGAGGTGAAGTCTGGGATGGAGGAGTTGGCAGGGCCGTGCATGCCAGGGTGGGTCCTTCCTTGCCCTGTCCAGCTTCTGGTGGTGCCAGGTGTTTCTAGGCTGGTGGCTGCATCACCTCATTCCTGCTCCCTCTCCACTTGGCCTTCTCCTCTGGGTGCTTCTGTGTCCTCTCTTCCTCTCAGGACACCAGCTGTCTGATTTAGGGCCCACCATAACCCGTTAAGACCTTATCTTAACTCATTACATCTGCAAAGACCCTGTTCCCAAATAAGGCCATGTTCACAGGTGCTGGGGTGGAGACCCTGATTTAGAGGGACTAAGTCAGCTCTGTACAGGGGTCATCACCATCGCCACAGTAACTATTACTATTACCAGGGCTGGTTTCCGGCTGGCTTGGGGCTGCACCAGTGTGGGCGAGAGGGGTGGGCACTGCTCAGAGTGTGGCCGGGCACACGCATGGGCTTGCGCATACATGCAGCCTGCGTCACAGAGGCGACACTGGCAGCAGGCGGGGGTCCTCTCTGCAGCCCGGCTCCTGCAATCGAGCTACGGTTGGCGCCTCCCGCCCACCTCTCAGCCCACGCTGTCCTGCTTGCGTCTGCCCCTATTGCTTGTTCTTCCGTGGATCCTCTCCCAGAGAACCTTTGCTACGAGGACTCAGAGCTGGGAGGGGGACCCTGGTGGCCCCCAGAGACAGGATTCTGTCCAGACTCCACACTCAGAGCCCCCTCAGGCAACCCACTCTGCTCAGCCCCACTCCTCTGGCTAAAGAGCACTGGCTCTGGAGTCCTGGGGGGCTGGAGGAATGGGGTCACTGCCCCAAGCCCAGGCTTAATAGAGGCAGAAGACTGGGCTCCCCAGGGCAGGACCTCCAGACAGAGCCTGGCAAGACCACAGCAGTTCCCGGCATAAGGAAGCAGCAGGGGTCAAGAAGGGCTCCCCATGGCAGGGCCCTTCCTAGGGCTCAAAGGCCCCTTCCCTTCCTGTGGGCCCTGCCCCACCTCACCTGCTCCCTGGGCAAGCTGCTGAGCCTCATCTGGAAAATGGACACAATAACAAGTCCCCCACTGCACCCACAACCCCAGTGACAGCCAGGACCACCACTGCACCCACACGGCAGTGACAGCAAGGCCCCCCACTGCACCCACACAGCAGTGACAGCCAAGCCCCCCACTGCACCCACACAGCAGTGACAGCCAGGCCCCCCACTGCACCCACACAGCAGTGACAGCCAGGAACCCCACTGCACCCACACAATAGTGACAGCCAGAACCCCCACTGCACCCACACCCCAGTGACAGCCAGGACCTCCACTGTGCCCACACCCCAGTGACAGTGAGGACCTCCACTGCATCCACAACCCTAGTGACAGCCAGGCCCTACATCCTGCCCACAATCACAGTGACAGCCAGGACCTCCACTGCACCCACACAACAGTGACAGCCAGGACCCCCTTCCTGCCCACAACTCCAGTGATAGCCAGGACCCCCATCCTGCCCATAGCCCCAGTGACAGCCAGGACCCCCATCCTGCCAATAGCCCCAGTGACAGCCAGGAGCCCCAACCTGCCCACAACCCCAGTGGCAGCCAGGACCTCCACTGCACCCACAACCACAATGGCAGCCAGGCCCCCATTCCTGCCCATAACCCCAGTGACAGCCAGGCCCCCCATTCTGCCCACAACCCCAACACCAGCAGCTCTGGATACCAGGAGTTCTCTTTGCCATCCAGGATTTTAGTAGCAAGACCTCGGCTGACCCAAATGAGGTAAGGCCACCTGGGGTCTTCACATGCCCTGCCTAATGTGAACACACAGAAGCCCTGCTGTTGCGGGACGAGCTGACTGGGGAGACCCCAGGGATGCGAAACAACATCTGGAAGGTTCACAGTGTGTCTTCACACAAATCCAAGACCTGTTCAGTCCATGCTGTCCTGGCCATGCTGGCCCTGAAGGCTGGGCTCTGCCTCCGCATTCCTCAGGAGGCTACAGGATAAATTTAGATAATGGATGTACAACACATGGCCTGGCACACAGTAGACCAACCATGGGAGTCTCCAGTGCTCAGTAAGACTCAAGTAGGGCAGCCTTGAGTGAGCAGCCGAGTACTGCAGAACTGAGCAAGGGTGGCATCCACCCTGTTCCCTTGCCAGCCTTCCCGGAGTTTACATGGAGAGGCACTGAGCCTCCATTCCACCAGCAACCAGCACCAGTGTCAGCCACACGCAGATCCAGCTTTGAATGGATCCTTCAGCCGCAGTTGAGTCTTCAGATGATGCAGCAATGGCCAACATCTACCTACAGTCTCACAAGAGACCCAGAGCCAGAGCCACCCAGCTAAGCCGCTTCCAAATCTTGACTCACAGAAACTGTGAGATAACAAACATTGATTTGGTTTCAGCCACTAAGCTTTAAGCTAACTTGGCATGCAGTACCAGTAATGGATATACCTGCTTAACATGTTTCAGAGGCTCCACGGACACTAAGGGCCTTCCCATGTTCTGTCCCAGCCCTGCCCGGCTGCAGCCCAGGGCCCTGTGCCCTGGGGACAGCCATGCTCCAGTGCCAGCCATGTGTCTCAGTACCCATTCCTCCCTGCCTACAGGAGCTGGTGAAGCTTCCTGATGAGCTCTCCTCACTGACGCCTCATTCCTCTCCTCTCCGGTCCGAATGCACACTCACCACATGGCCCAACATGTTCTGTGCACTGACTGCTAGCCCCAGAGAAATTGCCAGTCATAAACTTCTGGAGGTCAGTGCCTAGGAAAAGAGAGGCTTCAGGGTGGCCTTGCCCCAGTGGCTCTGAGTTGCAAGAACACAGGGCACCCCTCTGCCATGTGCACCACTGGGTCCCTAGAGCCCATCCCATGCCTAACACAAAGGAGATGCTCAACAAACACATAGAGGATGATGAAGGAAGGAAGAATGAATGGATGCAAGGAAGGAAGGATGGAAAGATGGATGATGGGTGGATAGGTGATAGATGAATGGATGGGTGGAAGGATGAATGGTGGATGGGTGGATAATGGACGAACAGATGGTGTACAGGTGCATGGGTGGATGGTAGCTAGGTGGATGTGTGAACAGATTGTGGATGGATGGATAGATGGGTGATGAATGGAAGGTAGATGGATGGACAGATGGTGGATAGATGGGTGGATGAGTTGATGGATGGATGGATGGATGGGTGGATGAGTGGATAGATGGATAAATGGTGGGTGGGTGGATGGATGGATGAATGGATGGATGGATGGAAGGATGGATGGATAAATGGATGGTGGGTGGATAGATGGGTGGAAGGTGGATGGATGAATGGAGGGTGGATGGATGGACAGATGGTGAATGGGTGGATAGAAGGGTGGATGGTGGGTGGATGGATGGATGATGGATGGATGAATGGATGGATGGTGGATGGGTGGATGGATGGATGGCAGATGGATAGATGGATGGATGGATGGTGGATGGGTAGATGGATGGACAGATGGACGGTAGACAGGTGGATAAATGGGTGGATGGATAGATGGATGGATGGTGGATGGTTAGATGGATGGTGGATAGGTGAATGAATGGATGGTGGATGTGCAGATGAATGGATGGTGTACGGGTAGGTGGGGTACTCACCACGGGTAGCATCACTTTCGGACAGAGGTGGCGATGATGATGATGATGACAAGCAGGGCAGTGACTCCAGCTGATAGGAAGCAGCACTTGATCTTGTGTCTCTGGAGCTGGGAGAGAGAGAGAGGTTGTTTCCATATCCTGGTCCTCCAACCTCCCATCCTCAGGGGCATTTGGCTTGTGCATACTTTGGGCTGTGGCATGCAGGGGCTGAGTCCACCCTGGGGCAGGGTCCAGAGAGAACCTGTGTCTTTCAAGGGGCTCTGTCCTGAGCTAGCATGACTGTTTATTGAATAACTGCTCTGGGCTGGCTCTGGAGCCAGGTTCAAAGGGAGAGAGGCAGGAGACTCAACTTAAGCTCCAGAGTCAGCCAGGCATGGGTGTGATTCATGCTTTGTCCATCTTGAGCTGAGGGATCTCGGCTGTTTCTCTTCTTGGTACCTTAAATTATTTTGTAAGGATAAGATGATGCCATGGACTCCATGGAGATATTTGAAAGCCTTAAAATTAAGGTGATGCCTGGAAACTACATAGCCTGGGGCCTGGCGAATGCCAGACATATAGTCTTCACCAGATAGTCTTACTTGTATATTCTTGTGGCTATTACTAATTTAAAAAATTCTGGACCCACCATCAAAGGTCTCATGGAAGAGAAAGACATTGATCTGTGCTAAGGGACTGATTAGATAGGGATTTGAAGGCTTCATGTAGAAGGCTATACCTCATTCAGGTCCTGAATGTGGGGTGGGAAACCCCTCGGCAGACCAGGGGGTGAGAGGCAAGGGATTAAGGGAGAACCCAGAGAAAAACGGGAGCTTAAATGAAATGGTAAGTACCAAGTATCCAAAGGAGGGAGCAGGGAGCAAGGGACAGGGAATGGGAAGGGAGACAGATTGGGATGAGACAGTCCTGCAAATTATGAAGGAGTTTAGACACCACCCCTAGACAGCAGGGAAGACAGGAGTTTAGAGCAGGAGAGTGACATGTTTAGCAGTGTGTTGTTGGAGAGAGCACTCAGGAAGCCAGACAAGAGGATGGGTAGAAAAGAGATCTGAGACAAGGATGCCAGACAGGCGGAAGACTAACGTGTCCATGAAAGATGGGCAGGGGCCTAGGGGAGGGTAGAGAAGGGAGGGTAAGATGGAACAGAGTCAAAACCAGAAGGTGGAATCCTCAGAACCTAGGAGTAACTGGATAGGGGAGAGGAGGGAAGTATAAAGGACAAGCCAAGGATGAGTCCCCTCGGTTACCCCTCTGGGTCATCAGTTAAATGTTGGGATGAAAATCCATTAATGCAACCATCCATCCATCCATCCATCCATCCATCCATCCATCCACCCACTCATCCATCCATCCACCCACCTATCCATCCACCCATCTACCCATCAATTCATCTATCCATCCATCCATCCATGAGCCCACTCATCCATCCATCCATCCACCTATCCATCTGTCCATCCATCCATCCGTCCACCTATCCACCCATCATCCAACCATCCATCCATCCATCCATCCATTCAACCATCCATCCATCTACCCACCTCTCCATCCATCCATCTACCCACCTATCCATCCATCCATCCAAACATACACCCATTCATCTACCCACCCATCTATCCACCCATCCTTCTACCCAGCTGTCCATCAAGATGACCAGCCCCCAGCTCAGCTCCCTCAACTGTCTCAATGTCATTGCACCTTAAGAGGGACCCACATACTGGCCTGAAAATGACCAATTGCTGAAACAGCACCACTTCCCAGCCTTGGGAAACACATTGCTACCTGTGTTCTTGGCCAGGACACTGAAGCTCAAAAAGGTAAAGAGACCTTCCCAGGCTTCACAGTGTGTGGCAGATCTGAGGTCCAGGTCTCTCTCCCTCTAGGTGTTGTCACAAAGTCATGTTGCTGCCTGGACATCCTAGGATGTGGGCAGGGTAATAAGGGGTTGGGGGGTGGCCAGAAGGGGACAGAAGGCCAAGAGTGAATCAGACAAAGCCCTCAGCTTACTGGTTGGCGGGGGGGCAGTCAACCCTCCTGGCAGGGACAGGGCTCTGCATCAGTGCACAGGACAAGGCGCACTGAATTAAGGACAACTTCAGGACACATGACAGCGCCCATGGCTTAGGATACTGGGGTTTGTGGGTGGCCAGTGTCTCTCAGGTCCATGGTCCCCTCACCAGCATCGTCCCAGTCAGTAGTACAGCTGCCCTTTCCCAAGCATCATCCCCCACCACGGCACAGAGGTGGGTCCCACCAACACCCCCAGTCTACAGAAGAGGAGATGGCTCAGAAAGGTGATGTGGCCTGCCCAAAGCCACCAGCCTGAGATCTGCAAAGCCAGGATTGGAGCTGGGCACCCAGCCACAGAGCCTGCTGCTGACTCCACACCCTGCCCCATAAGCCCCGTGCACTTGGAGTTACCTGTGCCCTGTATGTGCCATAAGAGTGCAAGGTGGATTTTCCTGTGCCAGCCCTACTCCCACACTCCTGAGACGGAGCCTGAGGAACCATGCGTGGGGGTCTCCCAGGTACCTGAGGGGAGCAAAGGGCATGGAAAAGAAACAGGAGCTGAGGTCAGGCAGTTCCACTTCCAGGCCTGTGCTCCACATCACTGCCAGACCGTGGCCTTGAGCACAGTGCTGGGCCTCTCGGCAGCAGCAGTTCCCGGCCTTTGACTTGGGGTGCCATGCCCTGGTCTGCAGGCCGAGGTGCATGCTGGAGGAGCTGGTGCATGGGAAGAACTTGGTAGCCATTGCTGGAAGCACTCCCCTGGGCCTCTATCCACACACCCAGCTCCAGACCCCAGGCAGCTGACAGGCCCGGCCTGGCCTCATACTCCTCTTCAGTTGGGTGTTGTGCCCATGCCCTGCCCAGACTGGGCCCTCGGCCACTTCCTGTGGCCCTGAAGTTGGCCAACCGAGGGCCTCCTTACGTGGTCCCAGGTCAGGCCTGTCTCCCTGCGCTACGTCTCTACCCTCCATCCCCCAACCCGCTGGGTTCAACAAATGAGGGGAGGGCGGCCGCAGGGAGGCAAGGAAGCTGGAACCACAGAAACGGACAGGCCAAAGGGGCGGACCCGGATGTAGCAAAGGATGTGCCCCAGAGGAGCCCGAGGGAGCACCTGCGGAAGAAAGGCAGGGAAAGGACGCCCAGGGACACTCTGCAGCTCCAGCCAGCTGCTGCCAAGCCCGGCCCTTCCACAGCCTCCTCTCTACCCATCACCAAGCCACCGCTCCGTATCTGGACACCGACTTCAAGGGAAGAGGCGGGCGCAGGCGATGACAGGCAGGGCCCAGGGATGCCAGATGCTGGGGCTGAGACAGTTGGCAGAGGCAGAGGCAGAGGCAGGCCTTTGAAGAGGGCTCTGCAGCCCCAGACTTGTCCAGCTCCCCTCCCCGACCCCAACTTCCGCATCAGCTGCTGCGGCCCAGCAACATCCCTGGAAGGGAGGAGCTGCCTGGCCGGAGGGGCTGAGCTCCTGCTGTGGCCAACCTTGACCTGGGGCTCACTGCAGCCCCCTGGGCCTTTCCTCACTCCAGCAGGCACCCAGACAGCCACCCTGCAGATGAGAAGCCACCCTCCCCAAGCTGAGGGAGGGGACAGCCGGCCAGGCACACAGCCCCCACTCATAGGGCTGACCTTTCTGGCTCCCCAGTGAAAATGTTTTGACCACATCCATGACCTGAGTAGACTGCAGAGGGACCTTCCTTAACGAGGCGAGATGAATTTTCCTGTTAAATATCACTGTGTCTGGAGGATGGGCAGGACAGGCCCGTGAGGCACGAAGAGCTGGCACAGCTTTCCTGGGGCTCAGGCCCCTTTTACAGATGGGAGGGCCTAGGACCCAAGCGGGGTTTTTGGACGGGTGATGGTCAAGGCCGAGAAGCCCACCTAGAGCCCCCACTCTTCGTGCTGGGGAAGCCTGGCCTCATCCACATCAAGCCTTGAGAACTGCCTGGGGCACGGTTCTACCCTGCCTCAGTGTCAGAGGGAAAGGAGGCTGGGGGATGCCAGGATGCCAACCCGGGAGACCTCCCTGCATCATGGGATCACAGCTGACAACATCTCAGCAACGGGGCCAGGAGGGGCCGGTGTGCTTGTGTTTAATTAACTCATTGTGTGGGCAGGGCTGGTGACCAGGCCCAGACCAGGCCCACAGACACAAGCTCACCTCCTCAGGAGGCTGAGCCCCTCCCCTGTCTGCTCTGCCTCTTGCCCCCAGCGGGAACCAGTGCCTAGGTTATGGTTTTGGAAGGCGGCTTGCTCCCTGCAGGGCGTACGCAAGGGCTCTTCCCTCTGCCTGCTGGCTCTTCATCACCATCTTCAGCCCCACCACCTCCAGGATGCCTTCCCAGATGTCCCAAGTCATGCTGAGTCGCTAGGGTCCAGAGCCTTGGCTTCCGCCTGTACAGAACCAGCCACTGCACCCTCCCAGCTTCCCCCTGCACAGAATCGACCACTGCACCCTCCCAGCTCAAATCTCACCTCCTTCCCCAGTGGAGCTGTGGGGGGCGGATGAGGTGTGGCCACCCTAGCCATCCTGAATGTGGCAGGTGCTCAGTGGAAACATGGTAACCAAGAAGAGAGAGGAGAAAACAAGTGACCCCAATCATGGAGGCCGGGGAAGGCTCCAAGATGGCTCCATGACCCCAACCATGCATTCAGGGAAGGTTCCAAGATGGTGCCATGACCACCACCATGGGTTCAGGGAAGGTTCCAAGATGGCGCCATGACCACCACCATGGGTTCAGGGAAAGTTCCAGGATGGCGCCATGACCCCAACCACGGGTTCAGGGAAAGCTCCAAGATGGCTCCATGACCCCAACCACAGGTTCAGGGAAAGCTCCAAGATGGCGCCATGACCCCAACCATGGGTTCAGGGAAGGTTCCAAGATGGCGCCATGACCACCACCATGGGTTCAGGGAAGGTTCCAAGATGGCACCATGACCACAACCACGGGTTCAGGGAAGGTTCCAGGATGGCGCCATGACCCCAACCATGGGTTCAGGGAAAGCTCCAAGATAGCTCCATGACCCCAACCATGGGTTCAGGGAAAGCTCAAGATGGCGCCATGACCCCAACCACAAGTTCAGGGAAGGCTCCATTAGTTCTCTGTAGATGTTGCCCAGAGGGCAGCCCAGCCCTGCTGTGTGACCAGGGCAGTCCCTCCAGCCTCTGCAGCTCCCTGTCCAGGTGAGGAAGGAGGAATGCTGGGCTGTCAGTCAGGTGGGGCACACAGATAGGCACCCCATCCACCTGCTCCCTCATCCCATTAACATGAGGGTCCACAGTGCACCCCAGACATGGAGAGGGGGAGACGCCCAAGCCTAGAGAGGGCTACACATCTGGGGAGGCTCACCCTGGCTCCACCTCCTGAAGTCCCCTCGTCCCCCCACAACATCCTCACCCCAACTCCACCTCCTAAAGTCCCCTTGTCCCCCGCAACACCTTCCCACCAGTGTGTGAGTGCCCCAGTCTAAATACAAGCAGAAAACTAGGGACCCCAGATGGCTGAGGAGTGCCCCCAGCAAAAGAATGGAAGCAGAACAAACGGAAAGAAATTCACAGAAACGGAGCAGGAGAAAACAGCCGCCAGCACAGCCCACAGGGAGGGCAGGCATTCGGGCACAGACTTGGGGCTGGAGGGACCAAGGGGAACCTGCCTGCACTGAGCGCCCTGGGTGCTGGTGCCCGTGGTCCAGAGAAGGACGTGACTCACCCAGGATACCCGCAGGCCCCAGAGAAGGACGTGACTCACCCAGGATACCCGCAGGCCCCAGAGAAGGACGTGACTCACCCAGGATACCCACAGGCAGGGTCCGGCAGGTGGCTGGATGCTGGATGTCTAACGCGGGCCCCAGCGCCCTCGTCGGGCCATGAGGCCTCCTCGTCCCCACCTGGTTTGCTCCTCCCTCTGCCCCTCCACCCCCACCCCTACCCCCGGCCCCTTCCTCCTGACCCCCCTGCACCCTGGCCCCCCATTCCTCAGGAACCGCTTCCCATGCAAATGCATTCAGAACACATGACGTTTCAGAAACATCTATTTGTATATATTTAGACTCCATTTCAAAAGAATTATTCAAAATCGGAGCCATTTGGATAGATGGGTGTGGAACGGATTGTTTCTTAAATGTTCACATCAAAAATACCATGTTTTCTAAGTGGATTACAAATGCTGTAATTATTGAAATGGGCGCATTCTGCTGGGGAAAATTACAGAATTATGACTTGGATCTCAGGAATGCTGTGTCCTTGGGCACTCACTTTAGGCCAAAGGCGGCAGCGGGTGAGAGCACATGGCGTTGGGTCC
Organism: Homo sapiens; assembly: GCF_000001405.40. Taxonomy (NCBI): domain Eukaryota; kingdom Metazoa; phylum Chordata; class Mammalia; order Primates; family Hominidae; genus Homo; species Homo sapiens. Next base: position 142,235,781 of record NC_000008.11, read on the forward strand.
ACTGTCCTGAAAGGGAAGCGGCCCTGAGCGTTTCCTCTGTGCCAGGGCCTGCCAGGGGCACGGGAGTCCTGTCTTTTAGGGAGGGCTTCATGCAGGGTGGGGGATGGACAAGTTGAGGAGCATGGCGGGGCAGGAGGAGGTGGGCACGCAGGAGGGGCTTCACCTGGCGAGGTGGGGGCACAGAAGGCTGCAAGTCCCCCAGGGGAGACGGGCTCACCTCTCCCAATTAGCCCCAGGCTGTGCAGGATGCTGGAGCTTCAGGGCAAGGACTCCGCAGCCAGGCTCCAGCCACAGCCTCACCGCGTGGCCATGAGGCTCTGCCCATTCGAGGCTTCAGTTTCCCCGGTCAGTTTCCTCTGGAGGTGGGATCCTGGGGTGCTTTCTTTTGCTTTGACTTCTGTTACAACGAGCCTCCCTCATGAAGACAAAAATGCAAAGAGGGAAGCCTTTTAAAGAGGCTTCTGCTCCTCAGACCCACCCCCGAGATACATGCCACGGGTTCAGGGCAGGGCAGGTTCAGAGGCGGGCAGACAGAGGCAGGAGGTGGGGAGCCTGGCAGGGGCAGGTGGGGCAGGAAGAGCCTGGCCAGGGCTGAGCCCAGGACTGGGACTCTCACCCGAGGTGGCGTGACCGTCCCCACCCTCCTTCCTGCACCAAGTATCCGCTGGGCACCCTCCCTATGCTAAGCAACCTCCCGGGCTCCTCAGGCATGAGAAATCCCCCAAGTTGGCCCCCCTCCCCTGTTTCTGTGACTGAAGTCCCAGGCTGATCCCCATGTCCCCAGGCCTCCTTACACTGGAGGCTGAATAAATGAATGAATTAATTAATTAAAAAAATTCAGAAATCCCCAAAGACACCAGGCTCCCCTAGACCCCACCTCCACACAGATGAGCTCATCCCTGACCCTCCAGACCACCACCTCTTCCCACCCTCCCTGAGCAGAGCTGACAACCACACCTGTCTGCCCCAGTCCCTCTCCTCATGTTGCGTATCAATTAGTTAATCGGTGCATATTCATTGCCTATGTGCAGGGGCTGTCCTAGGTGCTGGGGATGTCAGGGAAGGAAACAAAGACCCCGCCCTGGCGCAGACACAGGAAGCAGGCGCAGAGGAAATGCACCCTGCGGCGGTCATGATGAGGAAAATGGGCAGGGGCTGGTCAGCAAAGGCGTCACTGCCAAGGTGACTTCTGAGTCCAGACCTGAAGGCAGGAAGGGAAGAGCCCATGGTTATGAGGGGGGAGCTTTTTAGGCAATCAAAAGCCCGGAGCCAGGGGCCTGAGGTTCCAGAACGGCGGGGTGGGCGGGTAGCCTGGGCTCGCTGTTCCCTCTGCCCAGTTCTTCCCCAGAGCCCACCTCCTGCTCAGCCTCCCCTCCTGCGGCCCGACTCACCTGCCGCCTGCAGTCACACGCCTGCCACCCCTCCTGCTTCTCCCTGCGTGGACCACTCTCTCCCTGGAGGGGCTGAGGCTTCCTCTGCCTGCTGTTCCTTGACTGCTCCGCCCACCAGTGTGTGGCTCCATGAGGGCAGGAGTCTTGGCCTGTTCAGGCCTGTGTCCCCAGCCCTAAGCTGGGGTCAATGACTGGCACACGGGCGGCTCGTGGTTTTGTGGACCTCCCTGCTGAATATCCCCACCAAGTGAAGCCACAGGGCCTTTCATGGCCTCTCCACCCAAAGGGCCTGGCACAAAGGGGCCCCCGTGAGTGCACAGGCCCTGGCTCTCTCCACCGTGTGCCAGCGGAACCACCCGGGCCCTCCCCTGAGCCTCCGTTTCCTTATCAATCGAACATTTTGACAAGGAAGTCCTCCTGAGGATGGCAGAGATGACTGCACGTTTGGTCCGTGGCCGCATGCTGTGAGTGCACAGGCATACTCTCCTTCCTGCAGACAGCCCCTTCCCAGAGCTCGGACGGGCCATGCTTGGACACTGTCACTCCAAGGATGGAGTCATGCGGTCCCACCAGCAGGCCCCGGGTGGATGCGGAGGGAGGGCCCATGAGCTGGATCTCTCCTGGACCTCTCTCTCCCGAACCATGCTTGCAGTGGCTGCTCGTGAGTCCTGTCCACCAGCCCCGCAGGGTGGCTTACAGCTTTTTAATGCGTCTGACTTAGAGAAGCGTCGGGTTGGGGGAAGGCAAGTCTACCAGAGACAAGGATCTCCTGTACCTCCCGTTTCCCTGCTGGCCCACGCCACCCGCCTGCCCACGCCACCCGCCCAGGTCTCCATGCATCTGACTTAGGGAGGCAGCGGCTCCCTCACCCGACCCAGGAAGCACATCCGCTTCACCTAATGCTGTGACTGTCAGGCATCCTGGTGACTGCGTTACCCGCCCCCCCTCCACCCTGCACCCCTGTTGGCCTCTTTCTGGGGAGAAGGAGTGCCGTCTGTCTCCCTGGGTCTCCAGGACCCCGGCCTACATTCCCCACCCTCCCAGGTTGCTCAGAATGTGCAGGGCCTCGACTGGGCCTGGCCCCTCTGCAGGCAGCAACCCAGGGCTCCTAGCGGCTCACATCCTCCTGGCTCCTGGGCCACCACCTGTCACCTCCATATCTGGCAATCCTGTTCCCCCTCCTTTCCTGCCTCCTTTCCACACCATTAACTGAACTCTTGCCACAAGTCAGGAGCTAGGGACACGGAAGGAATAAAACCCTGCCGCTGAGCCCAGTCAGCAGGGAGACACATTCGACAGACAGATGCTGGTAGCCAGAAGCAAATGCCGGAATCTGAGGAGATGGAGCCCCACACCTGCTCCACCCCACACCGTGGTACCTCTCCTGCCACCATCTGCCAGCTGCTCCCCAGAGCCCCATTTCTCCCCTCCACGCCATTCTCCAGCCAGAACCATGCTCAAGGCTCCAAGCCACACTCCTCCTGCCTCACCTCCCCAGCCCCTCCCCTGCACACTCCTGCTGCTCACTTGCACATGCACACCTGCCCCTGCACACCCGCCCCTGCACGCCCGCCCCTGCACGCCCACCCCTGCACGCCCGCCCCTGCACACCTGCCCCTGTACACCCACCCCTGCACACCTGCCTCTGCCAAACACCTGTCTCCCCTTCCTCACCTGGCTCCTGCCTACTCAGTCTCCCAACCTCAGCTCAGGTGGCATCTCCTCCAGGAAGCCTCTCAGACTTCTGCTCACCAGCCAGGGGAGGTGTTGCTAGCACGGCTTCCACAGAATCCCACCGGGGCAGGGGTGGTGTCTGGCTCGTCCCTGGCACTGCAGACTCCATGACACTTGGTAAACAAATGTGCAGATGCACCAGCTGGGCCTAGGGGTGGGATGTGGGAGCCAGAGGGCAGGCAGGAAAGGCCCCCAGGAAGGGGGACTGGTTTGGGTGAAGGCCTACAGGAGAGAAAGTTCTAGGGCTCAGGGGAAGCTTGGCACAGCCAGAAAACTGAGTTCAAGGTCCCACTGAGCCTCCGCTGCCATCAGCAGCCAAACCTTAGCCAGGTGGGCTTCCCAGAGCAGACACCCCTCCTTTCTGCAGAAGAAGGTGGCCGGGGGCAGCCACGCCCTTTCCACAAGGAGCCTTAAAGCCCCTTGGGTAAGAGCCAAGACAGGCCTGGAGAGTGTGAACTAAAAATAACCGGTAACAATAGCATGGAAGTTGGAAGGGAGTAATCAGAGCTCAAGCGTTTAAAGGTCCATGCATTATTCAGGAAGGGGCTAGGACGATGTCTAACCTGAGACTTCATTTCAGTAGAATGACCTGGCAACATTTCAAGGGAAACAAATACAAGATTGAAATAAAGTGTAGAAGAAGTTTTAAAAATAGAGTAAGGAAAAAGTGAACTAACTTTTTAAAACTCCATTGATTCAGGAGGCGTGGAAAGTGAATGCACCAGGTGCATCTGAATTCCATCCTGGACTTAACAGGAAGCGTTAATGGAGTAATCAGGAAAACCCGAGTGGGGCCTGTGATTAGCGAGTCACGTTAAATACGTGGTTAGCGCCAACTCACCACTTCTGAGGGTGTGTGGGAGAGAATGTCGGCTCCTCCTGATGCTACTCAAGGGCTGGGGATTGGAGCATCCTGATAAGGAAGCATTAACAATGGTGGATGGGACCCAAAGAGGCTGGGCTTGGTGTCCTATTTCTGCGACTGTTATGTACATTTGAAATATTTTCAAAGTAAAAAGTTTAAAACTCTAGCAATAAAAAATAAAGAAGCTTTCAGACATCAAGATAAATACAGATCAAAAAGTAAGAAGGGAGAAACAAGTCCCCATATATCAATAATGGATTAAACTCGCCAATGAAAAGACAGGGATTGACACATGGGATTTTTTTAAATCCAGCTATCTGCTATTTACAAGAGGCATATCAAAAGCACAGAGGCATAGAAGTACTGAAAATGAAAAATAACAGGAAAATATATGATGAAAACATTAATCAAAAGAAAGCTGGGATAGTCCTGTTAAGAGCAGACAACATGGATTTAAGATAAAAAGCATTATGTGGCATCAGAAAGGTCACTTTATAATGCTGAAAGGTTCACTTCACCAAGATGATACATTCCAAACTTGTATACAATCTTAACGAAATAGCCACGGAATACATAAAGCAAACAGTTATAAAGCTACTGGGAGAAATTTCCAAATCCACCAGTGGGGTAGGAGATTTCAACATATTCCTCTCAATTTATGATAGGTCACACAGACCAAAAAGAGGTAAAAATACCGAGATCTGAACTACAAAGTTAACAAGCTTGATTTGAGGGACACTAATATAACTTTCCATGCACTAATTAAAGAATGCACATTCTTCTCAGGCACAAATGGAACATTTACAGAGATGGAAAGTTCTAGGCTATAAAGCAAGTCTTGGCAAATTTCAAAGAAGCAGTGTTGGACATAAAAGAAATTCTCTGAGCAAAATGCAATTGTTAGAAGGTAATTAAAAAAACAGTAAATTAAAAATCCCCATGCATTTAGAAATTTTATAATCTCCTTAAGTAATGGGTCAAAGAAAAATGATAATAGACATATACAGTTTCTAAACTGAACAATAATGGAAATATTATGTATCAAAACACAGGATGCAGTATAAACAGACCTTTACAGGAAGATTTATAGGCTCTAGATGCTTATGTTAGAAAATAAGAAAGGCTGAAAACTCGTGGGCCAAGCGTCCAACTTTAGAGGAAAGAACTTTTCTTCCAAGATCAGGAACAAGACAAGGGTGCCGGCTATCATCACTTCTACTCAACACAGCACTGAAAGTCCTCGCCAGTGTAATTAGGCAAGACGAAGAAGTAAAAGGCATCCAAATTGGAAAGGAAGAAGTTAAATTGTCTCTCTGTTTGCAGACGACATGGTCTTACTGATAGAAAACCCCAAGGACTCCACACAAAACCTGTCAGAAGTAACAAACGAATTCAGGAAAGTTGCAGGATACAAAATCCACATTCAAAAATCAGTCACGTTTCTATACACTAACAATGAACTATCCACAAAAGAAGTCAAGAAAACAACCCCATTTACAATAGTATAAAAAATTACTTAGGAGTACATTTAAGGAAGGGGTGAAAGATATATACAATGAAAATTACAAAACCTTAATGAAGAAATTGAAGAAGACACAAATAAATGGAAAGATATACTGTGTTCATGGATTGGAAGAATTTATACTGTTATAATGCCTATACTATGCAAGGCAATATACAGATCGAACAGAATCCTATCAAAATTCCAACATTTTTTCACAGAAATAGAAAAAAAATCTAAAATTTGTATGGAACCACAAAAGACCTCAAATAACCAAAGCAATCCTAAGCAAACAGATGAAAGCTGGAGAGGTCACATTAAATAATCTCAAAATCCACAAAGCTATGGTAACCAAAACAGCAGGGTACTGGCACAAAAACAGACGTACAGACCAATGAAACAGAAGAGAAGGCCCAGAAACAAATCCATGCATTTGCAGTTAACTAATCTTTGGCAAAGTTGTCACCAATACGTCATGGGGATATGACAGTCTCTGCAACAAATGGTGCTGGGAAAACCGGGTATCTACACACAGAAGAGTAAAAACGGATCTCCATCTCACGCCGTATACAACAATCAACTCAAAATGGATGGAAGACCGACATGTGAGACCTAAAACTCTAAACCTACGATCTCCATCTCACGCCATATACAACAATCAACTCAAAATGGCTGGAAGACCAACATGTGAGATCTAAAACTCTAAAACTACAGTCTCCATCTCATGCCGTATACAACAATCAACTCAAAATGGATGGAAGACCGACATGTGAGACCTAAAACTCTAAAACTACAATCTCCATCTCATGCCGTATACAACAATCAACTCAAAATGGATGGAAGACCGACATGTGAGACCTAAAACTCTAAACCTACGATCTCCATCTCATGCCATATACAACAATCAACTCAAAATGGATGGAAGACCGACATGTGAGACCTAAAACTCTAAAACTACAATCTCCATCTCATGCCGTATACAACAATCAACTCAAAATGGATGGAAGACTTACATGTGAGACCTAAAACTGTAAAACTACTAGAAGAAAACATAGGGAGAACTTTTCTTAACACTGGTCTTGGTAAAGATTTGTTAGATATGACCCCAACAGCATGAGCTACAAAAGCAAAAATAAACAAAACAGATTGCATCAAACTAAAAAGCTTCTGTCCAGCAAGGGGAGCAGTCAGCAGAGTGAAGAGATGACCTGCAGAATGGGAGGAAATATGTCCAAACCATACACCTGATAAGTGGTTAAAATTTAAAATCTATCAGGAACCCAAACAACTCAATAGCAAGAAGACAAATAACCTGATTTTTAAAATAGGCAGAGGACCTGATGATTTTTAAAATGGGCAGAGGACCTGAATAGACATTTCTTGAAAGAGACATACAAAAAGCTAACAGGGCCGGGCACGGTGGTTCATGCCTGTAATCCCAGCACTTCGGGAGGCCAAGGCGGGTGGATCACCTGAGGTCAGGAGTTCAAGACCAGCCTGGCCAACATGGTGAAACCCTGTCTCTACTAAAAATACTAAAATTAACTGGGCGTGGTGGTGGGCACCTGTAATCCCAGCTACTCAGGAGGCTGAAGCAGGAGAATTGCTTGAACCCGGGAGGTGGAGGTTGCAGTGAGCTGAGATCAGCCTGGGCAACAAGAGTGAAACTCTGTCTCAAAAAAAAAAAAAAAAAAAAAAAGCTAACAGATATATGACAAGGTGCTCAACAGCACTATTCATCAGGAAAGTGCAAATTAAAACCAAAATGAAGTATCGCCTCACACCTGTTAGAATGGCTTTTCTGTACACATGCACATATACATATAAGATCAATGTTGGTGAGGGCGTGGGGAAAAGGGAACCCTTGCGCACTGTTGGTGGGAATGTAAATTAGCGCAGCCATCATGGAAAACAGTACAGAGGTTCCTCAAAATATTAAAACTAGAACTATCATATGTTCCAGCAATCCCACTACTCGGTATACATCCGAAGGAAATGAAACCGGTATGTCAAAGGGGACACTGGCACGCCCATGTTTATCGCTGCCCTATTCACAATAGCCAGGACGTGGAATCGGCCTAAGTGTCCCCCCAAAGTCGGATAAAGAAAGTGTGGTACATATACACCAGGAAATACGATTCAGCTTCTTAAAGAAGGAAATCCTCTCATTCGTGACAACGTGGAGGCACCTGGAAGACATCATGCTTAAGTGAAGTAAGCCAGGCACACAGAGACAAATGCTGCGTTATCTCACTTATACGTAAAATCTAAAAAAAACCTGAACTCACAGAAGCAGAGAGGGGGATGGTGGTTAGCAGGGGCCGGGGGAGCAGGGGAGGAGGTGGGGAGATCTGGGTTAAACGGTACAAGGTTTCAATCAGACAAGAGCAATACGTTCTGGTGCTCTAACGTACAGCATGGTAACTCTAGTGAATAATAATGTATAGTAGACTTAAACATTGCTAAGAGAATGTATTTAAAATGTTCTCATCACAAAATAAGTATGTGGAGGGATGGGTATGTGAATTCGCTTGATTTAATTTTTCCACAATAATACATATGTCAAAACATTATATTGTATACCATAAATATATGCAATTTGGCATTTGTCAATTTAAAAATATACAAAAAAGAAGCCGGGCATGGTGGCTCATGCCTGTAATCCCAGCAATTTGGGAGGCCGAGGCAGGCGGATCACGAGGTCAGGAGATCGAGACCATCTGGCTAACACGGTGAAACCCCATCTCTACTAAAAGTACAAAAAATTAGCCGGGCGTGGTGGCAGGCGCCTGTGGTCCCAGCTACTCAGGAAGCTGAGGCAGGAGAATGGTGTGAACCCGGGAGGCGGAGCTTGCAGTGAGCCGAGATCGCGCCACTGCACTCTAGCCTGGGCGACAGAGCGAGACTCCGACATTAAACTGTCATGATTGGTAATAACAGAATTATCATCACAGGAAACCTAAAAAATTCTTAGGCAAATTATTAGAGATAATGAGAAATGAACACTTGGCTGACTATACACTCAATTTACAAAGATCACACACATTTCTATATATCAGCCACATCCAATTAGAAAATGTGGTTTTAAAATGAGACATCATTTATAGAAACAAACAAAATATATGTTTAGGAATAAGTCAAAAAAGAAAGATATATAAAGAAAATCATCACTTACATGTATTTTAAAACATTAAAGAGGGCGTCAGTAAACAGAGTGATATACTATGTTCACAGACAAGAAGACTCACCATCGTGAGGATAAGACTGACCACATTGATCCACAGATTCCATGCAATGCCAATAAGAATGCTAACAGGGTTATCTATGGAACTTGACAAGGTGATTCTAAAATACGTATGGAAGAGCGAGGGCCAACGTCCCCAAGACACTCCTAGAACGAATCCGGGAGGTGGAGGCCAGCCCAACCAGGTCTCATCGTTCCATACGGAAGAGTAGCAACTAAGACAGTGAGCGGGGACGCAGGGAGAGAGACGCTTACCGCAGCCCACAGAGCGGAAAGGGAGGCTGGCACAGAACCTGCCACTCGCAGGGGAGCAGAGGGAGCAGGGCAGACCGGCAAGGGGCCTTCCTGCACCTGCAGCGGAAGGCATCGGCCAGAGAGGACATTTGCAACACGTGTAGACTCAGAGAGTGTTGGCTTTGAGGTCGGAGCCCACGCACCTGTGTGCAGACGCTGCACCATCATTACGACGGAAAAAAACCAACAATCCAATTTTGAAAATGGGCAAGAGGCATGAACAGACTTTTCGCAGTGAACAAAACACAAATACAAACACATGAAAAATTCCAGCCTCGTTAGTAATCAGGGAAATGCAAATGGAGACCACACTTAGTTACTATTTTACACCCAGCAGACTGGCAAAAATCGAGGAGTCTGACAATATCGAATACAAGATAGCCAGTGAGCGGATTGAGAGGAGCTCGTCTACTGCTGGTGAAAATGCAATAACCACATGGCTGGAAAGCAATTCAGTCTCAGCTGACAGAGGGGAAGCAACTGCGTCCCTGAGACCCAGGGATCACACTTTAGTAGAGAGCTGGAGACATGCTCGTCAGAGCAGCAGCCGACACAAGTGTGCTCAGAGCAGTGCTGGTTTTTCACCAAAAACTGCAAACACTCTACGCATCCATTGAGAGGAGAATGGATATAAATCATGCTAGGGTCACACAATGTCATCTTCTGCATCAGCGAAAATTATGAACTGTAGCTATGCATAAGCACATGGATGAGTCTTCAAAACAAAGCTGGATGACAAAAGGCCAGTCTCAGAAGAATACTAATAGTATGGCTCAATTTTTAGGAGCTAAAAAATAAGCAAAACCAAACAATACATTGTTTAGTAGTGAATACATCTTACCAACATTTCCTGCATAAAATAAGACAAAACCATTTAAAACTACATAAGAGCAATGGAATAACAGACACGCAATTTGGGGACAAGATTAGGTTGGGGTGAGGGCAGAGGGTGCGATGAGGCAGGGCTGCTCCCAGGAGCAAGCAGTGGTCCTGTTGGTTCTGGGTTAGGAGGTGGTTCATAGACACTATCCTTTATATCCTAAATACACGCTACACACAACCTGGTGTGGCTGTTGAATAACAGATCAGGAAAAGCTCATGCAACAACAATACTGAGACAAGCTAGGGGTTTGTACAGACTTTACCTCTAACCCTTACAGGTAACCTTCTCCACAATTCCAAAATTCCACTGCTGTAAGATCCAAACATGCTAATTCCGCAATTCCAATTATCCAAAGACACGGCACAGCAGAGCTTGGAGCTAAGGACTTCCCAGCAGGAGAGTTCCCCACTCTTCGGTTCCACAGCCCCCGTCCCATAAGGGTCCCAAAGAGGGTGTCCACTTGCCAAGGGCACCCAGGGCCTGTCCTCAGTGGCCAGCCCTGGGAGGGCAGAGCAGCACCTTGTAGCCACCCCTACCCCCATGAAGGCAGGGCTGGGGGACCCCCAGGAGATGGCAGGGCTGGGCTGAGGGTCCTCTTGAGGGCTCCACACTGTGCTGGTGGGCCAGGTCCCCTCTTCCAAGTTACACAAGGGCCCATTTCTTGGGCAGAGCCACAGGTCCTCCTGCTGCTGGCTGTCCCTGCCCCCCACCATCCAGCCTGCCCCCATCTGAGGAGTCAGGAGCCAGCCTCCACACCTCTGCCCACCCCCTCCCTGGCATGCCCCCTCCTCCCCTGGACACAACCCCAGCTTCATTCATTCATTCATCCCTGGAGGAGGAGGCAGCCTGGACTGCTTAAAAGGTTGGGTCTTGGACTTAGGGTCAAGCAGACGGGGTGCAAACCTGGCTCTGCCCCTCGAGTGTAGCTTTGGGGAAGCCTCTTGGCTTCCCTGAGCCCTGGGCCCCTCGTCTTCCCCGTGGAGGCTGGCAGAACGGAGGGATGACCGAGGACCTGGGAAGTGAGATGCGCAGACACGGGAGAACCGTTCAAGGCCGCAGAGGCTGGCCTGAGCCCAAACGCCTGCTGTGCCTCTGCCTTCTGAGTGGCCAGACACACTCCTCCTTCCAGTCATCCCCACCAACCTGTGTTAGCACCTGCTACACATCAGCACCACCCTGAGAATGTGCGAGGCAGCGATGAGCAAAGACCATCATGAAGGCTGCCATCTGAAAGTGACCACAGCACGCCCTCAGTCATTCCTTAGTCTCTCCAATCCTTCCCCTTCTCAATGAACACACATCTGTGCCTGCCAGGTGCTGCGACCAGCTATGGCCAGACGATGTCCTGTACATGCAGCTCTCTCCTCCTGGAGAAACCCCGATGCCAGTCCTGAGCCAAAGGTGTCAGCAGAGCCCTGAGCCTGGGCAGGTGTGGGAAGCAGGGAGGGAGCAGCAGATGGGTGCCCACCGCCGAGACTCCAGACCTATAGATCCACCAGCCCTGGAGAGTTGCAGGCACGAAACTTCAGCCCATGAGAACGGCTGCCTGGACTGAGCCCAGCAAAGCTCTGGGGGCGCTACTGCCCGAGGCTCGGGGTCCAGCCCCCACCCTGGTGCGTCTAGAAGGTGGGACATGGAGTCAAAGAGATTATTCTCAAGGCTTCAGATGTAATGTTGTCTGTCTGTTGGGTTTTGGACTCTTACTTGGGACCAGTGACCCCTTTCTTCTTTCCTGTTTCTCTCATTCAAAGTAGAAATGTCTGTCCTATGCCTGTCTCACCCTTGTATTTTGGAAGTGAATAACTTGTTTGATTTCACAGCTCATAGTGGGGGGTGGGGGCAATTGGCCTCAGGACAAAACATGTCTTGAGTCTCGCCCATGTGATGTTTTAAGAGATGGGATCTCACTGTGTTGCCCAGGCTGGAGTGGGGTGGCTATTCGCAGGTGCAATCCCACTACTGATCAGCACGAGAGCTCTGACCTGCTCTGTTTCCCACCTGGGCTGGTTCATCCCGCTTTAGGCAACCTGGTGGTCCCCCGCTCCCAGGAGATCACCATATAGATCCGAACTTAGTGTGGACACCTGAGGGGCCCAGACTTCCTGCACTCAAGCGATCCTCCTGCCTCAGCCTCCCAAGTAGCTGGGATTACAGGCACCACCGCCATGCCCAGCACCCTTGTGGTGTCTGGATGAGACTTTAGACTTAAAGGCCAGTGCTGGAACGAGCTCGCATGGGGGATACTGGGATGGAATGATGCTCTTTTGCATGTGGGAAGGACATGAATTTTGGGGGCTAGGTACAGAATGCAAAGGTGTGAATGGCCCCTCCAAAACCCAGGTGTTACCACCGTGACGGTATCGAGAGGTGATGAGGCCTGGCGGCTGCTCCCTCATGACGGGGACCAAGGCCCTTACAAGGCTTCACGCAGCATCCTCCACCTCGCCCTCTGCCTTCTGCCACCTGAGGACGCAGCTGGGAGACCCTGCCCGGACAAGATGTGGCACCTGGACCTTGGACTCCCAGCCTCCAGTGCTGTGAGAAGTAAATCTCTGCTCTTTAGAAAGGACCCAGTCTCAGGTGTTCTGTTTCGCAGCACAAATGGATGAAGACACCCAAGTTCAGAAGAGGGCTCTGAGAGCACCAACATGGCAGCTCCAGGATGCCCGCACAGCTCCCCAGAGGAGTTAAAGGGATTGAGTAACGGGACAAAGAGCCCCAGCCAGAAACTCAGCACCCACGGGGCTCCTGGTGTTCTCTCTCTCTCAGACTCATAAAGATTGCTCTTGCCTCACTGATCTCTGTCTAGCTCCCAGGCTGAGAACGCGGCCCCCAGACGGCAGGAAGTGCTTCCCAAATGCTGCCCTGTGGGGCCGGCTCTGGGCAGAGTAGGTTCCTGGCACTGCAGATGGTCTGGAAACTGGGGACTCGTGGCGCTGAGAGTGGACTCCCTAGGAGCAGATCTGGGCTGGGGTCTGGGTCTGGTTTACGGAGGTGGAGCTACTGAGAAGCCCGGAGGGAGGGGAAGCAGGGCATCCTGGGCTCAGACAGTGTCTGCCCTGAGCCTGGCCCACGGGGGCTCCACGTCTCCCACCTGGAGGAACAGAGGCCAGCCTCCTGCTGCCCTGTATCACTCGGTTGCAGGCTCCTGCCAGTCACGGATGGTTCTCGGGAGCAGGGGGCAGCTGAGGGCCTCGCTCACAGGGCTGGGTACTCAGCAGGGAGGGCACTGCTGCGCCCACTACCCACGCCTCCTCCACTTCTAGAAGGGCCACGCCTTTGGAGGTAGCCAGCCCTGTGGCCTTGGGCAGGACATCCACCTCTCAAAGCCTGAGTCTCCATCAGTAATGCTACCTCCCCAACAGGAACTAAACTGAGGCAGACACCGGGCCCCCGCCAGACCGCACACAGCAGGCGCCCAATGCCCCTTCCTCACGGGGCCACGCTACGACTCTGCCATTGGCTTGACCCCAATTTATAACATGAGGAAGGGGCTGAAGACCAGAAGCCTAGATATGCTCTACAAACCCCAGGGACGTCATCCGGACGGGGTGAGGGCGGTGGACCCAGGCCTGTGCCAGGCGGCTTCTCTCCCTGGAGGAGAACTGTGGGCAGAGGGTGGGCTGGGCAGCCGGCAAGGAACAGGAAGGGCCACCGGGAAGGCTGCCGAGGCCAGCGTGTGTGAGAGGTGGGCCTGGGGCCCAGCCCTGACCCAGCAGGAGGTGGCTACTAGGAAGGGGGACAGCCGACCTGGAAAGGGGGGTTTGGGTGGCAATTCCCAAGATCCCCGAGGAGGGCAGGTCCTGGGCAGAGGCTAAAGGAAGTGGGGAGGATGGGAGCCAAAACAGAGAGGACTTGACTGGGGCGGAGGCAGCGGTTTCAAGCACGCAGTGGGTTGCATAATTGTTCATAAGCCTGTGCTGCCTTCTCACGGCACCTCTCCCTCCTCCGCCCAGGGTGCTGCAGCAGGCAGGCCGTCCGCGTCAGGACCGGCTCATGAGAAATGCTCTGGTCAATGCCGTGGAGCAGCAGTGACATGTGCTGTTTCCAAGCAGATCCCTTCAGGGAGACCGTGGCACTCCTCCTCCCTCTCCCTCACTACCTAGAGCCCATGATGTCTTCGAGAGAGCTGGGGTCCCAGAGTGGGAAGCATGGCAGCAAAGCCACAGCCAGACCGGCCCATGGTGGCCTCGCAGCTCCAGCACCAATCACACCCGCAACCTGGGGGCAATTGTGACTGCAGCTTAATAGCCTGGGCTGATGGCTACGAGAGCTCTGAGCTTGGGGAGTGGGGGCCGGGGGATGCCGAGCTCTGCCGCAAACCTGCTGAGGGGTCCTGGGCAGCTCCAGAGACCTCTCTGGGCCTCCCATGCCCTTCTTCAGAGTGCGCCGCATGAGACCTGCTGGAGCCAGGCCGGCAGCGCAGCAGTGTGCTGGAGTCATTAATGCAGGCAGGCCCTGAGCTAATGAAATCCACATGGCAGCCACTCACACTTCCAGCCATGTGCTCCTCTCGGATTTTTACAGCCATTCTCCTGCCAGCGGCAAGAGCATTTTGAGGGAAAAATGCAAATTTGGGGGACATGGGGGAGCTCTTCACCAGGCTAAAAATGGCGCTCTAATGAGGCCTCCTCCCCTGGAGTAGGAGCGAGTTAGAGCTCCTTGGGGTGCGAGGTTGGAGCAGTGGGTGCCAAGGCATAATCCCTGCTTCTGCATAATCCCGGATCCCTTTCCAAGCAGCGGCGTGGGGGCTGAGCCAGGGGAGAGGGAAAACAGCCATCAGCGTCGCGGGCTCCTTGGTGAGGCGGACACTCACCCGCCAGTGAAGGCATCTGGAGCAGGTTCCAGGCCCGATCGCAGTAGCCTGCTGCCGCTTGTTTTCCTTCGGAGCGTTCTCATCTGTCTTGTTGATGGCAGCGTTAATGAGCCCTTGCTGGATGCACCTGAAGCAGCAGCTAGGCAACAGGCGCTGGGGAGCATGGAGCTGCAGCCCCAGGCGCTTGCAGACGTGGGGAAGGCAACACCGAGGGCATGGCAGCACAGGCAGCTGACCCCAAGGCTGGCCAGCCCTGCTTCCCTGACCTGCAGTCAAGGCTGCCTGCTCCAAGGAGCTGCCGTGGTGATGGACGTAGTCCACGTGCAGACTGCCTTGAACGCAGGAGCCGACGGACGAGGGGCTAGCCTTTCCCTGCCTGTGCCTCTCGGAGAGGGATGAGCATGAATCACCACTGTCCAGGCCCGAGGCCTGACCCAGTAAAGGAAGGCCAAGGAAACCCCCGTAAGGGCGGCTCAGCCTCCAGGGAGCAGCGGGCTGTCATGGGAGCTGCCCATGGTGCTGGAGCTCAGAGCTCTGGTGCAGCTCGCCAGGCAGAGGGTTTGCTGGGGATCATGTGCCCATTTAAAAGACGAAAATGCTGAGGCCCAGAGTCACCGGGCAGGCAAGTGAGGAGTTCCAGCCCAGTGCATTTGGGATCAGAGCCAGACTCTCCCTACAGGCCCCCACCGCCTTCCACCAGATTCCCAGTCTCCAGACCCCGGCCCCCCTGCACACCGCAGCCTGCCCCCCATGCCACACACTGCTGGCTCAGGCAGTGTCGGAGTTTGAGATTCCGGTCAGCTAGGGCTGAGAACCCCGCCCCCCTCCCCCCACAAAAGCCACAATCAAGAAAAGAGACTTGGTTCATCCTTCTGAGGGAAGTTGAGAGAAAGGGCTGCAAAGCGTGGCCCTGCTGCTCATGCCCCTCCTGCAGCATCCCGACACCTCCCATAAGCAGTGGGCCCACGAGCAGCTCAGGGCAGAGGTTGTCCTCCCAGTTAGGGTGCGGCAGGCTCCTGTCCGTCCGAGCAGCACTGCTCTGGCACCCTCTGTATTCTGAGAGCACACATCAGGCCCTGGTCACATTCCTGCCTGGAGACAGGGCCCGGCTTATGAGAGGAGCCTTCGACACCCTTCACTGAGTGCCTCTTGCCAGGGCCTGGGCACCATATACCCACCGCCCGCGTTCTCTATCTGCAGGGCCCGGGCACCATGTACCCGCCACCCGCGATCTCTGTCTGCAGGGCCCGGGCACCATGTACCCGCCGCCCACGTTCTCTGTCTTCAGGGCCCGGGCACCATGTACCCGCCACCCGCGTTCTCTATCTGCAGGGCCCGGGCACCATGTACCCGCCGCCCGCATTCTCTGTCTTCAGGGCCCGGGCACCATGTACCTGCCGCCCGCGTTCTCTGTCTGCAGGGCCCGGGCACCATGTACCCGCCGCCCATGTTCTCTGTCTTCAGGGCCCGGGCACCATGTACCCGCCACTCGCGTTCTCTATCTGCAGGGCCCGGGCACCATGTACCCGCCGCCCACGTTCTCTATCTGCAGGGCCCGGGCACCATGTACCCACCGCTCGCGTTCTCTATCTGCAGGGCCCGGGCACCATGTACCCGCCGCCCGCGTTCTCTGTCTGCAGGGCACGCACGTTGAGAGAGAGCTTGTTTGATATCTGGGCGGTTTGTTTGGTTTAATTTTGTTGTTTTCCCTTTCTGCTGTCAAGAGGTAAACAGACGGCTGCTTCATCTTCTTAAGCAGGCCTACATTCGTAATGCATGGGTTGCGGGTGGGAGGAGGAAGGGCCGGGCCCCCCCGGTACCAGGGCACTGGCTCTGTCCTGGCTGTGCCCCCCACTGGCTGTGTGTCTCAGGCCAAGCCTTGGAACCTCTCTGAGCCTCTCTTTCCCGCGTCTGTAAATGAGGCTGGTTTCCCCGTCCTGCCCTGAGGTTTGAGGTGGTGCTGCCGGCGACAGTGGTCAGGGGAAGAAGCGGCAGCCGCCTGTGCCCAGCGCCCCAGCAGGAGCTACCTGCATGGTGTCGCTCAATCTTCCTAAAGCTCCAGGCGAGGAAGAAATGGCTCAGAGACAACACGATTTGTCAAAAGTCACACAGCAAGCAAGTAACACAGCCAGGACCCAGGTCAGGGCACTTCCAAGCATTTATCCTTCCCTGGAAGTGCCAATAGCACTGCGAGGGCCGTTGTTTACTTCCAGCCACCCCTGCTGTCTCCATTCTTGTGTGCAACAGTTTGGAAGCATGCTGCCGTGGTGACCTCAGCCCCGAGCCCCCATCCTGGCTCCCCTGTGGACCTGGCAGGTCCTCCCCTCCCCACCCCTCAGCCATTTCCTCTGCACAATGGGACACTGCTTCCTGGCCACTGCCCTAGTGGGGCAGGTATGAGGCTTGGCTGAGTCAAAGCACAGACACGCCTGCTCTGCGTCCACTCCGGCCCAGGTGTGGGGATGCTCAGAGCAGGACACAAGGTCCAGCCTCTGCCCTGCCCTGCCCACGTCCCCTCCCCAGGCCTGCAGGAGGGCATCTGCCTGTTCACAGACTGGATGTGCCCACTCCCGGGTGCAGTATCTGGGATAGAGACCGGACGGGCAGCCTGGCAAGGAGACTGGGCTCTGCCACGGGTGAGAGTGCGGAGGTGGACAGGCTGGCGACAGCCCAGGCTGGCACTACGGGTACGGGAGGAGGGCCGGTAGCCGTGGAGTCACAGCAGTGGTGACGGCGGTGCCTGCAGAAGCAGGGCCGCTGGGCCACCTCCCGAGCACAAGCAACAAGCGAGGCACAGGCCAGCGTGCGTGCCGCGTCTGCACAGGGTCAGAGGGCCCAGTCCAGGAAAGGCACAGACAAGGTTCCGGGCATGAGGCCTTCCTGATTGCCACCCTGAGGGTGCAGTCACCCCCGAGTCACCACCCCCAGTGGCCATTCTGGGCAGGGACCCATTGCAGGTAGGGCGGTCACCCCCCAGTCACCAGCTCCAGTGGCCATTCTGGGCATAGACCCACTGCAGTAGGGCGGTCACCCCCCAGTCACCAGCTCCAGTGGCCATTCTGGGCATAGACCCACTGCAGTAGGGCGGTCACCCCCTAGTCACCAGCTGGGCTCTGTGTTTGCCCCTGCCTCGAGGTCACTCTGCCCTGACATCACCAACTTCCTTGCAAGGCCTCAGGCAGGATGGGTGACCTCGCTGAATCTCCATCACTTCATCCCCAAGTGGCAATGGTGACCCCTCCCGCAGGACCCTGCGGCTGGTCAGTGGGAACGCGTAGCCAGCCTTTTCCCAGGGGCCCGGCACGTGGCCCATGTTGTGTGTCGCCACCCTCATGGACTCCCGAGCCCGGAACAGGACAGTGGGTGAGGGAGGTGGGAGGTGGAGCCCTCAGGTTCCCCCGACCCAGGGCTGCCCACTGATCCCTCCAGACCCTGTCAGACCCAAGACTGGACTAGGAGGAAGGCAGGGCTGAGAGAAGACGCCAAGCCTTTTCCAGAAGACAGAAATCAATTCCACGCAGAGATATTCTTGGCTTTTCGTTTAGAGAGCAATAAAATGCTCTGTGCCTCCCTTCCACCTTCTTCTTGGCAGAAGGCACCAGACAGCCGTGGGCTCTGGCCCCGGGAGCCCGGCCGGCTGGAAGCCTGGCAGTGTGTTAAGGCTTTTTAATGAAACCGATCTATATCTGTTTGCAGGAGGCAGGGTACAGCCAACTGAGTTCTGCTGTGGTTTCCAGGAGTCAGAGGCTGCAACTGGCTTCCCCAGTGCCCCGTGGGGCCATGCTTCCTGGCACGGAGGCCCTCCCCATGCCCCGGCCTCTCCCTGCTGCCTGCTGCTGCTGTCTGCAGAAGACATCCCATCTACCAGCTCAGAGGAAGGACCCAAGCCCACCTGGCCAACACTCCAAACCACCTGGAGCCTGCAGATGGACAGAAATGCTTCCTGAGTTCCCAGAAAGCGATGGGCCTTTAAGCAGCGCCTCTGTACACAGCAGTGGCAGGGGATCCCCGTGGGACCCATCTTGCTTCACCTCTCATGTTCTTCCCTGAGCGGCCCCTTCTCTGGCTCATCCCCCTCCCTCCAGCACCCCCTGGCAGAACACGCTTCCTCCCCCACCATGCTGGCTGTGGGAGAGGTGTTCCGGCATATGGGGAAGGCGGGGCATCAGAGAGGCCTGGACTCGAACCCTGGCCTCACCACCTGCCAGCTGCATGATGGGGGCAAGTCCCAGCCCCACCCCAGTTTCAGTCTCACATCCACAGAATGAGGACAACACAAGACAGTGCTGCAGGCGGCTGCTGGGCTGAGGACGGCCAAGGGGAGGAGAGTCTCTCGCAGGGGTGGTGCTGCACCCGGGGCTCTGGTGCTGAAGCTGCACGCCCCATGCCCTCCCCTGCCTGCCACTCCCTGGGCCAGGCCCCTCCAACAGGTCCTGGACACTCACTCTGAGCCCAGCCTTGTGCTGACTGCCTGGGTGGTTTGGGGGGATAGACTTGAGCCACCTTTGAGGATCTTGAGGCCAGGTGGGGAAGGCAGATCCCTGTCCCATAACAGAGAACAGCAGGGGGCAAGAGGAGAGCTCTCAGATACAGAGGCCCCCAGCGGCTGAAGGGGAGTGAGGCAGGTGGGGACTCTGTCCCCAGCCCCATGAACCTGTCAGTAAGAACTCAGCACCGTAAGACAGAGGTCACTTTCTTTATCCCATTCTCCCAGTGCCCTATGCAGTGCCTAGTATGGAGGACTCAACACCATCACCCTAATACCTACCATCACCAAGTGTCACCACCACCACCATCCCTACCAGACCAGCCACATCATTATCACCACCATCACCACCACCACAGCACCATCACCATCACCATCATCATGGCTGTTACCACCACCATTACCATCACCACCACCATCACCATCACCACCACCACCACTGTCACCATCACCACCACCATCACCATCACCATCACCACCACCATCACCATCATCATCACCACCACCACCACTGTCACCATCACCACCACCACCACCACCATCACCATCACCACCACCATCACCATCACCACCATCACCATCACCACCACCACCACCACTGTCACCATCACCACCACCATCACCATCACCACCACCATCACCACCATCATCACCATCACCACCACCACCACTGTCACCACCACCACCACCATCACCATCACCACCACCATCACCACCATCATCACCATCACCACCACCACCACCACTGTCACCATCACCACCACCATCACCATCACCACCACCATCACCACCATCATCACCATCACCACCACCACCACTGTCACCATCACCACCACCACCACCACCACCATCACCACCACCATCACCATCACCACCATCATCACCATCACCACCACCACCACCACTGTCACCATCACCACCACCATCACCATCACCATCACCATCACCACCATCATCACCATCACCACCACCATCACCATCACCACCACCACCACCGTCACCATCACCACCACCATCACCATCACCACCACCACTGTCACCGTCACCACCACCGTCACCATCACCACCACCATCACCATCACCACCACCACCACCACTGTCAGCATCACCACCACCATCACCATCACCACCATCATCACCGTCACCACCACCACCACTGTCACCATCACCACCACCATCACCATCACCACCACCATCATCACCACCACCACTGTCACCATCACCATCACTATCACCACCACCACCATCACCATCACCATCATCACCATCACCATCACCACCACCATTACCATCATCACCACACCCACCACCACCATCATCACCACCATCACCATCTTTGCCACCATCATCATCACCATCATTATCACCACCATCATCACCACCATCATCATCACCAATACCACCAGCAGCAACCACCATCATTATCACCACCATCATCATGGCTATCACCACTACCATTACCATAACCACCAACACCATCACTATCACCACCACCATCACCATCACTGTAACCATCACCACCACCACAACCATCACCATCACCATCACCACCATCACCATCACCACCATCACCATCACCATCATCACCACCATCACCATCACTATCATCACCATCATCACCACCACCACCACCACCACAATCAGCAGAAGTAACTGTGCCACATGCTTTCACAGGCAATCCTGAGGCATTCCTGGTATTATATTTTACAGGAGAGCGCAATGAGGAGCAGAGATTAAGCAATATGCTCGAAGTTGCACACAACTCGTCACTGGCAGAGCTGGGATTAGAACCGGGTTCTGCCTGACTCTGGGGACAATCCTCATTTGTTAAGCAAACAATGGCAGCCACTGCTACTCAGCACAATTTCTGAAGCAGGGGCTTTTCTTGGTGAATGAGGACCAGGGTCAGGGGCTGCCTCAGGGGTCCTGGGGAACACTGTTGCTCTGAGCCACAGGTATTGGAGGGAAAACAGGCTCATTTGCATGCCATTTGCATACAGTTGCTAAAAGGAGCCACAATTCCCCACCACTTCCAAACTGCTTTGTTCTGCCTTGAAAGGGACCTTCCCACGCACACATACCCATCCCCCAATCACCATAGACACAGACACCCTGACGTGGGGCGGTGTCCCTCATCACCTCTCTCCGAGGGAGGCAAGTCTCCACTTTCAGCACAGTGCCCACTTCGGGGGTGACCTTGGACAGGGAACCTCCTCTCTCTGACTGCAGCCCACCCAACTGGAGCAGCCCGGGGTTCCCAGGCCCTCCTAGCTGAGCATGCAAAGATGGAGGGGCAGATTGGACAGGACAAGGTCCTCTGCAGGGCCGGTGCTCAGGAGGGGCCTGCGGAGGGCAGGAGCTCCCCGCAAGCCCGAGGCATACTGGACAGCTGGCCGTGGACAGCCAGAACACCTGGACTGGACAGGATGTCAGGTGCTGCCTCCTGGAGACCCCCAGGCAGGTGCCTTGCCCAGCCAGGAGACTCTGGGAGCCTCCTCCCCTGTAGGCCACCACATTCCACCCACCACTCCCCTCTGCTTCCCTGGCAGCTGCTTGGCTCCGGGACACTGGGCAGCTCCCCTGCCGCTGCAGGGGTCCAGGCTGACAGGCTGGGAGGAAGCAGTTTGGGAAGGTGCTTCAAGCTGGCCTCCCAGGTTACAACTCCAGGGGCCTGATAGGCAGGGTCTCAGGTCCCTCTAAAGATCCCCGCGATGACCCAGGGGTGGGAGGCCTGGCCCTGGGGGTGCTACTCTTCCTCTACCCACCCTGGCCAGGCCACCCCTGCCAGACACTCACTGCTTCATGGAGATCCAGCCGCCTCCGGGAGAAGCCCTTTCTGCCCACTCTGCTGGCCCCACAGCCAGAAAGTGAGGCACTCTCACCTTGGTGCTCCCACCCACTGCCCCTGGGTGAGCATAAGAGCTTGAGCACGCATACGCACACAACACCCAAGCTCACACACACACACACCACCCGTGCTGTCTCACAGACACAACACTCAAGCTCACACACACACACCTGTGCTTATACACACATGCACACATGCACTTGTGCTCACACATGCACACACAAAACCTATGCTCATGCACACACGTACACACCTGCATGCAACATGCCTATGCACGAAGGCACACGCGAAGGCACACATGGATACACATGTACACACGCTGTATGCACACACAGATGCCTGTGTGCACACACAGTACACGAGTGCATAAGCTGTGCACATATACAGGAATGCACACTGGTACATGAAGGCACGCGTGTGCACACTGCACACATGCACACAAATGCACACACACACGGATGCATGCATGCAGGCATATGTAAATGCACGCACCCGCCCACTGCTGCCCCGAGTGCACACCTACGCTGTAGGTGGAACTCAGGGAGTGCTTACTGTATCTTGGACAAGTCTTCTCTTCGCCCCCTGGGCCTTCTGCCTTCCCTCAGTTGGGACCCAGTCAGCTGCAGAACTTGTGCTTTTTTTTTTTTTTTTTTTTTTGAGACAGTGTCTCACTCTGTTGCCCAGGCTGGAGTGCCGTGGCGTGATCTAGGCTCACTGCAACCTCTGCCTCCTGGGTTCAAGCCATTCTCATGCCTCAGCCACCCAAGTAGCTGGGATCACGGGCATGTACCACCACACCTGGCTAATTTTTTTTGTAGTTGTATTAGAGACAGGGTTTTGCTTTTTTATCATATTTTTAGTAGAGACAGAGTTTTGCCATGTTGGGCCAGGCTGGTCTCAAACTCCTGACCTCAAGTGATCCACCCACCTTGGCCTCCCAAAGTGCTGGGATTACAAGCGTGAACCACCACGCCCAGCCAGAACGCATGCCTTTCTGTTGCTCACCTCAGAGACCCCAGAACCCACCCAGCTCAGAGTCTGGAAGAGCCCCAGATGCAGGGCACGGTGCCAGAACAGAGGGGTGTCCAAGGTGTGTGTGGGTGCAGCATCACCGGGGCCCTACTCCCACCGCCAGCCCAAGGGGCCCCTGAGCCACCGCTTTGCACGGTCCGGCAAGCTCAGGCGAGATACATCCAGCCACAGTCACGCTGCAGCTGAGGCGTGGCACAGCCCACCTTGAACCCAGGTCTGTCTGACTCTGAAGTTGCTCCTGAGTCACCAAGGACACTCCCAGGTGAGGTGAGGAGGATGGGCACGTTGTCTGAGGACGGGGCCGAGGGGCAGAAGGGCGACAGCACCCCAACTCCCGTGACTGCTGTCTCTACCCTTCCCTCAGCTGTGAGCCTGGTATTTATTAGACGCAGCAGATTGATTTAAATCTTTGCCTAGGGTTATTTTTCTGTTCAGCATTCTCCCAGAGAAGGACTGGTCAAGTGGGCACGGCCAGAGCTTCTGTAGACAGGAAAGGGCACGGTTTCTGGGGTCCCAGGCCTGAGAGGGCCGAGTTCAGACTGGGTCACCCTCCCTGCCCCCCATACCCCTACAGGCTGTCCTTTACAGCACCTGGAAACACAATTCACATTTACATTTCTCAGCAGACTGGGGGAAGAATCTATAACAATCTGATCACGAAAATGAGATTCTCCAGTGTTCTCTGTACCCGCGGACACTGCAGGCAGCTCAGGCCTCAGCAAAATCCAATTGCTGTTTATTTAACCTGCTTGGCCTCCCAATTAAAAGGCAGCCTCCTTCGCCCCGGACACAGGCCCACGTCCCCCACAAGCAGCCTCTTACAGGGCTGCCACCCCAGCACCGGCGCAGGCCCCTTCCCCTACCGTTCTGCTACTTCCCTGCCTGCAACGTGGCTGCTCCCAGCTCTCAGGATTAGAATACCGAGTTGCTAAGAATGCAACTAAGGGGTTCTGGAAGGAGACTTGGTGGCACGCCTTCCCCCGGGGGCACCTAGGGGATGCCTCGTAGCAAACCCTGAAGGCTGTTGTGGCGAGGAAATTTGGCCCTCAGGAACAGGGCAGTGGTTCAGGGCCTGGTGCACCTTCCCAAACTGGCCCCACCCTGCCCAGGTGCCCTCGGGCCGCAGAGGCCCAGGACTCACCCTCTGCACTCCCCCAGCCCGCCTCTGCTTGGGCCTGGCTTCCAGGCACAGTTAAGTGTCTCTTCCTCCAGGAAGCCTCCCTTGATTCCCTAGAGCCAATGGCTAACTCCTTCCTCCGGTCTCCACAGCCCCGAACCCAGAGCCTGCCACCTGGAAGCCACCTCAGAAAAGCGTGCAACGTCTTACCCTGGGGCAGGCCCCTAATTTTACAGGGAAGAAAGTAGAAAAAGTCAAATCATGATTTCAGCACAACTAGCTCAGAGCCTGAGAGCCACAGAAGCACAACTGTTTAGAGATGGAAAGAGAGAAGGGAAGGAGGGAAGAAAAGCGAGTCGGGAAGTTGAGGGCCAGATGAGCAAGCATGGGCACTGGGGCCGGGTCTGGCAGCCCACTCTCAAGGGACTCAGCCCTCCCTGGCCAGGCGTCCTCTGTCCTCCCTTGGGGCATAAACTGGCCGGGGCCCACGGCCAGGGAGGCTGGGTGGGTTATCAGCTAACCTTGCCCTTTGTTGGCCTTGGATTAACTCAGAAGCCCAAACTCTTTAGCCACCATCTGACCCAGCCTCACTTCTCAGAACCTTGAGCCCCGTTCCCCTGGAAAGCTTCGATGTGGCCAGAGACCTCTCTGCATGTCTTCATCTCACCCCAGCAGTCGGCTGAGTCCCCCGGGAAAGATCCTGACGCCCCAGCCTCACCAGTTCCTGGGGGAAGCACAGAGGGCACATGCACTCTGTGATCTGCCTTTACTGAGCACCTACTGCATGCAGAGCTCTGCCTCAGGCACTAAAGCCCTGCCCCAGAGCTAATGTTCCACAGGGAGGGAGACCACAGGGCAGAGCCTCTGCAGCTGGGTCAGGGAGGGAAGGGAAGGTGAGGGCAGATCTTCTGATAAGCACATATCTGAGACCTAAGGGGAAGCAGCAAGGCAGGATGCAGAGAGGACAAAGCAGTCAGGGAGGGAGGGAGGGAGGAGAGAGGGAGGGGGGTGGGGAGGGAGGAGAGGAGACAGGGAGGAGAGAAAGAGGAGGGAGGAAGGAAAGAGGGAAGCAGGAGGGAGGAGAGAGGAAAGGAGGAAGGAGGGAAGAGAGGGGGAGCAGGGAAGGAGAGAGAGAGGAGGGAGGGAAGGAGGAAAGAGGTAGAAGGGAGGGAGGAGAGAGGGAAGGATGTGGGAGGAAGGAGAGAGGAAGGGAGGGGAGAGGGAGGAGGGAGAGAAGGGAAGAGGGAGAGAAGGAGAGAGGGAGGAGGGAAGGAAGGAGAGAGAGAGGATAGAGGGAGGGAGGAGGGAAGGAGAGAGGAAGGAGGGATGGAGGAGAGAGGGAGGAGGGAGGGAGGGAGAGTGGGAGGATGAGGGAGGAGGGATGGAGGAGAGAGGGGGGAGGGAGGGATAGTGGGAGGAGAGAGGAAGGAGGGATGAAGGAGAGAGGGAGGACCGGGGAGGGAGAGTGGTGAACACCTGCTGGGAACTCAGCACATGCTGGGATGCTGGCACTCCCTGCTTTCTGTAGTTATTTGAAGACTATAGCCGCTCCCACTGCACAGGCGCTGTGATGCCTCAATGCATTGACCCATGTGAGCCCCAGGATGTTCCTGGCGGAGGAAAGATCTGTGAAGGCAGCATTTCTCCTTGCTCCTCATCCTGGCCACGGCCCCGGGGTGGGGGTGCAGGGGGTTATTATTCTCCTTTAACGATTGCGTTTTCCCGGCCTTCCTGCCAAACCACGAGCTCCGACAAGGCAGCTCACGGGCATAGAGGGGTCTGAGGCTGCCCTCGCTATACCCAGCAGAGCCTCCTCCAACATGCTACGAGTCTGTCCTTCAGACCTGCCCTGGGGGCACAGGTCACAGTGCCAGATGCCAGCCAAGTCCAACCTGGGCAGCAGGGCTTATGCCCAGGAGAGTCCTGCCGGCCACAGCTGCCCAGGGCATCTCCCCAACAGCCACTCCTTCCATCCCACGGCGGGGCCAGCCTGCTCCCAGCCCCATCAACTCTTGCCTGGTGTCCCTCTCACAGGCTCATGAAGCTGCTCACGCCAACCTGCTCATGGTAACAAGACAAGGCCCAGCCCTCCAGCAGACACCGAAGTCCCCTTCAGGCCTGCGGCGACTCCGTGGTGGGACAGCAGTCTCTCTACCTCGTCCTTCTTCTTCCAGGTGGCATGGCTGTTTTTAGGCCTTCGTTTGCTCACAAACTTTATAATCAGCCTGCCAAACTCCTTGAAAAACACTATCAGAATTTTGATTGGAATTGCATTGAGCCTATAGATTTGGGAATTGGCAGCTTTACAAAACCCACTCTTCCTATCCATGAACGTGTGTGTGTGTGTGTGTGTGTGTCCATTTATTTAGAATTTTTTATGTATTGTAATAAAGCTTTATAATTTTCTCCACAAATATTGTCCTCATATTTTGTTATTTTACACATGGTATTTTTGCTGGTATTATAAATGGTATGTTTTTCAATGCAGCTTACTTATTAATATGGTTTGGATGTGTGTACCCGCCCAAATCTCATGTCCAACTGTAATCTTCAGTGTTGGAGGCCTGGTGGGAGGTGCCTGGATCATGAGGGCCGGTTTCTCACGGTTTAATGCCATCCCCCTAGTGCTGTCATGGCGATAGTGAGTTCTCACAAGATCTGGTTGTTTAAAAGTGTGTGGCACCTCCCCCACCTCTCTTGCTCCTGCTCCAGGCATGTAAGACGTGCCTACTTCCCCTTCGCCTTCCACCATGATTGTAAGTTCCCTGAGGCCTCCCCAGAAGCAGAAGCCGCTATGCTTCCCGTACAGCCTGCAGAACCGTGAGCCAATCACGCCTCTTTTCTTTATAAATTACCCAGTCTCAGGTATTTCTCTACAGCAAAGCAAGAATGGACTAACACACTTATTGACTATGTACGGAAACGCCTTTGATTGTAATAACATGTGGACTTTAGACGAGCCACTTCACAAACTCTCTTATAAATTCTACTAATTTGTCCAGGAGTTCTTTTTATGAATAAAGACAGTTGTGTTTCCTCTTTTCCAGTCTTTACATATGATTGGGTGTCCTTTCTAACTGAGCCCAGCTAGCACCCTCGACTTTCTCTGTTTTTAAAGGAGGGCTCCTCATATCTCACCGTGAATGTTCGCTGTTGAGGTTTTGGTAGATAATCCTGGTCAGTTAAGAAAATTCTTGCCTTTCTATTTTGATGAGTCTTAAAAATATGAATGGGTATTCAATTGTAACAAATACTTTCTCAGGACGTCTGGAAATGGCAATCATCTGCTTTTTCTTATTTCTTCTATTCCAGTGGGGTGAATTCTATTTATAGGTTTCCTGTTGATTAAATGAATAAATAAGCAGTGTTAAATCCACTTCCAGCGTAAATCCAACCTGGCGAGGATGCCGTATCTCCAAACACTTCTGGTTGCAGTTTGCTAGTGTTTTCTTTGGGATCACCACGGTTTAGTTCAAGGGGTGGACTGGCCTCAAACATCCCCTTCTCGTGTGCTTGTTCCTCATCCTATGCGTTTAGGAATTTCCCCTCTTTTTATTTTTCTTTGGAAGGTTTGTGTAAGACTGGATTTCTTCCTTGAAAGTGGGGTAGAATACGCTTTAAAAATCATCTGGGTTTAGTGTCTTCACCATGGAAAGAATTTTTCCTACTGATTCAATTTCTTTAAAGAATGACTGAGGCTATTTAGAGTTGATGTTGGCAAAGTGGACTTTTCTAGGAATCTGTCTATTTTTTAGCTGAGTTTCCCCATGTGTTGGCATGAGATTATCCATGGACTCCTCTTGTTATTTTGAAATGTCTGCTCTTTCTCTCCTGGACTGCTGTTGCTAGTAGTTCAACTATTTAAATGGTCCTTCCTAAGAACTGGCTTTGGACTTTGTAGCGCCTTCCATTAAAATTTTAACAAGTTAAAGTTAAAGTTAACTCTGCTCCTGTCTTTACAAGTTTCTTCCTTCTATTTCTTTGGGTTCATTCTGTTGTTCCTTTACTTAAAAAAAGTCTTTTTAATGTCTATTTTAATTTTCAGCTTTCTTTGGTAGTATAAGCATTGAAGGCTACTAAGTTTCATTGAAGTCTCCCACAAATTTTGATATGCAGTATTTTCAATAGTATCCAATCATGTCTTTGTACCTAGCTATTAACTTCATATCCCTTAATGATTTCTTCTTTGACCTCTGAGTTATGTAGAACTGTTTTAAAATTTCCAAACATACAATGACCTTTTTATTTTTTGCCACCAATATCTAATGGCTGCATTTTTCTAACTGCATTTTCTAGTGATTGAAGTGTTCTACACATTACTGATCTTTTGAAATGTTTTGACTCTTGCTTTATGACCTAGTCCATGGTCAAAATCTGGAAATATTCCGGTTGTACCTGAGAAAATGAGTGCCCTCTATTTGTGTAGCAGAGGGTTCTGTAAGCATCCGTGAAGTTCAGCGCTGGTGTTCAAATTTTTAGGTTTCCTGCTGACACTCCCCATCAATCTCTAAAACAACGTGCTGAAACCTTCCGCTGTCCTGATAGATTCATTGATTTCCTTCTGTAATTCTACCCACTTTTGCTTTATGTATTTTATTAAGTGTAGAAGGGTTTAGGATTTTTCATCCTCCCGATGAGCTGAACCCATTCTGGAGTGACTCCAGTGTATCCTTAATATATACTTTTTGTCTTAAAGTCCATTTTGTCTAAAATTAACATTGCTACTTAAGCTCTCTTTTGCATAGCTTTTGACTGGCAAATCTTCACACCTTTCCTTCCAATGCCCCTTTGGTCCTATGTTGGAGTGCCTCTCTTGTCAATAGTAAAGGTGTTATTTTTTCCTCCAATCTGACAGTCCTTAACTCTGATGAGCCCTTTTAATCTGTCTGCATTTATTTTGCTCACTGGACAGTTCCAAATGCTTCTTTGTGTTCTCGCCCTGTCCTGCATTTTTCTTCTGTGTTATCTGCTTCTCCTTTTCTTTTTGTTGCATTTTTTGCCTTCTCCTTTCTATTCAACATAGGTTTTTGTTTAATTGTATTCTTATTCCATTTTTACTGATTTGGAAGTTATATACTCTAATACTCTTAGGTTACCTTAGTCTTCAGTTTCTTATTAACTTTCTACTCAGTTTGTGTGTGTGTGTAGTTCTATGAAATTTTATCACATATGTAGATTCATGTCACCAGCACCATGTTCAAAATACAAAACTGTCCCACCACCACAAGGCTCTCCTGCAGCCTTTTACAACTGCACCCTACCCCACTCCACTTCCCTAACCCTTGACAACCAGCCACCGCTCTGCCCTCCATCCCTGTGATCTCGCCCTTTTGAGAATGTTACAGAAATGGAGTCACAAAGCATGGCCTTTTCGAGACTGGCTTTTTCATTAAGCACAATGCCTTAAGAACCGTCTGAGTTGCTGGCATTTCCGAGTGGGCTCCTTTTGTTCCTGGGTAGAACTCCACTGTGTGGCCGTGGCAGTCTGTTCACCTGCTCACCTGCAGAGGCACAGCAGGGCTTTTCCACTTTGGGGCCATGGCAGATAAAGACACGATGAACATCTGTGTGCAAGTGTTGGTGTGAACATGAGTTTTTCTTTCTCTAGGATAAATGCCCAGGAGTGAAACTGTTGTGTTGTATAGTAAGTGTTATGTTTACATGTTGAAGAAACTACAAAACTGTTTTTCAGAGTGGCTGTAACATTTGACATGCCCAACAGCAGTGCATGAGCGAGCCATTTCTCCTCACCCCCGTGCCTCTTGGTCACTTCAGCGGCAGGCAGTGGCATCGCGGTGTGGGCTTAATGTGTATTTCCCTCATGGCTACTGCTGTGGGGCATCTTTTCATGAGCCTACTTGCTACCCATATATCTACTTTGGTGAGTGTCGGATCAAATTGTTGTGCACTTTCTGATGGAATTGTTTTCTTTCAGTTGAAATTAGAGAGCTTTTTATATATTCTGGATACATCCTTCATCAGACATGTGATTTGCAAATATATTCTACTAGTCACTGGCTTCTCTTTTCATTCCCTTAACAGGATCTCTTGCAGAACAGAAGTTTCCAATTTTGATGAAGGAACCCTTGAGCTTTTTTATGATGTACAGTTACTAGCACAGGCTAAAATTAATCAATATTTAACTCCCCTGCAAATACAAGGATCTCAGAATATTTGGACAATTCTTCACCTTTAATATACTATCATTGTCCAGTAGTTCCATCCTTTGTAAAAAATCTATTCCACAAATTAGACATTCTAGTAATTATGGACTTTTTAAAACCTTAATGAGGATTTGGATTTACTTACACATTTACCAATTTCTTGGTTCACTATTCTTCTTGCATTACACATACTCTTTCTGGGATTCCAGTCCTTCACCTTGAAGTCCATTTTTTGGAAACCCCTTTTCATGAAGGCCTGTTGGTG
The DNA here is from genome assembly GCF_000001405.40 of Homo sapiens. NCBI lineage: Eukaryota > Metazoa > Chordata > Mammalia > Primates > Hominidae > Homo > Homo sapiens. Next base: position 142,266,421 of record NC_000008.11, read on the forward strand.
GTAAGCCCTCGCAGTTTTTATTTGGATAGAATGTCTGTATTTTGCCTTTAATCTTGAAAGGTAGTCTTGTCAGTTGCAGAATTCTAAGTTGACAGCGACTTTCTCTCAATACTTTGTAGATACTACCATTTTCTGGCTTCCTCTGCTGCCAATGTAATGTGAAATGTCGGCAAATTTGTCATCACTTCTCCCTTCTTTCAAATTGCTTGAGGCTTTCCCTTTCTCTGTGCTGTTCCACAGTTCACCCATGATGTGCCCAGGAAGGTATTTCATGTATGTGTTCAGTATGCTCGTGCTTCCTGTGTCTGTGGAATCACACATCACATCAACGACCTCTTCACACACTGCTTTCCTCCATTTCACTGATCCTCCTCTTCCGGGACTCCAAGACGACATATGTTGCATCTCTGGTTCTACTCTCCCCATCTCTTCATCTGTCGTAGTTTCTATTTTCTTACCTCTCTTTGCAACATTATTTCTTTAGAAATCTTCGAGTTTGCTATTACTAACTTCATCTATGTCCAGTATGTTGCTTAACCCATCCACAAAGTTCTTCATTTCTAAAAGCCATACTGATATTTCACAGATCGGCCTAATCACTTTTTAGAATCTTATTGCTCATTTTTGTGATTTCATCTTTTTATTTTTAAAAATATTTCACAGAAATCATATTATATGTCTGATTAATTGCAACAGCTAAAATCTTTTGGGGTCTAAACTTGATATTTTTGCTCTTGTTGGATATTCCTCCTGGTTTTCCCTCAACGGCTTTCCCCATTACAGACCAAGTGATTTCCAACTGGAGGCCCAAAAGATTCTTCTTATTTTGTGGGTATCCCAAAGGCCTGACTAGGGGATCTTTTCTCCAGAACCTTCTTCTTGGATCCAGGATCCACAGGTGGACCTGGTGCTTATTCAGGCTCAGGGCAAGAACCTTCCTCATTTCCTGAGATCCTCTAGGGTGGGCAAGCTGGCCGTGCTCATTTGAGCCAGATGGATGAGGCACCTGAAAACTGTCCTCACTCACCTGGAATGCAGCACTGCGTAGGGAAAGGGCATGAACTTGGAATCCAGACACCTGGTTCAAGGCCTGCCTCTAGCACTCTCTGTGAACCTGGACATGACCCTGCAGCTTCAACACCACCCCTCCAATACCACCCTGGGCTCTCAGTCTGTCTGTAAAATGGGGGACCTAGTGAGGGGACCCGGGCTCTCTAGCTCTGACAGGAACCATCCCTGCCACTCCCCCCGGCCTCTTTCTAAAACACACCTTGGAAGGCCCTGCAGGCAAGCTCCGCCACAGAATGCCACATCCTATTTCTCATCACAGACCCACCATCCTCCTAATCTCTCCTGGTAAACATTTGGGCTGCCTGGGGGATGGAATGCAAGAAGCACAGTGTCCAAGGTGAGCAGTGTGGATACGAATCCCACTGAAATCCCATCTGGGATAGGTCGGCAACCCTCAAGGTCTTCCCGGGTGCCTCTCTCACACGCTTGCTAAGAGCATTCCTTCCTCAAAAGCTCTGATCCTGACAGGTTCCTGGTGAAGCCAAGACCACAGTCTCCTTCCTGGCGAACCTCAGGCCACCCCTGGCCCACATCCAAGAGAAGGGGTTTCCAGGCCCAGATCTGAGGGCAACACTCCTGGACCCTCCTGGTTCTCCTTTCATCCAGAAACACCCTTGCCCTCAGGGCCAGGCATGGCCTCTGCCCTCCCTGCGTGCCACCTGCCATTCCATGCCCCCACTGGATGATGGAGCTTCATGGACAGCCATCTGCTGTCCTGGCCATGCTCCTGCCTGGCCTCTCGGCATCTGAGCAGCTCTCAGGAAACTGTCCTAGAGTGCAAAGGGCACGTGTGCACTGTGGAGACACATGGACCAGGACTTACCCATTCTGCCCCTAAGTTCTCGAGTCCCTGCTCCTCAGCCACAATGCAGAGGTGAAGCCGGCTCTCCTAGCTTGGCCCTTGGTCTTCTCTGCCTGAGGTACTTCTGGATCTTCCTGCCCCTCGCTGGCTGCAGTGATTACTGCCAAATCGCCTTGGAGGCCTCTGCTGTCCGTCCTGCAGGGAAGCCCCCGACACTCTAGACTGTGCAATCCCAGCTCTGTCAACGCCCCAGCTTGGCAGATTGCACGCTGCCTACCCCAGCATCCAGTCCCTTCCGTCTTAGTAACAAAATCCTGATTTGGGGCTGAAGCCGTGTTTTCCAGCTTCTAATGCAACGAAATGTGGGCATCTGACTAACTCCCAGTCAGTGGGCTGAGATGCAGGCAGAGATCTCCTTCAAGGGAGGGTGTGTGACCTTCCTCCATTCCTTCCCTACACCCTGCTACCTGAAACACAAGCGTGATGGGGGGAGGCCTGCAGCCATCCTGGGCCATGAGGACCACGGCAGAGAAGGGAGCAGAAAGACACCTGGACCTCTGAGGACTGTGGCCCTGCCTTGCCAGCTCCAGGTCATCAATGTCGGTGACGTAGGGGCCATGACGCCTATCTACTCTAAGACACCCTATTCTCTGTTTCCTACCAAATGCAGTTACACTGATTTTTAACTGATACACAAAATAACTTTCATCAAATATGTACTGACTTGCTTAGTATACGTTTTCTGTAGCACACGCTAAGCTCTGGAAGAAGAGGCCTCAAGTTTGCCTTGGTTGTTTCTGTATCCTCAGCACTTAGTAAGGGCTCAGCCCAGAGGATACTCCCAGAAGATGCCTGGACTGACCAGGGTCAGGGCTGGGGCCAGAGCTTAGTGTGTAACTAGGATCAGGCTCAGTGTGTGATCAGAATCAGGGCCAAGTCTGTCACCAGGATCAGGGCTAAGTCAGTGACCAGGATCAATGCTCCATGTGTAACTGGGGTCAGGACATAGTGCAGGAGCAGGATCAGGGCTCAGGGTCAAGGCTCAATGTGCAACTGCAGTCAGGACACAGTGTGGGGTGAAGGTTGGGGCTCAGCTAGCACCAGAGTAGAGGCTGTGTCCAGGTTAAGACTGTAACGCAAGACAGAAAACACACACAGCCATACGAGGCCACTGTCAGCCGTGCTGGGTATCTTTATTTATTAAGCTTTATTTTCTGTAGAAGCAAGGTTTTGCTATGCTGTCCAGGCTGGTCTCGAACTCCTGGCCTCAAGTGATCTTCCTGCCTCAGCCTCCCAAAGTGCTGTGATTACAGGCATGAGCCACTGTGCCCAGGCCATGGTGGGTATTTTTAATGGACAAGAACCCAGAATGAAGATCTACAGAGGCTTCCTGGAGGTGGTGGGACTGAGGTCATCTGGTTTGGCAGGATGGAAGGCCAGCTTTCCCAGGGTGGAACCATCAGAGTGGAGGCCCCGCCCAGAACCAACAGCAGCACCATGCGCACCCATAGAAGGGGTAGCCTGGAGGGAGGCCAGGCGTGCGCAGAAGGCAGCTGGACATGTGGCTACACCTCAGGTTCTTTCATAGACAAGTTACTGACACATTGCTGGCTCCAGGGGAAAACGCAAAACGAGGAAAAGGCCCCTCTCCCTGCTCTCAGGGATGCTGTAGTCTTTTGACTCTCGGCTGTGCCAGAGCTTCCCCGGAAGCTCCTGGGACCAGCATGCCTCCCACTCAAGCCAGTCAGCCAGCATCTTGCTCCTGGGACAGGCTTTGGGCCATGGGAGCCAGGCAGAGGCCCCAGACTAGCCAAGGCCCGGGCTGGTCCCACCTCCCGCTCCTGCTCGCTCCCGACGGCTGCCTAGGCTGGGGGGCTGCAGACTGTGCCCTGCCGCGCAGGGACTGGAGATGTGGCAGCCCCGCCAAGGGATCTCCCAAGAGTCAAAGGAGGTAATGGAGGAAGAAGGATCTGAAGACGCAGGGAAGTGCCCAGGCCCCCGCAGGGAGGCTGAAAGCAGCGGTGCCTGCCACGCCCGAGAAGCAGGCTCCAACTCACGTGCTCGTCAGCAGCCGCACTGCTGCCTGCTTTGTCATTTTATGCTTATGTAAAAAAATACTTTTTGCAAGAAAAATCTACAGGTACAAAATGTCATCCCAGCCCCATACAGTACCAAGTAATATATAGGCATATATATATATATATATATATTTATGTATTTATAACAGAAAATTGGATAGAAATTATTCCAGGCATATGGGATGTGGTTCCCCTGGGCCAGAACCACGTAGGGCAGAGGAGCCCTGCCCTCCAAGTGTGCATGCCCACCAAAGGGACAGGGGCTTTCAGGAGTCACACCAGATCACGCTTGGGACCTTTTTAGAGCCTGGCTGAGCCACCCTTTCCAGAGTTCCAGTGAGCAGGGGGCCCCTCAGTGCATCTTCCCCACCTCCCCTGCTTCCAGGGACGCTGGGCTGCAGACTTCGCAGCTGCTGCCACATGGGGTTGGAGCCTCCAACAGCATCATCCCTGAGTAGACCTGGTCCACTGAGTCCCACAGGTCGGCTCTCTGCAGCCTTTCCCTGCAGGTCACCACCCTCTACAGGCAATGGCAAGGACGCGACATCACAGGTAGACAGCCCACATCCTCTCATCCTTCCGGTCTCCTGGACTGGAGTTGTCCCGGTGCCCTGGAGACCCAGTCACTGCCACCTCTCCCCTGCCTGGACTCAGCAGGGGAAAGACTGGAGGCCCTGCTCCTGCCCTTTGGCTCTGCCAGCACCCCCGACCAGCCCTATATCTCCTCCTCCACCTTCAAGATCATCCCTGAGAAGACCTCGAGCCCCGAGTGGGTGCCCTTGGGGCTGTCCTGGGAGCCTCCAGCAGGCCCCTGGGCCACTCCACTGGCAGGACTACCGTCCTGGAGTGAGGGTGAGGCTTCCCGGGTAGGGCGTGCTTCCACCAGCCTCTCGAGGGTCCGGTTGAGGGCCTCCACGCCATCGGCCAGACGCTGGCTCTGCTCGGCCAGCCGCTGCAGCAGCAGGTTTTGCTGGGCCATGAGTGTGCTCTGCTGCTGGGCCCAGGAGGACAGCAGGGCGCCCTGCTGCCGGTGGGAGTCCAGCAGCTGCTGCTCAAATGCGGACGTTTCAGATGCTGCCGCTGGGGTCCTCCTGGAGGGCAAGGGAGGTGCTGGCGCCGAAGAGGGCGGGGAAGGCTGGAAGGCCCCCATGAGTGTGGTTGCTGGTGGGGTGGAGGCTGGGGAAGCAGGTGGGGAGGGTGAGGAGGTGGGTGCGTGGAAGACTCCTCGTAAGTCCAGGGGGTCAGGTTCAGGCAGGCTGGGCCCTTCCAGGGACCTCAGGGGCAGCCACAAGCAGCTGGGGGTCTCGTCCTCCTCATCAGCTAACAGAGGGAGACAGGAAAATGTCAGCCTGCACACCCAAAACCCAGTGATCTGGAGGGTGAGCAGGGTGCAGGGAGAGTGCCCATGTGAGGCCTCTGCACCTGGAGCTGTATGGGTCTCACGATGCTCCGTCTGCAGTGGGAGTTGCACCCGTTTGAGAGATGAGGAAACAGACCCAGAGAGGTGGGCACATTTACTCTAGTAGTGCTGGGACTGAAGCCACAGCCTGTCCAAATGCAAAGCCTGCGTGCCCACTCATCACAGCACCACTTGTATTCATCCTCCCACCGACTCCCCTGTGCTCCATCCGCTCGTCCGCCTGCCCTCTGGTCTACCCGCCATCCTGCTACCCAAGTGTCTATTCCTCCACATAGACACGCCCACCACATCCACTCATCTGTCCACCTGTCTGTTCATCACTGTCCAGCCAACCCCTTCCAACCTCCTCTTCCTTCTATTCATCCATCCATCCGTCTACTCACCCATTTATCCATGCTGTCTGTCCATCCACCCAGCCACTCACCCATCTACTCCTTCCTCCTTCCATCTACCCATCCACCTGCCCGTCTACACCTTCCTCCTTCCACCTAGCCACCCGCCCATCTACACCTTCCTCCATCTACCCATCCACCCGCCCGTCTACACCTTCCTCTTTCCATCCACCCACCCGTCTACACCTTCCTCCTTCCATCCATCCACCCGCCCATCTACACCTTCCTCCTTCCATCCACCTATCCACCCGCCTGTCTACACCTTCCTCCTTCCATCCACCCATCCAACTGCCCGTCTACACCTTCCTTCTTCCATCCATCCACCACCCGTCTACAGCTTCCTCCTTCCATCTACCCACCTGTCTACACCTTCCTTCCATCCACCCACCCGTCTACACCTTCCTCCTTCCATCCACCCACCCATCTACACCTTCCTCCTTCCATCCATCCACCCGCCCATCTAGAGGCCCCTCGCAAGCGGGAGCAGGACATTCTATGCAGAGGCGACTTCACAGAGGCCTCATCCCTCCTGACACACCGTGGGGAGGGCCCCTTGCAGGTAGGAGCAGGACATTCTACGCAGAGGCGACTTCACAGACACCTGGTCCCTCCTGACACACCGTGGGGAGGGCCCCTCGCAGGCGGGAACAGGACATTCTATGCAGAGGCAACTTCACAGATGCCTCAACCCTCCTGACACCGTGGGGAAGGCCCCTCGCAGGCAGGTGGGAGCAGGACATTCTATGCAGAGGCAACTTCACAGATGCCTCATCCCTCCCTGATACTCCCTGGTGGACCCCCTCGGGAACAGGAGTGGGACAGTCTATGCAGAGGTGACTTCACGGCCGCCTCCTGGGCCTGAGCCTTGCCCACCTCCTCTGCAGTGTGTCGGGGGGGCGGTGCCTGCTCTGCCAGGACTGAGCCCACAGGCTCACTGGGAATGCGGCACGGCGTCCATGGCACAGGTGGCTGGCCCAGTTGCCACTGCCCTCCTTTCCTCCTCCTCCTTCACCTCCTCCTCTTCCTCACTGTCCCATCGTCCTCCTGCCGTCCCAGGCATCAGCGCTGCTTCTGACCAGGTGATCCCAGGGTGCTCAGGAGGGGTCATCTTGCTGGCTGGCTTTCCTCTTGAAACAAGGCCTTCTGCGTGGTGTGGCCCTGAGTTTCCAGCGAGTCCACCTTGCCCGTCACCAGGCGTCACCTTCTGCCCATCACCTTCTGCCTCCTGGAGGCCCCTGGGCCTAGCTGCCCTCAGCGACTAGAGGTGCTGGGCCAAGGGCTGAGGCCAAACAGCCCAGAGCTGGCGCCAGGAGACCCAGCCCCAGCCTTGCCTCTGACCTCATCCTGCAGGTGACCTTGGCACAGCCTCTCCCAGGTCTTGTCTCCCGGCCTGGCGTTCACCAGCTGTCAACAGGGACTGACCCTTGGTGACCTGAACCTTCTGAGTCTCATGGCCCCCGACAGAAATGGGGAGGCCCAAACTGGGATCAGCCTCCCCGTTACCACACACTCCCACAGTGGGGGTGCCCGGGCTGGGTCCCACTGGGGAAGCTCAAGGCAGCCCTGGCCTTTCCCTCATTCTCCACCCAGTCAGGCCCCTGCGTGGTTCCAGCTGCGGCCCCCTTTTCCTCTTGCACCCCTGAGGCAACTGAGGACCCTCTGCGGGCACAGCTGTGATATCCCAGCGTCCTGGGGATGTGGCTCCTCTCTCGTCACACCTGCCTGTGATGTCCTGGGCTCGTCTGGCTGCTCCTGGACCCTGGCCTCACACCCACTGCACCATCTCGTCTGCCAATACTGCCCCTGCTCCGCCCTCAAGAGTGTGTGCTCTCCTGGCCCCAGCTGGCCCAGGGGCTTCTTCTGCGCTCCCACCGTGGCCCATGCCACCCTCACCTTGCTGGACTTAATGTCCAGCCTGCCTGGCCCCTGGGACTCCTTGAGGAACAGGCTCTGGTCATCTCTGCCCGTCAGGGCCAGTGGGGAGCACCAGGCCACAATGGGGACAGAGCCAGTGAGGGGAAGACAGCGGCTGGGCCTCCATCTCAGCTGGGCCACAGTCTCCAGCCAGCCTGACCTGTCAGGTCTTCTTGTGGTGACCACAAGTCAGCAACAAGGCCCAGTGAGTGGCTAGTCCTCAAGGTAGCTCCAAGTCCCACTTCAAGAAAATAAAGGCCTGAGCTTTCTTGTTCCCTCTGAGCCACTGACCTGCCCCAACCACAAAGTCCCCTCTGCAGTTCCCCGCCCCAGTATGGACACTGAGCTGCATGTCAGCATCTGGCACAGGAGGTGGAGCGGGAAGGCCCCAAGGGCCCTCCCCTCGGCTGCACCCCGGATCCATGGGAGAGGGCGGCGTGGTGCATACAAGAGAGGAGACGGTGCCGACCGCTGTGGGCACCACGCAGACCACTGCTGCCGCAACCCCGCCACTCCCAGAGCCCTAGGGCACGGGCAGCAGACTGGTTCAGAGGAGGCCTGTGGGCATGCCCCTCCCAGGCACAGGGCAGGGCCTGGGCCCCTCCAGACAGACGGAGGGAGGGTTGGAGGATAGGGGACGGAGGCCGGGCCGGCCGGGCACTGTGGCCCTCACACGGACTTACTTGGTGCCGGCTGGCTCCAGCCAGGAGCTGGCGGGCTGCCTCCGCATGCGAGGACGCAGCCTCAAGGCTGGCTTCAATACTATCTGCAAATCAAGACAACAGAAGGCAATTACAGATGGAGGCCCAGCCGCCCCCGCCCTGAGGACACCCCCCAAAGGCAAGCCCAGGGAGCCTGAGCCCAGGGCCTGCAGAGGAGCAGAGGCTGCAGGGATGGGCGCTGGGCTGCCAGACGTGCCGAGGGCTCCGCGTGGTGTGGGCAGTGGGCAGCAATGACATTAGAACGGAGGCCTGGAGGTGGCCCAGGGAAGGGGACTCCTCAGTGCCCACACCAGGTGGGGCAGGAAGAGTCCACTCAGGAAAGGGTGGGAGTGGCAGGCGGAGGTGAGGGCTGGGGTCAAGTCCTGCTCTGTCATGACCTTGCCTGGGCCAGCCCCTCCACTCTGTGGCCACGGCCCCCTCTGAAGGGGCAAAGCCCCTGCCTTAACGTCTGTGGAGTTGCGACGCGGCTGATGGAGACCGGGTCTGCAAGCACAGGGCTCTGGTTTGCCACACGCACTGGCCCTCGACTCAAGCACAGGGAGCTGATCAGAAAGTTGTGCTGCCGTGCGGGGATCACGGGAGATGGTACCTGGGAAAAGCCGGGCTCGGTGGCTGCAGCAGTGCCACCCAGGGAAGCCACATCAGCAGGGCCCACGGGAGACACCAGACCAGGGCCGGGGCAGCCCCAGGGATCCGGAAGATTCCATGCTCAGCATTGTCTTCCACCCAAAGGAAGGACACATGCCACCTGGGCACCAGGAGCGCAGGCACAGCCGGGGTCCTCAACAGAGCCACATGCAAACACGAGCAAACACGAGCACGGGCAAGCCTTCTTCCCGGAGGGAGGTTCCTTGCAAGGCCTGCCTCCAATCAGGCAACTGGAGAAGAGCTTGGGAGGCAGGAGTATCTAAACAAACTGTGCACCTGCAGTGCCTACCAGGGCACAGACCTGAGCTGACTTGAGCCTCAGGGGTCTTAAGGCCTGGGATAGAGAGGCCATTACAACCACAGGGACTGCTGCCAGGCACAGCCTGGCACGACTGGCTCTGAGGGAGGAGGGTCCTCAGAAAGACAAGGCCACTCCCCACCGTCCCAGCAAGGACTCCCTACTCTCATCAGGGAACTGTGGCCCCATCTCTGCAAGCCCCCTGGGCAGGAGGTGGAACCCATGAGCCCTGCCTTCAGAAGCCCCCACCCAGGCCTCACAGGGATCCTTGAACCCTTGGTCACCAGCTCCACCCCACCCTTGCCCCCAGCGCAGGGCCCTAGTGGAGCCGCAGGCACTCGCAGACACACCCTGATCGCCGCATCTGGGGGCTCCTGCCCTAGCCAGGGAGGGGAGAGCCAGGCTCCTGCACAAGGAGCCAAAGCCCAGAGAGCGGGTATGGGTGACGGCCTCGGCCGCTCCTGGAGCAAAGCACCCCTTTGCTCACTTGCAGACAGCCCCCAACTGAACTCTGCTCTCTATGTCCTGCCACATTAGGGTCACGACCCTCTGAGCCAATGGAGGAGGAGAGGGAAGGAAGATGGGGCCAGAGGTGTGACGGATCCCCCCACAATTGCCACTCAGGAGGGACCAGCCTGCCAGGGAGGAGGCGCTAGCCTGGGCCCGGGCAATGCCCCGCTCACGTGCAAAGGAGCCACCTTACACCTGCAGTGGTAACAGCCTGGCCTCGCTTCTGTTGCTGAGAGGTGAATGTGGACAGTGGAGAGCATTTGCCAGCAGAGACAGGAAGGCCATGGTGGTCTGGGCTAACACAGGTGGTGCTGGACAGGCCATGTGCCCTGGCTGGACACTTTCTCTGCCCCGTGACCACACGCAGCCTCAGCCAAGCCCTGGACCCCACCCTTGGACTCAGCCTGTGCCCAATCCTGCTCTACACCTAGCCCTGGCCCTGGGGACTCTGATCGTAGTGTGTGACCTGGAGGCCCACCCTCAGAATGGGGACTGATGTCCTGCTGCTCCAGGGCTGCATGCACCGGCCACAGACCCAGGGCGGTCCCAGGGGCATTCTTAGCCAGCATGGCACTGCCCACATTCAAGACACCTCACACAACCACTGCCCAGCTCCGCAGCCAGCAACATCTCCCTCAGCGCCCAGGCTGCCAGGTGGGCACGCCATGTCCTGCCCCGGCGCAGTGCACAGAGATGCACAAGGGGAGGGGGGCTGCTCCCGGTGCTGTGCGGCCGCGTGTTGCTCGTGGGGTGAGGACAGGTTTGGTGCGTGGGACCTGTGGTACTGAGCGACACTCCAATACCTCATCAGCCATCAGCCCTGGGCCCAGTGGCTTTGTCAGGTCTTGGAGGCCCCCAGTCTGTGAGGTGAGCCCTGCAGAGCCACAGGCCCTGGGCACCTGCTCCTCCCAACACAGGGGGTGCTCCACGGGGGCCCCTTGCACATCCCCTGACTCCAGGAGTCCAAGGGATACCCAAGCACTAGGCCAGAGGCCTCCAGGGGCCAGAGAGAGCAGCCTTTGGGACCGCCCTCCCCAGACACTCGCAGAGCAGCACACACACCTCAAAGGAAACTGCCTGCCCAGTGCCCTCAGGGCACAGGGACCCCTGTGGGAGACCCCCCTGCACTGGGTCAACTCGCTGCCCCCAGCCCCACAGCCGTGACCAGCCCTGCAGGCCTGGCCCTGCCCAAACCCCAGGCAGTGCCGCTGCAGAGCGGAAAGCATGGCCGGCTCGGGGCAACTGGGCCTGCAGCTGGGATGCCCCCACCCTGTCCTCAGGCTTGGCAGCCACTTTCCTACTTCCTGCCTCTGCGCCCACAAGAGGAAGTCTGGCCCTGTCCTAAGCACTCTCGCTTGGGAATTCAACACGTCAGTTGCTGTCAGCAGCAGGGCAGGCCACTCAAAGCAGCTCACAGGCACCAAAGACTCCCGTGCTGCAGGGGAGCCCAGCGGCCTGGGGACCTGGAGTGGCTGATCCACCAGGGGTCACAGAAGTCGAGGCTGGGTCTCAGTCTAGGGCAGGGAACCACAGGGTGAGCAAACCTGAGTTCCTGCAGCCTCCAGGGCTGAGGACTTGCAGAAAAGGACTAAGCACCTGGGCCACACCAGTGCCACCCCTGCCAGGCCCCTCCTTCTCAGCCCCACACCACATGTCTATCCTTGCCATGAAGCACCCCCAAACCAGGTCTGCCTCTGCCCATAGGACCCTTGGCTGCAAGAATCTGCCCTTCAGGAGACAATGTGGCCTCAATGGGGGTGGATCCAGCCATCCCTGGCCTGCACAGGCCTGAGAGGACCCAGATCCTCCTCCAGCCCCACCCCATCAGGAGGCCCACTGACCAGGCCCATCCCCCAAGCCCCACCACAAGGCCTAGTGCCCAGGCCCATCGCCCAAGGCCCACAGCCCAGGCCCCTTGTCCAAGCCCAGCCACAGGGTTGGCTGGGTCTACATGCGTCTCCCAACCAGTCCGGCCCACTCTGCCCATGGGTCCCAGCCTCATGCACCGCTGTGAGCAGGAGCAGCTGAGGATGCCCCAGCGCTCCAAGTTCTGCCATGGCTGCCACTGGGGGCGTTTGAGGCCAGCCCCTGCCTGTCCTGTGAGGCTGGGTCCTTCTGTCCACTCTGTGGCCCTCAAGGAGCTGGTCCTGCTTCCGGGGCTTCGTTCCCAAAGTCCTTCCAGCAGCTCCCAGGAAGGGGAGGGTCCAGCGGGGCTCTGCTTCGAAGGGTGTGCCACCATATGCGGAGGACGGCGAAGGAGCTCCTGGCACGGTGTCTTGAGGAGGAGAGGAGGTGCGGTGGGAGGAGGCACGGAGGCGGCAGGAGGAAGCACGGAGCCAGCATCACCCTCAGAGCCAGCGTCACCCTTGGAGCCAGTGGCAGCTGCGGGCTGCAGACGAGGCCTGACCAGACAGAAACGCCTGGCTTCCGGTGGTCCCTGGAGTGGGCCCGTGGGCTCGGAAGGGGGCACAGCGTGCCTGACAGGCTGAGAGTCACCGGACAGCACCACGTGTGGGGCTTCCAAGTGGGCCCAGAGGGAGGGGCCTGCAGAAGGAGGGGGAGGCCACTGCAGGCCAGAGTGAGGCACAGCGTGGGGCGGGGAAGAGTCAAGCTGGGGCCCAGGCTCCTCCCTGGCTCTGCCCAAACTCCTCAACGTGACCAATGAATGGACAGGTCACCTGCTGCTCCCTGGGAGCTATGTCAAGGGCCAGCTGGCTGGAGGTGCATATGGGCTGAGGCTCCTCCCACCTGCTGGCTGGCCTTGCCTTCTCATGGTAGCTGTACGCTGGGGCTCTGGGGCTGGGGGAGAGCGGAGGGAAGCCCTCCTTCTTCCCAGACACCCCTGTCTTCAGACCCTGGGGCCAGCTGGGCCCTGCTGCCCTGCATGGGAAAGTAGGGACTTCTCCCTGCTGGGACCCACTGGTTTGGAAGACCTGGCTGCCTAAGGACAGCCGTGCTCACCGCTGGACTGCATCTGGAAGGGGAGGGCTGCCCGTGGAGAGGAAGGCCAGGCCGGGACCCGGGGCCAAACAGGCCTCCGGCCACACGACACCAGGCGGGAACGGCAGAGGCCAAGATGGGGGCCTTGGAGGGCACCAGGGCACCCTGGGCTGCACCCGCTGCTGCTGCACGTCGGGGAGCTCAGGCCTTGTCTCTGCCCCTCACCAGGCACTGGTCCCAGAGGCCACCTTGTGACCGCCTCCCCACGGTAGCGCTCACCTCTCTACAGTGACTAGGACCCAGCATCCCATCTGGACACCCGGTGGGCACGGCTTGAGGTGGCGTATATGGTCGAGCCCCTTGATGGCACAATGCTTGGCAATGCAGGGAGGACCCTGAGCTGGAACCGCAGCCCTTCCACTACCGAGACAGGCAGAACCCTCCCTGGCCCCGACCCTTGGTTTCCCCACCTAAAAGAAGAGATGGGCCAGGAGGGTGGCGGGCCATCTCCATGGGCCTCTGGGTCTCCCTCGGAGGGTCTCCCTCTTGGGAGCTGGTGCAGAAGGCTCAAGCCCACTCGCCGGCCCTGCTTGCCCCAGGGCAGTGTGGTCCGGGGGGGCGGGCTGTGGGGAAGGCCCACTTACTTGGCAGGGGCTCCGTGGTCTGGCCCTCGCCTTGGGGACCGTGGGCAGAAAAGGTCTCTGCCACCATGCGCTCCACAGGTGTGAGGAGGAGGCCGGGGGCGGGGCCGCCCTCCGCCAGCTTCTTGCGCACAGCACCTCGCAGGTCCCGCCACTTGTGCTTGAGGTCCCCCAGGTCGCGGCGGCAGTAGCCCAGCGCGTTCACTGCCTGCAGGATGCGGCTCCACACGCGGTGCTTTCGGGCAGGTGTGCCCCGCAGCGCCCCGAACAGCAGCGGGTAGTGGCGCCGCACCCTCTGCACCAGCACCTCCGTCTCCTGGGGGCTGAAGTTGGGCTTGCGTGTCTTGGTGCGGGAGTGGGGGCCCGGCCGCAGGGGTGTGGAGCCCGGCCCGGCACCCAGCAGCAGGGCTGCCGCGGCCGGCTCGGGGCTGCAGCTCTGCTGGCAGATGGCTTTGCTGCTGCTGGACCCTGGAAAGGCACCAGAGGCTGAGCAGGGGGCAGAGACCCTGGGGAGAGCAGCCAGGTTCGGGGTCACAGGTCATCACAGGCCCTGCATCTGTGCACAGCGGCCAGGCCTCGCATCGGCACCCAGCATAGGCAGCCTACATCCACTATACAGGGGCCCTTCTGTCTCAGCTACTCTCTGGGCCTCCCGCCTGTCCACCCGGCAGGTGCCCTCTGCCCTCCCCGGAGCCCTGACCACGTGTGGTGGGTCAGCCCTGGTTTGTCCCCCTCCCCACGACTGCTCCCTTCCCTGAACTGCTGGCATGAGTGCCCCTCGTGATCAGTCCTTCACTGGGACTGATCAATCTGTCACTGGGACTGGGTGGGCACCTGAAGTGGACAAAGCGCTCCACAGACTCAGCACATCCCAGCCCGCGACAGGTGGCCAGGGGCAGAAATGGCTACAGCCACCTCTGGAAGCTGACAGTGGGGAGAAGGGGGGAGGACAGAGCGATAGGAGGGGTCCTGGGGAGAGGAGGTGGTAAGGGAGTGATGGGGCAGCCCAGCAGGCCCTGTATGGGGCCACAGAGCAGCTGGAGGGGGCCACAGAGCAGCTTGAAGCCCAGGCTCCGAGGGGATTGAGGGGCCGGCCTGGCCCAGCCCCGCCCCAGGGAGCAGCAGGGTGCTTGAGCCGCAGTCACTCTTCTCCTGGGGACACAGCACAGTACCCGGGAAGAGGACGCCAGCTGCCTGAGGGTCTCCGGACACACTGCCAGTTGTCAGAGCAGGAGGGACCAGGAGGCTGTTCTCGGCACAGGCCCCAAGGTGAGGCCACAGCTCAGTCAGGGCATGGAGGGAGAATGAGTGGGTGGGGTGGAGCCTGAGAGTGCTGGTGGGCAGCTGAGCGCTTTAACCAAAGGCCCGTGGGCACCAGGGGCAGCCTGGCTCTTCCTCAACTGAGGAAAAGAGACACCCAGCCAGAGCCAGGAGCCTCTGCCCCACTGGCCTGGGAGCCAGGGCTCCTGGCAGCAGCAGGTATAGACAGGGCGGGATGAATGGGTCAGAGCCCTCCAGTGGGAGCGGGAAAGACACCAAAACACAGCAGGGATGGGGTCCCTGTGGGAGGGGGGCAAGGTCAGCATCCCCTCAAAAGCCCCCTGCAAACCTGGAGCCCCACCATGGTTGGGGGCCGCACAGGCAGGCCAGGGCTGCTGTGTGACTACAGTGGGAAGAGGACATGAGAGACTCTGGCTCTCCACAAGCAGAGGAGGCCACAGCGCATGGAGTCAGAACTGGACACAGTCACCCCAGGGTTAGGGTCAGGGTTAAGGGGACCCAGAGCTTTTAGACCTCATGGTGAGGACCTCTCTAGGGAAGCCAAGGGCAACCCCATAGAGGAAGGGCTGTGGCCCAGGGTGGGTGAGCAACCAAGGCGGGTGGGGGCGCTGGGGAGTCGGTGGGCCTGGGCGGGGTCACTGGGCACTGTGACCTCTGTCCCATCTGGGAAGGCCCCTCCCTTGCCCCAGGTGAGGTTTCCTGAACGGAGCCTCCAGCCTCCCTGGCTCCAAGCTCAGCCCCTTCATCCTGACCTCTCGCCTGTCAGGTCCTTGATGGGTGGCCTCCAGCAGCAAAAGGGTAGGGCTTCTCCTGGGGACTCAGAGGCAAGGGACAAGACTGTGGGCCTCCCACTTCCTGCCCCCACATACAGCCTGGCGCTAAGGTAGGACCTGACTCTAGGCACCCGGGCACCCCTGCTGCTTCACTTCCTTTTCCAGAGGAACGCAGAGCTGAGGGCCCACGGTGCTGGCTGGGAGGTGCCCTGGCTTGCGGTGCAGCCCCTCTTCTCGTGGATGCAGGGACTTCAGGACACCATGCCCTGGCCAGGCCTGCACGTTCCCATGCCGCTCTCCCTACACCCCCCCAGCACGGGTACATCCATAGCAGAACCAGAGCTCCAGCCTCTACATCTCTGCAACCTCACAACCCTATCCACCCCAGAACAGCCTCACTGTGGGGAATCTCTGGGCAGAGGCCCAGGATGAAGGCGTGGAGGCTAGTATCTGTCAACGAGCGGAGCAGGGACCAGCGTCTGTCAATGATCAGGGTGGGGCCAGTGTCTATTAATGAGCGGAGCAGGGGCCAGTGTCTATCAATGAGCAAAGGGGAGGCCACTGTCTGTCAAAGAGCAAAGGCGGGGTCAGTGTCTGCCAACGAGCAGAGGCGGGGTCAGTGTCTGCCAATGAGCAGAGGCGGGACCAGTGTCTGTCAATGAGCGGAGGTGGGGCCAGTGTCTATCAATGAGCAGAGGGGAGGCCACTGTCTGTCAATGAGCAGAGGCGGGGCCAGTGTCTGTCAATGAGCGGAGGTGGGGCCACTGTCTGTCAATGAGCAGAGGCGGGGCCAGTGTCTGTCAATGAGCGGAGGGGAGGCCACTGTCTGTCTAAGGGCAAAGGCGGGGTCAGTGTCTGCCAATGAGCAGAGGCGGGGTCAGTGTCTGCCAATGAGCAGAGGCGGGACCAGTGTCTGTCAATGAGTGGAGGTGGGGCCAGTGTCTATCAATGAGCAGAGGGGAGGCCACTGTCTGTCAATGAGCAGAGGCGGGGCCAGTGTCTGTCAATGAGCGGAGGTGGGGCCACTGTCTGTCAATGAGCAGAGGGGAGGCCACTGTCTGTCTAAGGGCAAAGGCGGGGTCAGTGTCTGCCAATGAGCAGAGGCGGGGTCAGTGTCTGCCAATGAGCAGAGGCGGGACCAGTGTCTGTCAGTGAGCGGAGGTGGGGCCAGTGTCTATCAATGAGCAGAGGGGAGGCCACTGTCTGTCAATGAGCAGAGGCGGGGCCAGTGTCTGTCAATGAGCAGAGGTGGGGCCAGTGTCTGTCAATGAGCGGAGGTGGGGCCACTGTCTGTCTAAGGGCAAAAGCGGGATCAGTGTCTGCCAATGAGCAGAGGCGGGGTCAGTGTCTGCCAATGAGCAGAGGCGGGGCCAGTGTCTGCCAATGAGCAGAGGCGGGGCCAGTGTCTGCCAATGAGCAGAGGCGGGGCCAGTGTCTGTCAATGAGCGGAGGTGGGGCCAGTGTCTGTCAATGAGCAGAGGCGGGGTTAGTGTCTATCAATGAGCAGAGGCGGGGTTAGTGTCTGTCAACGAGCAGAGGCAGGGACAGTGTCAATGAACAGAGGCGGGGCCAGTGTCTGTCAATGAGCGGAGGCGGGACCAGTGTCTGTCAATGAGCAGAGGCGGGGCCAGTGTCTGTCAATGAGCAGAGGCGGAGTTAGTGTCTGTCAATGAGCAGAGGCGGGGTTAGTGTCTGTCAACGAGCAGAGGCAGGGACAGTGTCAATGAACAGAGGCAGGGCCAGTGTCTGTCAATGAGCGGAGGTGGGACCAGTGTCTGTCAATGAGCAGAGGCGGGGCCAGTGTCTGTCAATGAGCAGAGGCGGGGTTAGTGTCTGTCAACGAGCAGAGGCAGGGACAGCGTCAATGAACAGAGGCGGGGCCAGTGTCTGTCAATGAGCGGAGGTGGGGCCAGTGTCTGTCAATGAGCAGAGGCAGGGTTAGTGTCTGTCAACGAGCAGAGGCAGGGACAGTGTCAATGAACAGAGGCGGGGCCAGTGTCTGTCAGTGAGGGGAGCAGGGACCAGGTTCTGTCAATGAGCAGGGTGGGGGCCAGTGTCTGTCAAAGAGCAGAGTATGGAGCCAGTGTCTGTCGATGAGCAGGGTGAAGGCTAGTGTCTATCAATGAGCGGGTACCAGTGTCTGCCAATGAGCAGAGTGGGGGCTAGTGTCTGCCAATGAGCAGAGGCGGGGCCAGTGTCTGTCAATGAGGAGAGGCAGGGCCAGTGTCTGTCAATGAGCAGAGTGGGGGCCAGTGTCTGTCAATGAGCAGAGCAGGGACCAGTGTCAATGAGCGGAGCAGGGACTAGTGGCAACGAGCGGAGCAGGGCTGGAGGAAGACAGGGCAGGAGGGGAGGGAGCAGATGCTCAGACCTGGACCCCAGCCTGGGCCTGGCTCCTCTTAGAGGCCCCTTCACCCACCCTTAGGTGAAGGGGTGAGGGCTGGGGGCTGGCAGGCAGGCCCTCGGGGCAGCAGGTGGCCCGAGGCTGGGGCGGGTACCCACCAACAGCTTCTCCTTGCTCTGACACCATGGAGGCCAAGTCCTTGATGATCTGATTCACATCCAGCAAGTTGCTCTGTGGAAACAACATAGAACCACATCAGGAGCAGGGCTGTGGGGCAGACACCAAGGGCACCTGAAAGTTTCCCATGGAACCTGGGGCGGGCCCAGGTGGCACCTGCAGAATCAGGAACCAGAGAACAGCTGGGGACCGGCTGGTCTGTCCACTTCCTGTGACAGAAGGCATGACTGGGTCCAGAAAGGGCCAGGGGTGAGCCCAGGGTCACCCCAAAAGTCAGAGACAGGGCAGGGATCTGAGTGCTCCATCTCCTGACTCTGAAGCCAAACCCCAACCTCTCCAGGTGTCCTAGGGGCTGTGAGCTGCTTCCCTGAGTACAGAGGTCCCAGGGTCTGTCCCCAGGATTTGCAGTCTAGTGAAGGACAGCATCCCCAGCACTGTAAAGGCCTGACTGCAAGAGAGCAGAGAATGTCTAGGGCAGATATACCATCCCCACTTGCCTGGGTGCTCCTGCACAGAAGGGTCTACCTTTCCCTCTCTGTGTAACAGCACTGAGCATGGGCCAGCACACAGGCACTGCTCAGCAAATCCTAAAGAAGTGGGATAGATGGACGAACGGGTTCAGGGGAGTGGACAAAAGGGTGGATGGGTAGATGAAAGGATGATGGACAGATGCGTGAATAGGTGGGTGGACAAATGGAATGGTGGATGGGTGGGTGGATGGATGAATAGATGGGTGAGTGGATGGATGGGTGGGTGATGGGTGGATGGGCGAGTGGATGGACAGATGAATGGGTGGATGGATGGATGGGTAGATGGATGGATGCGTAGGTGGATGGATGGATGGGTAGGTGGATGGATGGATGGGTAGGTGGATGGATGGATGGGTAGGTGGATAGGTGGTTGGACAGATGGGTGAGTAGATGGATGGGTGGGTGGGTAGATGTATGGATGGGTGAATGGATGGATGGGTGGGTGGGTGGATGGATGGATGGATGGATGGATAGATGTGTGGGTGGGTGGGGTAGGTGGATGGATGGGTGCATGGGTGGGTAGATGGGTGGATAGGTGGGTGGGTGGGTAGATGATGGATGGATGGATGAGGGATAGATGGATGATGGGGGGATAGATGAGTGGGTGAATGGATGGAAGAGTGAATGGACGGTATGTGGATGGATGATGGACAGGTGGGTGGGTGGGTTGGTCAATGAGCGGCTAAGTGGATGGTTGCTCCACTGCTATCCAAGGACTGAGTGGCTCCATGAAGCTAGTGAACAGAGTAAGGAACAGAAACGTGGGCCAGGAGGACTTCGGGTACCCCTCCACCCCGGCATACTGTGCTGGCCTCTTCCATCTTCCATGCTGTCTACCTTTACCCTAACTCCTTTTTCCCAGTTAAGTGGCTCTGATGATCCTAAGAGACGTGGCCACGCCACTCTCAGAGCACACACCTGGGCTGTGCTTCAGGCAAGGCACATACCATCCCCTTCACACCTGGCACCCACCCAGGGGCATCCTAGCACCCATCTAACAGAGCAGGGATTGGGGGCTCAAGTGGTCCCATGACCTCCAGGGCCTCTCGGAAAGGGGAAGAGTTGGGATTCAGACCCCTGCCCACCGACCAGATGCCCACTCCTTCCCTGACTGCCACGCTGCACCTAGGACGGCTCCTCCGCTGGCCAGATGCATGGCCCTGGGCAAGCCTGGCCACCTCAAGCCAGGTTTGCTCACTTATCACCCGAACAAAAGCAACCCTCCTCACATAGCGCCTGGCACATGGCTGGGTTCCAGCCAAGTCCAGGGGAAGATCCTTCAGGCCTGCCGTGACCCCTGCCCTGGCACACCCGTCCAGTCAGCAGCTCATTCCAGAGCTGGGACTGACTTCCATGAGGGTCATTTCACCCCACTGCAAAATGTTACAAGGGAATTCATTTTCTCTTTAGGAGTATTCTGGGAAATGAAGCAATTAGCATGATCTTAAACTGACACGTAGTATCAATTGCAATTCAATTATCAGGCTTAAATGTGATGCAGAGGCAGGCGGTCCCTCTGCAGGAACTGGGCAGTGGCTGGGAAGGTAGCGAGAAGGTGGGGCCCAGGGGTCATGGCTTCAGTGTGCATCTGTGGCATGGCTATGGGGGCAACAGTGAACGAAAGGATGGGTGCGGGTTGGCCCGGGCCGGTTTCTGGTCTCCTCGTCACCACCACCTTCTGCCAGAGTGAGGTCACGGGTTCTGGAGACCAAGCCTAGGCTCCATCCTACAATGGGGACATCAAGGTCACGAAGTATGGCTCAGCCAGGTGGGTCCCCACCTCCACGGGCTTCCCAGTTATAGACGTGATCCCGTCAGAAGCCAGGCATGACCTCACCACCAACTTCGACCCTGGCCACTGAGCATACCCAGGCCTGGTGCACCCTGAGCCTGGTCTTGGTGGCTCATGGCCTCAGGGACTTGCAGGGGCCTTCCCAAGGGCTTCACAGGCAGAAGCATCTCCTCATGCGGCATGTGACTCACCTGTTATTGCTGCATTTGACAGGGAAGACGGAACCTGAGTCACTGAGAGGGTTAGTGACTGCCCAATGACACACAGCTGGAAAATGCTGGAATCCGCATCCAACCCACATTTAGACAGACTCCAACCCAGGTCACTACCACCATCAACGCGGGGTGGCACCCAAGGCCACCCTCCAGGATGTGGAACCCAGGACCCCGGCCAGATCTCAGGGACAGTGGGCCGCCCTCCAGGTCGTGGAACCCAGGACCCCGGCCAGATCTCAGGGACAGTGGGCCGCCCTCCAGGTCGTGGAACCCAGGACCCCGGCCAGATCTCAGGGACAGTGGGCCGCCCTCCAGGATGTGGAACCCAGGACCCCGGCCAGATCTCAGGGACAGTGGGCCGCCCTCCAGGTCGTGGAACCCAGGACCTCGGCCAGATCTCAGGGACAGTGGGCCACCCTCCAGGATGTGGAACCCAGGACCCCGGCCAGATCTCAGGGACAGTGGGCCGCCCTCCAGGTCGTGGAACCCAGGACCTCGGCCAGATCTCAGGGACAGTGGGCCACCCTCCAGGATGTGGAACCCAGGACCCCGGCCAGATCTCGGGGATGGTGGGGCTCCCTCCAGGATGTGGAACCCAGGACCCCGGCCAGATCTCAGGGACAGTGGGCCGCCCTCCAGGTCGTGGAACCCAGGACCCCGGCCAGATCTCAGGGACAGTGGGCTGCCCTCCAGGTCGTGGAACCCAGGACCCCGGCCAGATCTCAGGGACAGTGGAACCCAGGACCCCAGCCAGATCTCAGGGACAGTGGGCCGCCCTCCAGGTCGTGAAACCCAGGACCCCGGCCAGATCTCAGGGACAGTGGGCCACCCTCCAGGATGTGGAACCCAGGACCCCAGCCAGATCTCAGGGACAGTGGGCCGCCCTCCAGGTCGTGGAACCCAGGACCTCGGCCAGATCTCAGGGACAGTGGGCCGCCCTCCAGGTCGTGGAACCCAGGACCTCGGTCAGATCTCGGGGATCGTGGGGCTCCCTTCAGGACGTCCCGTGCTGCAGCCACCAGCATGGGATGGGCCTTACGTGTGTGCACCCATCAATCTGCTTCCCATGAGCAGGGGCAGAGAAAGGCCACACTGGCATGATGCTGCTGTGTCCCTGGGGGGAAGCATGGCTCCGAGCCCCTGCCCAGCCTGTGGGGATGCAGCTTTGGTGAGAGATGCCAGGGAGGGGTGTGGCTGAGCAAGGCCGGGTCCAGTGCCTTTCAGGGGCCTGGGACGCCCAGCGGCTGGGGCGGGGTGGAAGAGGGGCAGCTGCGAGTCCCTGAGGCTCGGCCTCAGTGTTCCAGGCACGCCTCTGTGCACACACGGCCACTGCACTGGGCGTTCCCTGCTGACATCAGAGTCAACTTCCACAACCCCAAAAGCGCGGGCTGGGACACGGTGTTCCCAAGACAGGCAGAGACCCTGTGGTGCCCCCAGGGCACAGATGGCCTGCATTCTAGGTTTTGGGGGAGGCCCCCGGAGGCAGTGGCAGAAGTGATTTTCCATCTCATCGCCGACACTCACTACCACTGCCTGGCTTCACAGATAGCTTGCTCCTCCAAGGCCCCGGGTCCTCCTGGGCAGAAGGGTTTTGTAGTCAGTGCTGGTGCCGAGGATGCGGCTGACAGGAGCCGGCACTCGCGGAGCCACCTGCTATCCACGCCAACCTCACCAGCAACATGTCAGGCCCGCAGACAGAGGAGCTGGTGGGGGGTGGGGGCATGTTCTCTGGGCTGGGGCTGCTGCCGGGGCTCCCGCCCACTCACTGCTAGACTCAGCAGAGAAGCAGCAGGAGCAGTGATAACTGCCCATTGGGATGAGCTAAGACACAAAATGTTAATTTGCACCACAGCCAGCGCGGGGGACACACAGACTCCAAGCCTTCAGTGCAGTGGCTGTGCCTCCTGTGAGAGGGGACCATGGCTCCTAGCACCATGGGCTCATGCGTCCCAGCTTCAAGAGGCTCGGCCAGCAGGGCTGGCAGGTCCTCAGGGCTGCATGCCGAGAGGTTCCCACTCCCTGACCTCTTTCGAGCGAACGCAGCATTTGTGTGAAGCCTGCTCTTCCTCATTTTAGGCGCCCCTCTCTTTAAGACGCCTGGCACTCAAACATCGGCCTGGTCCCACTTCCCTGCAGAAGGGTGAGCTGCCAGCTGGCCCAGCCCACTCGGAGGCACCCCCTGCCGAGGCGCTCACTGATAAGTGAACATCATTCACCTCAAACAAAGCGGGAGGCAAAGCCTGAACAGCAGCTCGGGCTCCAGGCAAGCAGCCACAGTTAAGAAACCCCTGAGCCTTCTTTTCTGGAAAATGGCTCACCACAGAGAACCACTTCCCACAGGCCCTGGGCACGGCCAGCTGGACCCAGTCCTTGGGGAGCACTCTCTGTATAGAAGGGAAAGGACGCTGAACTCAGATAGCAAGCCTGGGGCCCCTCCCTGCTCCCCAGCCTGAGGCTGGAGGCCAGGGCCCCACTATCCCTCCTGGCGACCGAGCTGGGGATCTCACGGAACCAACTGAGAGGGCTGCTCAGGGCACAGGCAGCCCCAGAAACCCAGGTCCTGCCACATCAGCCACACGAGCTGCAGGCTACGAACACACCACTGTGCTGTCTCAGGATGGGGCAGGGTGCACCCTGGCCCTGAGGCCTGCACTAGAGGCCCCAGATGCAAAGGGATGGGCCACTTCTACCAGGCAGCCCCAAGCCCTCTGCATAGGAGCTTCCTGAAGGGAGCAGGGAGCCTGAGGCACTGCCTGCCTTTGTGTCTCTTCCTCCATCATGGGAGGCCGCCGGGACTTACTGGGGATTCTCCTTCGTCCTGGCCCAGTGCTGGTCCCAGAACAAACAGAGGACTAAAGAGCTGAACATACCCTGCGGCTGCGAGAGAGCCGGGCAGGCGCAGTGGGGCTGGGACCTGCAGCTGGGCCTGTCGCTGATGGTGCAGGCAGATCCCAAGGATGGGCCCAGAGAGGGCCCACCACAAGAGACAGAAGAGGGCCTCTCAGGCAGGCAGCTAGCATGGGTGGGTCCCCCCAGGCACTGTGGGCCCTGGGCCCTGTGCACCTGGGCAGGCCTCGGCTCCTGAGGAGGAAGCTCGGGGCAGGCGCAGCTCCACTCCCAGGCACACCTAGGAGACTTGCCAGAGATTTGGGCTCCCCCACGGGCCTAGGTGGGAGCCTAGTTCCAGGCAGAAGCCCCGTCCTCAGTCCTGGGGCGACAGAGAGGCCAAGGCCAGGCCTGAGAAGGGTGGGGCCTGCTCGAGGGGCTGGGACTGCCCCGGATGGAGCCCTCCAGGGCAGCAGCAGTTCTGGTGCTGTTCTCGGGGGACACGCAGGCCATACCCTGGCACGGCAGCCAGAGGGCGGGAGAGCGGGGAAGACCCAGAACTTAGTAGATGGTTAAATCATGCAATTATTTTTCAGACTGCTTCTAAAACTAGAACTCATTAAAAGCGCTCATGGAATTTTCTTTCTCTTCTTTCACTGGCACAGCGGAAAAAGCCCCTTGCACGAGACATAATAAAACCTTGGTGTGTGTGTGCCTGTGTGTTCCCTTCACTTTCCAGAACGAGAAGTCAAAACATCACTGCATTTTTCTCTATCACACCATCTCTTCTTATAATTAGGATCTTGGCAACCATCCACCTACAAAGACGACTATTCCAGTTAATGGAGCCACCAAACCGTATGCATTTATTTGTCCACTCGCCCATTTATAGCTAGAGATCAGCCAGGTCAGGCACCTTCAGGCTGTGCAATGCCAACCACAGGGCAGGTCTGCTGGGCTCTGCCTGGGGCCTTGGAGCCCCGCCTGGGCCATCTCCGCATCCCATCCTCCGCCCTCCCGGGCCTGCCAGGTAGCCATGGCAACAGAGCAGGTGGCGTATTCTGAGCTCTGTACCTGGGTCAGGTGATGCCCACTCAGGAGCTCCAGCAGGTGAGATGGGCTTGGCGAGGGAAGCCCAGTGCAGACACAGAGGGGCAGGTAGGCAGTGCTGGCAGAAAGCAGACACCAGCTCTGGACCAGTGCCCCGGTGAGCCTGCTGCACGCTGGCAGTGGACTGAAGGGCACGCGCCTGTTCCCTCCAACCTCTCCTGCCCAGGGAGATGAATTGCTGCTCGCCACCCGCTGCTCAGGACTGGTGTCCTCAGCTGGGGATTAAGTCACTGGCTCCTGGGGCGCTGGCTCTTTCCATGCCTGGCTCTGGACCTGCGGGTGGCCTTGGAGACAAATCCCACCACCCTCATCTCAGAAAGGCCAAGCAAAAGTCGGCTCTCCAGCATCGCGGTGAGGATGGCCTTGTGCTGGAGTAGGGCACCTGGGCTCGAATCCCAGCTCCATGGCGTGTGAGCTGTGTGACCCTGGGCAAGCGATGGGCCTGCTCCAAGCCACCGTCATCTCTGACAAAATCAGAACGTAGGAGTGTTCACTCTCACAGAGCTCTGGTGTGGGCTGAGACACATATAAATAATGTCAGCAGGGCCTTGTCGTTAAACACAGAGCCTCCATGGAGTCCCAGGATAGAAACACACTCACCCAGCCCCCGACCCAGCCCTCCTCCACCCACCCCACCCAGCACTGCCACCCACCCATTTGTTCATTCAGCAGCCACTGGGTGCCAGGCAGCGTCAGGCCGGTGAGCTGCTGCGAACGCAGACGTGACGGGAACAGGCAACGCCGTTGCCTCCGCGGGCTTACGCTCGAGTGGCGAGAGATGAATCCTAACGAGAACCCAACAGTGTGTGGGGGGCGAGCGTGGGAGCGGCAGGGGTTAGAGGACACCCCTGGAGTCAGGGCCTGCCAGTGAAAGGGAGCCAGCGGCTCAGGCGTCAGGCATAGGGTGCTCTGGGCCTCGGGCAATAGGAACCAGGAGCAGGGGTGGCCGGGCCTGCCCAGGGAACTGTGAGGTGTGGGGTGAGGAATGAGGGAGAGGACAGTCCATTGGGAGTACGGGGTCAGCTGCCTCTCCCGTGGACGGTCACAGCAACGCACGCCCCCCCCGGCCCCCCACCTGTTTCAAGCAGAATGTGATAGAAGGGACACTGTAGGGTTTCTGAGGCTCGGCTTCCTTCTGGCTCTGCCGGGGTCCTGGCAGCATCCTCCAGGGCCCAGCCTCCATGCCAGGAGGAAACCAGGCCATGGGAGAGGCCAAGCGTGGAGCTCCAGCCGAGATCCCAGCCTACATCCCAGCCAGTAGCCAGAACACCAACACGAGACAGGGGCAGACAAGCCTTCCCGAGAGTCTCCACCCTTGGCTCTCCGAGCTAGTGGACAGGGAAAGCAGTCTCAGCTTTGCCCCGTTGGAAGTTCTGACCCACAGAACCCACGAGCTTCCCCCGTGGAAGCGAGGCGAGGGCCGGAGAGGAATGGAGGAGTGCCGAGAACCAGTGGTGGGAAGGCAGGTGCGGCACCCTTTCTCATGGGAATTTTGAAGATGGGCATGACTGCAATGTGCTTGCTGATGGGCAGAATTGGACGAGGGAGACGTGAGGGTCCAAGATGGGCCTGTGGAGGTGGTGGGTGGCGGGCACAGACAGGGCGGGAGCCACAGGCTAGCTGTGGTGCAAGCAGCTCACCCACCGCCCCTGGAGAAGAGGCCGGCCAGACCCCAGGAGGCTGTCGATGAGCTCTTCTAAGGGCTTATTTCCCCTTGGAATGAGAAGCAAGGTCAAGGTCAAGGTCACCAGTGGGGTGAGGACAGGGAAGGAGAGCAGACATGAAACAAATCACAGGAAGACTGTCCCGAGCCCCCAGAACGCCACCTAAGCCCCAAAGCGCATTGAGCATGGAGCCCTACTCCAGGCTGCACCAGACCCACCAAGGGCCTTTCAGAGCCCCAAACAGTTCCCAGCCCTATCCCAGACCAACGCGGGCAGAACACATTTCACCAGGTGCCCCGCCAGTGTGGATCTACAGCCCCGCACCACCACAAAAGCACAACCCTGTCAGTCGGGCTCTTCACGGGGTGGCAAGCTCCACCTCCCCCACACTCAGCACATAGAAAGTGGGGGGGCCACGTGTCAGACCACGGCTCGCCTTTCCTGCCCCAGAAAGCTCCAGGACCCCACATGAAGAAATCCCAGGACTCCGGAACCTCCTAGGCTTGAGTGCTTTCCTTCCTCAGGAGTCCCC
This sequence comes from Homo sapiens, assembly GCF_000001405.40. Lineage (NCBI taxonomy): Eukaryota > Metazoa > Chordata > Mammalia > Primates > Hominidae > Homo > Homo sapiens. Next base: position 142,293,101 of record NC_000008.11, read on the forward strand.
AAGAAAACGCAAACCCCTCCCTCGAGCAGCCGCACCGCAGGCCATCAGCAGCATCTGCTGCCGTTCTCAGTGGCACCGACACCCCAGCTGGCAGCAGTGCAAGGCTAACCCCTTAGCGTACAGTGAGCTGCTGAGCCAACAGCAAAGCCCAGGGTTCACCTGCTCACCCCAGAGCTTGGCCGCATTCCCGAGGCAGAGGGCCGGGACGCTTGAAGGAGGGAGGGGCAGGTGGAGATCCCAGCGTGGCAGGAGGGTGGGTGTGGGGCACGTGGACAGCCACGGCCACACCTCCTGGCGCGGGTTCTTCCCAGGCCTGAGTTCTCGCCAGGCAGTTACACTCCACCGTGGCACTTTCACCCTGAGGCCAGCAGAGGCTGGTGTCATTGTGCCCATTTTACAGATAAGTAAACCGAGGCTCCAGGAGAGACCTGCCCAGGGTCACATGGCCCAGTGGTATGGCTGTGCCTGAGCCTGGGATCCTGGACCAGCACCTACTTCTCCTTGTCTAGAAGACACCTGAGGCCTGCAGGCTTCCCTCCGCAGGGGACAAGGAAGCTTCCTGGAGACCTGGCTGTCATCCCTCCCACCAGCCTGGCTGCCAGACAGCTCTGGCCACCTCGGATCGAGGGTCATCTCCTGCTAACTGGGTGCTATTGGTGTTCAGACGCCACCTGTTGGCTCTGCCCTGGAGCATCTGCATCTACCCACACACTGCAGGGATGCATTTCAGCCCCATGGGGCCCTCAGCAAGCAGGAAGTGGGGCTGCAGTGGGGGCGGGAGAGGAGGGGCCACACTGGCCCAGCCTTGGCACTAAGCTTCCCCTGGCCACCACAGCCACCCTATTCTTTATCTTGGTCAAATAAAAAAGGTTACCTAGGCCCCACCTGGAGGGGCAGGGACAGGGGCAGGGGCAGCTGGGACAGGGGCAGGGGCAGCCCACCCAGGGGCCACGAGGAGAGGGAGTAAGGGAGCCCAGGGAGGGGAGGAAAGAGCAAACTGCTTCAGGGTCTGCAGAGGGCTGGGACCCCCTGCGGACCTCAGAGGATGCAGAGTGGCCAGAGGGAAGGTGGAGGGCGGTGTGAGGAAGGGCACCAGAGGTGAGACGCAGCAAAGGCCAAGAGGGTGCCCAGGGCCCCTGGGAGAATCGAAGGGCATGAGTTTGCAGGGACGAGGCAGGGATCAATCACCTCGCTAACACCTGGGGAAACAGCAAGGGCCCAAACACCAGGCTGAGGGCTGTCCTTTGTCCTTCACGCCCTCACCCACAGCATCACTCGGACTAGTTTGCAAAGCACTTTGCAGTCACTATCTCAAGGGCCTTCTCATTCCCAACCATCTGGCAGGAGTCGGAGACCAGGGCTCAGAGAGTGACCTGGGAGGCACCGGGCATGGTTCTGGCCTGGGCTCCTGGCGGCAGCTGGCGGCCCTGCTGTGTGGCCGTGGGCACCCTGCCTCCTCTGGGATTCCCACAGCTCAGTGCAGAGGGTGGAGGCAGCTGTCCTGGAAGCCAGCTCTCTCCTGGCCAAGGCCAAGAGGAGATGGGGCCGGTCAGCAGGGTCCATACAGGGCCGGCACAGCTGCAGGAGCTCGGAGGGCCTGGCTGGACAGGCAGACAGCTGAGAGTCAGCAGACAGCCCTACAGAGGAGCTGCTGCTGCAGGGACGGGCAGTGGCTCCTGGACACGACCTAATTAGATGCTCAGACACCTCCTCGCCCATGCCAGGGCTCGCACTGCTGCTCAGACACAATTGAAGCTCACACTCCCGGTGATGAGATGGGAATGGCCTCTCCATCTTCTCCCCCATCCAGACAGAGCCACTGGCCAGGAGGCTGCCAGCCGCCAGCACTCACCTCCGCGGCACCTGGATACCCAACACCCGGAGTCCTGGGAGGCTCGGGGCTCCAGCCCGGACCAGCACCAGGGGCTACCCAAGGCTGGAAGGCCAGAGACAGGCTACCTCTCAGCTCAGGCAGGGAGGGGAGCCCCAGGGAGGGGAGTGAGTACACAGTGGAGACAGGCAATGTTCCGGGACCCCTCGAGCCTTCTCCCACCCGAGCAACCCATAAGCAGACTCAGCTCCCACATGTGACTGGCACAACCCCTCCCGCTACGACCCTCCTCTGGGAGATGGTGGGCAGCCCCAGGTGAAAAGTTCAAATTCCAGGGCTGCCAGACCCTGCACCCTCCAGAGACAGATGGCACTTGGGTCGGAGTCAGACTGCCTGGGTTCCAGCCCTGTGGCCTCCCCCACTGGGAAGTGGGCATGGTGTCCTCCCTGGAGGGAGCTTGTGCACTGAGCCGGCCCCAGGTCCTGCTCACTCTTGGGTGGCCGCTCTGCTCCTCTAACACCCCTGTGTATGCAGCTGGAGCGGGCCTGTCTGGCGGAGAGTCCCAGCACCATGGAGAGGGCCAGGGCCCCATGCAGGCCAAAGACGGCTGCCCTGCGGCCAGTGAACAGGCCACAGAACACATAGGGGGCAGGCCCCCGTCACTGGCAGCCCTCAGCCTCCACTGGCCGCTGGGTGGCTCCACTTCTGCTCTCAGAGGAACTTTAGTGTATTTATCAACTCCATTCCTGCACAGCAGAGAAAAAGGAAGATGCCCAACATAAACCAGTAAAGAGAAACGTGGCCTGGTGTGCTTCCAGCTGGGCCGTCCATTGCCCAGACTCAGGCTGGGAATGCTCTGGGGCTGGCCTAGCCTCTGCCTGCACCTCCAACCCCCTGCACTCACCACACAGCCCTGCAGCATGGCTCTGCAGGACACCCTGTGCGCAGGGATGAGATGCTACCTGTGGGACCTGCGTCCATCCTGGGTGCCGGCAGTGAGGGCTCAGGACAGGCCTAGCACTGGGGGCTGGCTATCATCAGGGATGGGCCGGCCACTGTCATGGGAGGGGGGAGGTCACTCATGGGAGAGAGGCAGTCACTGTCACGGGGGAGGGGGTGATGACTGTCATGGGGGAAGGGTGGTCATTGTGGGGGAGGGGGTGGTCACTCATGGGGGAGGGGGTGGTCACTGTGGAAGAGGAAGGTGGTCACTGTCATGGGGGGGTGGTCACTACCATGGGAGAGGGGGTGGTGATGGTCATGGGGGAGGGAGTGGTCACTGTCACGGGGGAGGGGGCAGTGATGGTCATGGGGGAGGGGGTGGTCACCGTCATGGGGGAGGGGGCAGTGATGGTCATGGGGGAGGGGGTGGTGACTGTCATGGGGGAGGGGGTGGTGACTGTCATGGGGGAGGCGGTGGTCACTCATGGGGGAAGGGTGGTCACTGTCATGGGGGAGGGGTGGTCACTGTCATGGAGGAGAGGTGGTCACTGTCATGGGGGAGGGGCGGTCACTGTCATGGGGGAGAGGTGGTCACTGTGGGGGAAGGGCAGTCACTGTCTTTGGGGGCACTGGCCAGTTTGACACGTCGGTTCCACAAGTACTGGCAAGTCGCTGTGGAGCCCACTACTCCAGGCTCTGGGGATGGGGCTGACCCCAGGCAAGCAAGGGCCGCTCACCTTCTGTCAGGGCAGGGACCAACCAGAGACTCCCCGTGGGAGGCGGACAGGGGGCTAGGGCAGTCGAGGGCAGTGGGGAGGGCCTCCCTGAGGAGGGCACGCCGTGGAAGCAGCAATGCTCAGATCAGGGCAGGGTGCTCAGGGGCACATGGAAGCCAGCAGGGGTCCTCAGGGTGGGTCTCGGCGGTCCCCACAGGCTCCCCAGGACGGGGCAGGACACCCTCCCTCAGAATCCGACTGCACCAGGCCTGGGCGGGGGCAAGGTCACTGCCCAGAACGGAGGCTGGCCTGCTCTCCACTGTCTCCCGTGGGTGGCCTCTCAAGCCAGCCTCATGGCACCCCCTGGGTCCTCTGACAGGCTGTCACTTCCACACGGCCCGCTACACTCTGCCTACGGCCACACGGGCTGTCCCAGCTGGCAAGTCCCTGAGGACAGAGAGCGACCTTCCACCTGCCCACTTCACAGATGAAATGAATGAGGCAAATCGGGGTTCAAGGTCACCCAACCAGTGAGCGGACACGGGCCTAAAGCCAGGACAGCATGTCCCCAGCCTGGCCCTTTGTTTTGTCCCAAGGATGATGCTGGGAAGGAGGACAAAGGAAAGGGATGCTGGGCGTGGCCATCTGTCCCAGTGGACAGGAGCCCCCAACACAACCCCGATCTGCACCCTGCCTGACAGCAGCCACGGACACTCGAGGAGACCAAGAGCAAGGCGGAAAGTGGGCACCAGGAATCGCGCAACACTGGCCCACTACTGTGATACTGCTTCCCCTCCCTGGGCCTCAGCTGGCCCGTGTGTTCACACCCCACTAGCCACCTAGTAAGTCATTGAAGGCTGGCCACAAAGGGGGCTCTCTCTCAGACCTCAAGTCTGCCCTAGGGGACTTCTGAACCTACAAAATCTTGCAAATCCCAAAGCCCCCAGTGAATGTGGGAGGAGAGATGAGGGGATGAGGGTGCCGGCTCCACAGGAAAGGGCTACAGCCAGCCGAGGTGCGTAACACAGCTCCACAAAACCCTGCCGCCCACCCCCCGAGCCCTGCGCAGGCTGCAAAGATGGCTGCAGAGCAATCGGGCCAGCAGGGCCTGGCACGTGCGACCTCCGCTGCGTCACAGCCTCTCATGCGTCACGCTGGAGTTACTGTCACCGGGACCTGCTGCAGACCGTGGGGAGGGCTTCCTAAAGGCTAATGACAATTTGCGTTTTGTTTTTCCCGTTTTCAGAGACCAAAGGGAGGGAGTGATGCAGTGAGGTGTACAGACGCCTTCCAAGAACGACTCCCACCCCGCCGCCCTCCGTCCCGCGCCTGCTGTTGCTGGCATGAAGATCCACATCCTCTGCGTCACCCCCATGCTGCAGACAAAGAAAGTGAGGCTAGAAGGGCCAGGCTGGCCATGGGGCCTGCCCACTCTGCACCACTCCCAGCCCCCCTGCTACCCCCCGTCCGCACAGTGCTGAGCTGTGAGGGTCCCCGAGGGCCACAGGCAGAGCCCAGGCCACCTGGGTCCTCTGGTCTAGATGCAAGCCCAGGCCCGAGTGAGTTCAGTTCAGCCCAGAGCCCCAGCTTTCCTCCCGCCCTGGCCCAGGCCTCTCCATCTCTGAGCTGGACGACTGCAGTGGCCTCCACGTGGGGCGCCCTTGCCCTGGGAAAGGCCGCTGCTCAGCCCACACTCACCACACAGAGTGCCAGAGGGAACCCGGGGCCAGGACTGCCGGTTGGAGAGGCCCTCACACAGAGGATCGCGGACGGGGCAGCCAGCCCCAGCCTCCACTCCTCTGAACCCCATCCTGGGGTGGCTGCACCGGGCACGAGCCCTCACCAGGCCCTGGGAGCAGGACTCCCAGGCCAGGACAGTGAGAAGCCAGCCCCTCAGGTGAAGGTGCCACGCCGGAACCCCGAGACCCGTGCCACAGATGCTGCTGAGTGAGCGCCAGGAGGCTGGAGGTGGGCCAGGAGCCAAGCCTCTCCCTGGACGCTGCCCTCTAACGGCCTCCTCATGCCCGCAGCCCTCTGTGGGGGTTTGGGCTTTTTGGCAGAATGAGCTTCTGTGAGCGACCTCCACTCCTTGGACTTAATCAATAAGCAGCGCCTCCTCTCTCCTCACGACACTCTATGCCCCACAGGGAGGGCTGAGCCTGAGCCGCCCGAGGGGCTGTGACTGGACCTTCCCAGGAGGATCTCAATTCCAGCACAAAGGGGAAGCGGTCCGTCTGCCTCTCTAGCTGTGAAGCCTTCAGGGCAGTGCTCCTGGAGGAGCTCACGAGCACCCGTTTCTCCACTCCTCTGGGAACAGTGGGCCTCGTGCACCAGCAGGAAGGGATGGAAACCATCTCTGTGCTTCGGGTGGTTCTCTGGAGCATCTCAGCAGCAGCAAAGGGCTCGTTCAGCCCCAGAGAGAAGCCCCCGAAGCAGCCTCCAGCCAGGGCCACAGGCCCAGAGCTGGTGCCTTCCTCTCCAGGGAGCCCGAGGACAGGAAAGGGTGAAGGGGATGACACCTCACAGAGGAGGCGGGGGCCCCAAACACAGGTCTTGAGAAATGGGCGCTCCTCCACCAGGTCAAAGTAGGGGGTTGCCACAGCAGAGGCAGGGAGGTGGGGGCCACAGAACTAAGGGGCAAGGGAGAAGGGGCTGAGCCCCAGCACTGTGGGGTATTCCCTTCCTTCGAGAGTGGAAGACCTGCTCCCTGGGAGAGCAGAACCAGCCACAGGTACTAACCCAGTGACTTAGCTGAATTACTGCCAGGCCTCTGCTTTTCTAGAAGAGTCAGCTCTTAGCAGACATTTGCTCTGGAAACCCAGCCTCTGGGAGCTTCAGAGTGGGCAGGCCCTAGCGCCTTCTGCAGATGAGGTGGCCAGAGGAAGGGAAGGACGTTCAAGGTCACACGCAGAGGCTCGGATCCCACCGCCAACAGAGCGTGTCCCCCCCACGCTGCCTGATTGATGTGTTCTATGTACACTCAGGCATCAAGAGAGAAGAGGCTCACTCACATATGCATGCACTTACACATGCATGCACACACACGCACTCACGCACGCACGCATACTTGCATGCACACACGCACTCACATGCATCACACGCATGCACACACACGCACTCACGCACGCACTCACATGCACGCACACACGTGCACACACACATGCATACGTGCATGCACTCACACACACATACATACACACATGCTCAGACTCAGGTGCCTCTTGGGATACTCTGTTTTAGCAACTGTCTTAAGAGATTAACCATAGGCTAGAGACACATTTGGCAGCAGGTATTATACATGTGTAAACTTTAAAGAAATGAAAAATAAGCATTATACATGTGTAAAAAATAAGTATTATACATGTGTAAACTTTAAAGAAACGAAAAATAAGCAGCATCCAATGCCCACACTCTACAGTTGTACCCCGACAGCTCACCCCACCACCTGCTGGTAGCACCACCAAATTGCAGGTTCGGTTCTGAGCAATTTATTCAACCTTTCAAAAAAAAGTTACTGGGAACTGCATTAAGCACCAAATCATCTTCATTAGAGCTAAACAGCCTCCTGGAAGTCTAACCACACAGCAAATGAAATGGCCATGGTGACTGAGAGGCTACCCCAGCATAGACCCCAGCTCCTGGCCAGAGGGCTGTGCCCTATTAGGGAAACCCAGGAAGGAGGGGATGGGGATGGGGCTCCCAGACTCCCGTCTCTCCCTTATTGGACCAGATGGCCAGAGAGAGGTGGTTAGAATGGGCAAGGCCATGGAGGCCTAGTTCCAGCCCCTCCAGGTCAAGGGCAAGCAATGGTGCAGCAGGCTGGCACCTGGGCTCCTCTGGTTCCCAGCCTCATGTGGAGTGTGGAGAGTGAGCACGCTTGCCCACGCCAGCCTCACCTCCATCTGCAGGATGGCCTCCTCCCGCAGCCGGATGGCCTCCAGGTCCTCTTCAGTGATGTCCGGGAGCAGCGCCTGCTCCTGGCCCTGCCACATGTTGTCACTCCCGTTAAAGACCTTCTCATCATCAGCCAGCTCGGCAAACGGGGCCTGGGGACTCTGCTGATGACAGACAGATCTTGTTAGCACTGACCCCTCCCATTACCACCACAACCCAGGCCCAGAAATTCAACAAAATGGTGCTTTTCCCTTCACTATCCCCATCTGCTCTCTGAGGGGACGATCTGGGTCTGAGGCGGGGGCCTTCTGCGGCCACGAGCCTGTCACTGGGCATCAATCTGGGCCTCCCAGGCGCCGGTCACCTGGGAAAGACCACAGACGTCAGTCCCCAGTGTCATCAGCCCCCCCGCATCAGGTCCCAAGTGGGGGTGTAGGGGCCCGGGAGCACCCAGCAGAGGGGAGGGTGGGCAGGAGGCAGGAAGGGTCCATGCTGCGGCCGCCCCCTCCAGGTGCACACGTTCATACCGAACTGAAAACGCGACAACAGCGGTGATCCCACCCCACAGCCCTTCCTCCCCTCCCGTCAGGAGCCCGGCCACAGTGCCCCCCACCTTCCCTGCCCATGCCAGCAGGCCTTCCTTCACCTCCCGCCAGGAGCCTGGCCACAGTGCCCCCCACTTGCCCTGCCCATGCCAGCGGGCCTTCCTTCCCCTCCCGTCAGGAGCCCGGCCACAGTGCCCCCCACCTGCCCTGCCCATGCCAGCGGGCCTTCCTTCCCCTCCCGTCAGGAGCCCGCAGTGCCCCCACCTGCCCTGCCCATGCCAGCGGGCCTTCCTTCCCCTCCCGTCAGGAGCCCGCAGTGCCCCCACCTGCCCTGCCCATGCCAGCAGGCCTTCCTTCCCCTCCCGTCAGGAGCCCGGCCACAGTGCCCCCCACCTGCCCTGCCCATGCCAGCGGGCCTTCCTTCCCCTCCCGTCAGGAGCCCACAGTGCCCCCACCTGCCCTGCCCATGCCAGCGGGCCTTCCTTCCCCTCCCGTCAGGAGCCCGGCCACAGTGCCCCCCACCTGCCCTGCCCATGCCAGCGGGCCTTCCTTCACCTTAGGAAGGTGTGTGTGGTTATGCATGTGTGACTGTGAGTGCCTGTGTGGTTGTGGGATGTGTGACCATGTGACATTGTGTGTGTGTGAGGGAAAAAGGGAGACAGGAAAAGGCACCGAGAATGGGCAGAGCAGAAAACTGAGGTGGCGGCCTGGCCAGGACCGGCCTCACCAGGAGCACCTGCTCCACTCAGCCGTGCCCCCGATCTTCCTGAAAACCCTGCAGGGAGGAGCCAGGGCCTCCACAACAGCCGAGGACACTGAGGCAGAGCGAGGTGGGGCTGGCACCATGCTAAATCAGGGCGAGCCCGTGGGGCTCTGCAGCAGCGCCTGCCCTCAGACACACATCAAGGTTCGGTGAGTGCAAGGACAAGGCGACAGCGGTGGGGATGGCTGACAACGAACAGTGCCACGTGTGCCAGGCCCACTGATGCCACGCCGGCCACTGCTACCTTTACTTGCTCCTCATGCTCCTGGGGCACCGTAATGACCCCCCACCCACCATATGGGAGACTCAGGGAGTTCACAGCCACCCAAGCCACTCTGCAGTGAACGTGCAATTCAGCAAACCTGGCCAGGCTGCTGCTCCTGCAGCCCTCAGGAGCAGACCCATGGCGCCCTCAGCCCTGCCCCCAGATCCAGCTTCCCCTCAGCTTCACTCATGCTATGCCCACACACACCCCCTGACACAAATCCTCAGACCACCCTGCCTGCCCAGGCAGGTGCTCTCCCAGCTGACTCGTCCGGCCACTGGTCTTGGCCCAGTAGGTGTCACCACGTCTGGACAGGAGGATCTGACAGAGGTGGGGGCTGTGCCGGTCCCGATGCCTCGGGGCCTTCTGTGGCAGTGGGGCAGGAGGCACAGTTGCTGGGCCTGGATCAGAGCCCCTGCTGGGACAGGACTCTCAGGATGGGGGCTGCCCAGCTCACACCATAGCCAGGGACTCAGCCACAGGCCCCCTCCCTTGCTGTCCCCACCCCCGTCTCCCCAGCCCTCTGCGGGGAACATAATCAACGTCCTCTCCCAGGTCTGGGAAAGGCCCCGCAAAGCACGGGGTCCCAGCCAGCTTTGCGCCTCTGCTCATCAGGGCCCTCAGGCAGTGTGGACAGCTTTGCCAGGTCCTAGCCTCTGAGGGCACAGGGCCCTGCCTAGGTGTCGCCCTAGGCATGAGATCTGGGTGCAATGTGTGGAACTGACTGGGAATGGAAATCCAGGCTAGACCTGGGGTGCAGGCAACCTCTCTGCCTCATCTCTCCCCACTGGACCCTGCTGGCCTCCGCTGTGCCTAGGGACAGCACTGTCCACCAAGAGCAGCTGGCCATGCAGGCCAGGAGGCAAGGCACAGTGAAGGATCCTCCGTCAGCACTAAGCATGGAGGCACTAGGGGTACAGCTGCCACCCCAACCCATCCCACTCACGTCCAGAGCTCTTGCCATGCCCCTCCCGTGTGTGTGGGCATCTGGGGACATGGGCTGCAGGGCAGCCTGGCTCACAGGACCTGCTCTGCCGGCTCCCCCAGCGCTCGGGGACTATAACCTCAGTCGCCCTGCAAAGAAGCTGTAGAGGCTGCAACTTGCTCATCTTCTGCCCTTTCCCAAACTGAAAGCTGCCTCACCATGCCATGTAGCTCAGGGTGGGCACGTGCAGAGACCCCAGGCCAGAGGAAGCTCTGTGAGCGCTCCTGGGGAGGCCTCCCGGGGTAGCAGGGGGATCACCTCCCCTGGAGCAGTCACTGGCCCTGCCTGGCTTCCCAGCAGGTGCTGCTCCCAAAAACCGCCCAGCCTGGGTCCCGTTTATGCCCAGGGCCCAGCGAGGTGCCCCGCCTCCTGAGGCCCGAGAACCCTCTCTTGGCCAAGGTGGGGAGAGGACTGCGCCTTGGCCGCTGGAAGGAAGACCCCAGACACCACACAGGAGACGGAGGGCTCCGCCCCGTCTCACATGCTTTTCTTTCCAGGAACACCCATGGGGGGCCCATGGTACCCACCCTACGCCAGGCACTGGGACTGGAGCAGATGGACAGGTGACAACCAAATACAGACAGATGAACCCCGGCTGGACACCGAACCAGTGGATCTACAAACAAGCACTTCATTGCGTTTCTGGCAGAAGCCACCCCAGGCAGGTGCGAGGCTAGGAGGGCTGTATGCTGGTATGACTGCATCCAGGATGGGGCGACCTCACTAGTCCCCACAGTCTGCCGAGACGGCTGGTGACAACAGGACCAACAGCCACAGCAACCTTAGAGGGACGTGGCATGAGGCTGGAGACAACAGGACCAACAGCCACAGCACCGGCCACCCCAGGAGGGATGCAGCACGAGGCTAGGTGCTACTTCCTTTCTCCCATTTCCTCAGGCCCCTCGGCAGGGGCACGGCCACCCTCGTCTAAAGGGCACCTTGCCCAGGTCCTGCAGGTGGGATGGTGAGGCTGCCCTAGCCAGGTTCTCCTTCCCAAGCCAGCTTCTTCCTACACACCACCCTGACACGGGTAGAAGCTAGCAGAAGCCTTTAAATAAATAAATATGTGGATAGATGAATATAAAATAAAAGATCTAAAAAATCTGTTGACAAGCGCAACTCGTCCAAGGTGGTAATTATCACCTCCCCTTCCTGGAGTGGGCGGGAGGAAGTGAGCAGTGCCTGGCGGTGGGAGCCCAGGGAGGCGCTGGCCTCGCGCCAAGCCCAGCAACCCCAACGCCTCCTTCCTACGGCTCCAGCCCCTAGGCTTCCGGGGCTCTTGCAGAAAGAGCCTGGGCTCAGGTTCCGGCCCAGCAGTGGTGCCGGCTGTGAGGCCCCAGGCATGCCACGCCCTTCTCTGGGCCTCACTGTCCTCATCTGTAGAATGGGAGCAGCGGCACTCACAGCCCCGTGGTCTATGCCCCTCAAGCTCCACCCACACGGTCTGACCCCTCATGTCTGCAGAGCACAGCAGCTGTGCACCTCACTCCACCAGGAACCCGAGCACGAGGCTCTCCTAAGGTGTGAGGGCTCAGGAACACTGCCCTTCACTTCCTGTGTGGGCCTGGGGAGGGTCCTCAGCTTCCCTGAGCCTCCAGCTTTCACTTCCAGGGGATGGAGCTGACCTCAGCACGTCCTAGTGTCGCCTGGAGAGCTCGAGCTGAGGCATGCAAGGCTGCAGCATACAGCAGAGATGCCATGAGATGCCACCTTCCGGACTCAGGTGGGAAACCAGGTTGAGCTGTGCTTTTCCCAACGCTGTGAGCTACGGGGTAGAGACGTTCCTCCCAGGGGGGACATGGCCATACACGCCCCTGGAGAGCGGCATGACGGTTGAGCACAGCCTCCTCCTGCCAGCGGTGACAGGCCCTACAACAGCCCCACTGACTGGGGTCCCGTGGCCTGGGTAAAGTCAAAGCCCCCAGGTAAACATAACAAACTTTTGAGGTAAGAGGTCCCCGGGGCAGCCCGGCTGGTGTGCCCGAGGACGGAGATGTAGGAGCCTGCCCTCGGCCCTGACAGCAAACAGCCACAGGCGAGGGGGCTGGAGGAAATGTGCTCCCTCCCACGATGAAATCCTCCAGGGCAGCTAATGCGGGCGAGTGAGATGGCCAGGTGGAGAAGGCACCACAGGACGTTCTGTGCGATGTTCCCTGGACTTGGGGGTTTCAGTGACAGCTCCCCAGGAGCTGTGGGCAGAGGGTGCCAGGCACCCATGGAGACCTGCCTCGGATCTGTGCCTTGGGATTGATGCCACCTCCTGCATGTGGAGAAGGGGAAGCTCAGGAGGATAGGGGAGGGCGCAGGGGTGGGAGGGGGGTGCAAACGGGGTTCCGTGTGGACGCCCAGGAAAGCGGCCAGGCTGGGGTGCGGGCTGTGTGGACACCCAGGAAGGCAGTCACACTGGGATGCGAGCCGTGTGGACACCCAGGAAGGCGGCAGGGCTGGGGTGCGGGCCAGAGGAGACCCCGCAGGTGCTCGGTCTCCCTCACCTCCACAGCGGGAGGATCGGGGGCCTGGTGCCGCTCTCCCCAGCAGTGCAGGACAAAAGCCAGGGGAGGAAGAGATGGCTTAGACGCCCGGGTCCCTCCGCGGCCTCCTCCTGAAAGGCTCACAAAGCGCTCCTTTATTCTCCCCACAAAGGCCCAATTTGGGTCTTGAGCTCCGAGGCTGGGATTAGGGATTTGCTGGCAAGGTGCTGGGGCAAGCGCAGAGGGGACGGCCCTGTGATAGTTTTCCAGCTCAAGAGGCAGACAGACAAAGGCGGCTTTCTCCTCCCCACAGGGCTCAGGGCCTGGGTCCCTGTTCCGACACGTAGGGAAGAGACATGCTCTAACGTGAGTGCTGGAGACAGGGCACACACGGTTTCCCGTGGGAAGAGACTCCGCTCTGCCAGGCATTCAGAAAGCAGGGACCCGAGGCCGGCGCTCAGGGCTCTCCAAGGCTCTGGGAAGGAGACCACTTTCTCATGCACTCCGACCCGAGGGAGGGCAGGGGCCAGGGCAAGAGGCGCTCACACAGGGAGTGGTGGTGTCTTTTCAGGAGCCCCAGATAGCTCACTGTTTCCTCCAAGCAGCAACAGACTCTATTTATTCACTGGTGGAGTCTCTGGAGGCAAAGCCCAGAACATCAGGACGGACACGGCTGTGGCAATGCTTCCCCCAGCCCCACGTTAAATCAAAGGGAAATGGACCCAGAGACAAGGGGCGACCTCCAGCCCTGTGCCTCAAACATGGAGGCGTGTCTAGGCAATTTCCAGCCAGCCCGTGAGAGTGAAGCAGGTCTTCACTTCTGCAGCCCGGCTGGGGACACACGAAGTCCTGGTGGAAATGTAGGCTGAGGTGGCCAGTGACGGCAGAGACAGAGCATGACCTGCCACTGGGGCCATTGCCCTGATGCTGCCCCAGGGACTGGGATGCTGCTCACTGGCTGAGCCCAAGCTGGGTCTGAGACTGACCCTCGACCCAGCTGAAAACTACGGACCACAGCCAGGATCGCCAACTCCACACAGGCTGAGCTGCTCACCCCACACCCAGGGGAGACAGGCAAGAGACGGGGAAGGCAGCAAGTGCCCCTCGCACCTGCCAGGGCTGCCCGGCCTGTGAGTAGCAGCCCCCCAGTCCCCCCACATCAGCCTAGCATCAACTTGGCAACAGTCCTTTTGTTGAACAGGGTTGCATATCATCTCATCATTTATAGTTTGCAAATTCCTAGAAATAATCTAACCTTCCATGATTTCTCAGAAGCACTACTGGCCACTCCCCACCTTTTTAAAAGAAAATTCTACCGAAAGGCAATACATCTGTGTTTCAATGCCAGGTGCAAAGGATATAGCTCTATGACTGCTCACAAAGGAAACACATCCCAGCCAAGACACAGGACACTGGTCAGGACCCCCGGGGCCTCCCTCCAGCACCTGTCATCCCAGGCCCCCAACAGAGGAGAACCCAGTTCCAACTTCTAACACTGTCCACCAGTGGGGCCTGGTTCTGAATACTACAGAAATGGAATCCCACAGTCTATCCCCTTGGGTCTCAGGCTTCTTGGACTCAGCGTTATGTCCGAGGCATCACTGGTGGGGCCACTGATCATACAGTAGCCACAGCTCACTCTTTTGGCTGCTGTAGAGTCCCCAGTGGCATGAATTCAGCTTGGACTCAGCGTTATGTCCGAGACATCACCAGTGGGCGTGGTGGCCACAGCTCACTCTTTTGGCTGCTGTGGAGTCCCCCGTGGCATGAATTCAGCAGGTGCTGCTTTTCTGTGCTGGTCAGACTGGGCGGTGTTCCAGGTTGTGTCACTGCGTGGGGGCTGCTATGAGCATTCTCCCATGTGACTTCTGTCAACACACAGTTGTCCTGTCTCCACGGGGGAGTGGCCGAGGACTTCCACAGATACCAGAATCTGTGGGTGCGCAAGTCCCTGATATAAAATGACTTGGTATTTTCATACAACCTACGCACATCCTCCCATATATTTAAATCACCTCTAGGTTGCCTATAATATTTAATATGATGTAAATGCTATGTAGTAAATAGCATAGTTGTTCTGCCGTATTGTTTTGGAAATGATGACAAGAAAAGAAGAGGCTGTCCATGTTCAGAACAGCTGCCATCTTTTAAAAATATTTTCAGTCTGAGTGGTGGAATCCATGGATGTGAAACTCATGGATACGAAGGGCCAACTGAATATGCATGTCTGTTGGGCAGAACTGCAAGATCCTAGGTCAGAAAATGCTGAACTTGATATTCTCGAACAGTGTTCCAAAGTGGTGATGCAAAGGCACACCCCACCAGTAAAGGCATGAGAGTGCAACCGCCTGCACGCAGCCCACGCCCGGCTTTTGCAGAGGTTTTCACTCATGTTTGCTCTAGTTATTTGTGTGGGTGTGGTGTGTGGTGATTTACCATCATGGGTTTCTTTGCCATTTTTCTGATAACTCGTGTTGCCAAGTACACAATCACAGGCTTATGAGCCAACCGGAATCCTCTTCTGTGAGGTGCCTGTGGAAAGCTGCTGTCCTTTCATTGTTTTTCAATAGAGTTGTCTGCCCTTTCCTTGTTGATTTGTAAGATATCTTTATATATTAAGGATGTAAGTCCTTTTCACACGTGTTGTACAAACGCCCTGTCTTGTGCTGTGGGCTGCACTCTCTTCCTGGGGTATAATTTTAACAAAGTGTGTCGACCTTCTCCTTTGCGGTTGGCACTTGTGCGTCTGTGTAAGAAATACTTGTCCACCGTGAAGGCGTCGGGGAGCCTCCCATGGTGCCTTCTGGATGTGCTACTGCCTTATCTTTCGCACGTGGGTCTGTAGTCCGGCTGGAAGTGCTTTCTGCACAGGGTGAGCTGACGTTTGCAAAGGGTCCTTTTTTTCCAGTTCAAACATCCGAGTGATCCGTATCAAGCTCTGAATGAATCACCCACCTCCCGTGGCAGGGCAGTCCACCTCGGCCACAAACCCAGCCGCCACGTACGTGTGGTCCGTGTCCAGTCTCCACCCTGTCCCATGCGTTGGTGTGTCCATAGGCTGGTGTGTCCACGGCTTGGTGTGTCCGTGGGCTGGTGTGTCCACGGGCTGGTGTGTCTAGCCTCACACAAACACCACACTGTTTTCATTTCTGTGCTTTATAGTGTGTTCCAATACCTGATAGTATAAATCCCTTTCGTTCTTCTTCAAAATTGCCTTTGCTATCTTGGGTCTTTCATATTTCCATATACATTTTGGAATCAGCTTGACAGTTCACACACACACACACTGAAAACCTGCTGGAACCTTATTGGGATTGTATTGAGCCTACAGATTCACTGGGTGAGAGCTGACATCTCCATACACACGGTATCCCCTCCATGGTTTAGATCATCCACTGGGTGAGAGCTGACATCTCCATAAGCACAGCAACCCCTCCGTGGTTTAGGTCATCTGTCATTTCTCTTAGTAATGTGGCATGTTTTTTAATGTAGAGGCCTTAAACCGCTCTTCATAGAATTTTTTGAAGAAATTTATCTATTGTAATAAATTTATTATATCAGTCTTTAAATTTCCTCTCCAAACTGTCTTTTGCCAGCATACACAATGTCTTCTTGTCTAGTGACCTGTCCTGCCGCATTCACTGATGAATTCTGACAGCACGCTACAGGTGCGTTCGGATTTTCCATGGACATAATCACACTGTCTATGAAACACAGTTTCTTCTCAATCCTACTCTTTTTTTTCATGCCATACTGCGTTGGATACAACTTCTGGCACAATGGGGAACAGAAACCACAGTACTAGATGCCCTAGTTTTATCTTCTATCTTAGGAGAAAAGACTTTAACATCCCTCAGTAAGCCTAACGTTAACTGTAGGGTTTTTGAAGATACCTTCTGGCAGATTAAAGGCACTCCTATCTATTCCTAGTTTGCCAAGAGTTTTTTAGCCTCCTTGAGTGCTGAATTTTATCGAGTGCTTTTTTCTATCTGTTGAAATGACCTGTACACATTTCCTCACTTATTCTATATTACATGGTGAATCACACACAGACTCTGAATGCAAATCAATCCTGCATCCCTACAATAAAGCCCACTTTATAATGATGGATCATCCTTTCACAGATTGCTAGATTGAAGTTACTAATATTTAGGACTTTTGTGTCTATGTTCATAACAGAGACAGGCATGTTATTTTCCTTCCTGGGAACCTCGTAAGAATCTGGAATCAAGGTACTGGGGCCTCATGAGGCAGGCAAGGTGTGCTTCCTCCTGCCGTATTCTCTGTAACAGCATGTGTAAACTGCTGCTAGCTACTGCTCAAATATGGGACTGAATTCACCCATACAGCTATTGAGGTCTAGAGTTTTCTTTGTGGGATATTTTTAAATTATGGATTTAATTTTTTAATAAATATTAAACTCCCAGATTTTCTGTACCTCTTGGTAAATTGTTTTCTAAAAAAAAAGTCTCCTCTAAGTTGTCAAATTTATTGATGTTTATAACATCCCTGCGTTTTTCTTTTTTTAATGTGTAGGACTGGTAATGATCTATCCATTTTCATTCTGACAACTGGTAATCTGTATTTTCTTTTTCTATCTTGATTAATCTTGTAGGGGTTTAACAACCCTTTCAAAGAGCCAATTATTTTGGCTTTGCTAACTTGCCTACTGAACGTGTTTTATATTTCGTTAATTTCTGCCTTAGTAATTGCATATATTACTACATAACACTTACTCAGTCTGCCCTCGATGTGTATGTTACTTCTCTGATGATGCGAGGACGTCATGACACTTTAACACTATTTGCCTCCCCTCTGTCTTCTGGGCCATTTTGTCAATAGCACACACCTGACCATAATCTGAAGCCCGCCAGTCCTCATCATCACCGTTCCACCGTCGACGTTAACCTGGGCGCAGCCACATCAACTGTTTCCATTGTCCCTTACTCCCTCCTCCGGGACACGCTTCCCTCTGAGATCACTCCTTTTCCACGTGGAGGGGGTTCTGTTGATGAGGAGTTCTCTCATTTTTGTGCCTCTAAAACTGTTTTCACTTCACCTTTATTTCTGAAGCATGTCTTCCCCAAGGTGCAGCTGGAGATTAGTTATTTTTCTCATGCGTTTTGAAGGCACATTTCCACTGTCTTCTGGATTCCATCGTTTCTTCTAAGAAAGTCAGGTGTCAGTCTTGTCCCTTTAAAAATCATGTGACTTTTTTCTCTGACTTTAATGTGCTCTTAACATTTTTTTTCTAGTTTGAATCTGCTTTTCTAAGATTTTATTTTTGCCTTTGGTTTTCAAATTTTTATCATGCTATGACCAAGGGTGTTTTTGCTTGTTTTTGTTTTTTCTTTTTTGAGACAGTTTTGCTCCGTCCCCCAGGCTGGAATGAAATGGCATGCTCTCAGCTCACTGCAACCTCCATCACCCAGGTTCAAGCAATTCTCGGCCTCAGCCTCCTGAGTAGCTGGGATTACAGGCACCTGCCACCACACCCGACAAAAATTATGTATTTTTAGTAGAGACGGGGTTTCACCATGTTGGTCAGGCTGGACTCAAACTCCTGACCTCAAGTGATCCACCTGCCTCGGCCTCCCAAAGTGCTGGGATTACAGGCGTGAGCCACTGCACCCAGCCAAGGGTGGTTGTTTTTTTTTTTTTAATTATTTGAGACGGAGTTTCGCTCTTGTTGCCCAGACTGGAGTGCAATGGCAATCTTGGCTCACTGCAACCTGCGCCTCCCAGATTCAAGCGATTCTCCTGCCTCAGCCTCTCTAGTTTTTTTTTTTTTTTTTTTTTTTTGAGATGGAGTTTTGCTCTTGTTGCCCAGGCTGGAGTGCAATGGCACAATCTCGGCTCACCACAGCCTCTGCCTCCCGGGTTCAAGTGGTTCTCCTGCTTCAGCCTCCCGAGTAGGTGGAATTACAGGCATGTGCCACCACACCCGGCTAATTTTGTATTTTTAGTAGAGACAGGGTTTCTCCATGTTGGTCAGGCTGGTCTCGAACTCCCAACCTCAGGTGATCCACCCACCTCGGCCTCCCAAAGTGCTGGGATACAAGCATGAGCCACCACGCCTGGCAAGGGTGGTTTTTTAAAAGGAGAAATTTATCTATTCATAGAGCTTCTTGAATCTGTGACTTGAAGTATTTGGACAGTTTTGGAAAACTCTCAATCGTTACCTCTTCAAATATTATTTCTATCCATTTTCTCTCTCTCCTGTTCATCTAGGACTCTATATTCTTTAGATTTTCTATCATTTTTTCTTTTGCATTTCAATATAAGTTTTCTTATACCCAGCCTTCTAATTCACCAATCCTTTTTTCTGCTTTGTCTATGTGGAGATTTAGCTAACCCACTAAATTCTTAATTTTAATTATATTGTTCAATACCAGAACTCCCTTTTTAAAATAAAATGTAAGTTCTCTGGTAAAAGTCTATACCATTTACTATTTCCTTTCACATGTTAATAACACAGATTGAATATCCCTCATCCAGAATGCTTGGGACCAGAAGTGTTTCAGATTTTGAACTTGTTTTCAGATTTTGGATTTTATTTTCAGATTTTGGAATATCTGCATTGTACTTATTGGATGAACATTCCTCATCAAAAATCCAAAAACCTAAATGTTCCAATGAGCATTTCCTTTGTGCGTCAGGTTGGCTCAACAAGTTTCAGATTTTGGAGCATTTTGGATTTTGGAGTTTTAACTTAGGGATGCTCAACCTATAAGCTGAGTGTCCAACCAACTATTTGAATATCTGCATCACCTGTTGGTCAGTTTCTACTTCCTGTTTTTCCTTGGCTTTAGTAATTGGATCCTGTTACCTATGATGCCTGATGACTTTGGCTTAAATCCCAAACACTGTATGAAAAATTGCAGAGATTCTAGATGATGGGATTGTCCTCTGTCTTTGGAGAGACAACATAGACATGATTCCAGGCTATACTTTAGGTTTGGTTGGTCAGGGCTGGTCTACTTCTGGTTTACCTTCATCTCTCATGGTCTCAAGCAGAACTTGTGTTTACAAGAGTCCCTCCTCCTGGGTGGGCCTTAAAATCCAACTTTCGTCTTCTTAGTACTCTGAGGGTACTCCAATTTCTGTTCAGCTTTTCCTGTAAAGTACTTGTTGCTTGACTTCTTAGACTCTCACATCACGCACACACCAGCGAATATGGATCAGCAAAAGCCTGCCTCAAGGGGAAAACGGACCGAGTGCTGCAATCCCCTTGTGCTCTAGGGTTTTATTCCTAAGGGTCCTGAACTCTAATTTTTGCCTCTCCAGCCCAGTAAGACCACTAAAGCTATAAGCCACCACTGCTGTTCAGTCTCAATAAGCTGAGACACAAGCTGGCAAATGTCCTGGGGGTGAGAAGGCAGTGATGATGAGCCTGAGTGATCTGGGAATGCGTGCCTCTCTAGGCTTGGCTCCCAGCTGCTCCGATGTTTCCCCCATGTTGGATCCATGTGTGTCTGCATGTCTGCATCTATCTGTGTGTCTCTGGGTGTCTATCTGCATGTGTCTACATGTCTGTGTTTATCTGCATGTGTCTGTGTGTCTGTGTTTATCTGCATCTCTTCATGTCTGCGTGACTGTTTATCCGTGTGTCTGCATTTATCTGCATGTGTGTCTGCATGTCTATCTGTGTCTCTGTGTGTTTATCTGCATGTCTACATGTCTGTGTTTATCTGCACGTGTCTGCGTGTCTGTGTTTATCTGCATGTGTCTAGATGTCTGTGTTTATCTGCATTGGTCTGCATGTCTGTTTATCTGCATGTGTCTGTGTTTATCTGTGTCTGCATGTCTGTGTCTCTGTGTGTTTATCTGTGTGTCTCTACATGTCTCTTTATCTGTATGTGTCTGCATGTCTATGTGTCTGCGTGTCTGTGTTTATGTGTCTGTGTGTTTATCTGCATGTTGTCTACATGTCTGTTTATCTGCATGTGTCTGCATGTCTGTGTTTATCTGTGTCTCTGTGTGTTTATCTGCATGTGTCTACATGTCTGTGTTTATCTGCATGGGTCTGCATGTCTGTTTACCTGCATGTGTCTGCGCATCTGTGTTTATCTGCATGTGTCTCTATGTGTGTTTATCTGTATGTCTCTGTGTATCTGTGTGTCTCTAGCTCTGTCTCTGCAAGTCTCTGTGTGTCTGTGTCTCTGTGTGTTTATCTCTGTGCATCTGTGTTTATCTGTGTGTCTGCATGTCTGTGTGCATCTATGTGTGCATTTTTCTGTATGCATGTGCCTGTGTTTTTTGTTTTTGTTTTTGTTTTTGAGACAGAATCTCACTCTGTCGCCCAGGCTGGAATGCAGTGGCGTGATCTCGGCTCACTGGAACCTCGGCCCTGCCTCCTGGATTCAAGCAATTCTCCTGCCTCAGCCTCCCATGTAGCTGGGATGACAGGTGCTCGCCACCACGCCTAGCTAATTTTTGTATTTTTAGTAGAGATGGGTTGTCTCCATGTTGGCCAGGCTGATCTTGAACCCCTGACCTCAGGTGATCCGCCCACCTCGGCCTCCCACAGTGCTGGGACTCCAGGCGTGAGCCACCGCGCCCGGCCACGTGTGTGTGTGTGTTTTCACCCAGGTTTCACAGTGGCTCTCAGCAGGAGAGCTGGTCTGACCTGTGAGTCCTGCCCAGCACATGGCACCGTCCGCAGTCATTCTTTGGGAGCTGAGCCCTTGTCAGGCACTGTGCCAGGGCCCAAAGGTCAAAATGCCCACGTTTTCAAGGCTGTGCCTCAGGGCGCCCCTCAGATGACACCCCTGCCCTTGGCCCTCCCCGCCCTTCCATGGAGCACAGATGGCAGCGGATTCTGGGCTGTCCCCTAACAGCCACTGACCATGGTCAGTACTCGGCACCCACCTGTTTACTGCCCCTCTGCGCCATGGGAAGCAGCGCTCTGGACTTTTCTGCAATTTTCTGTTGAAAAAAGGACAAGAGAAGAAAGACAGGAAGAGCAAAAAGGGTGGGGAAGGGAGAAGAAATGGTCAGCTGAGTGCAGGGCTCTGGACGACGGTGCAGCAAAACACGCCTGCCACTCCCAGAAGAGGCTGCCGGGGCCGGGGCTGAGCTCTGCCAGCGACTCGCTGGATGGCCTCTGTCCATGCCACTCCCAGAAGAGGCTGCCAGGGCCGGGGCTGAGCTCTGCCAGCGAGTCGCTGGATGGCCTCTGTCCACGCGTGGGAGCTCTCTGGGCCCCAGTTTCCTCACCTGTCAGAGCAGGGTGAGACTTGTTCTTCCTGCTTCCCCAGAGCTACTGTGGGTCAGCTCTTGAAGGTAAATGTCCTCTAGGACACATGCCCTGAGGCACAGTCTGGATCCTGGCTGCCTAGAGACTGTCTGCAAGAACAACCCTCTTCTCTGCCTTTGGGGATGGGGCTGCACCAGGCCCACAGGGACAAGACAGCCATGACAGTGCTCCGGGAACCGAGGCCGACCCCACCTGGCCTGCAGACCCCCACTGCCCCCACCAGCACCTCACCTTCTGCACCACTCCATAGCACTGAATGGCATCTGAGAGCTGGGTTTTCAGCCGGTCCAGCTGAGGACGCTCCTGCTGCAGACGCTCCTGCTGCAGAGAAGGTACAGCTGGCACGGCATGGGAGGCTTGGCCCTGCCCCAGCAGCCCCCACCACCCACACCTCCTCCCGTACCGATGTCCCACCTTCCCACACTCAGAATGGGGCTCGCCATCAACTACTTCCCCTCCGTGTCACCGTCGTCTCCACAGGCACACCCAGGGTCCCCAGGGACACCATCACCACAAAATCCGGTGCAGGGGTCAACACCACCTGCCGGAGCCAGGAGCTACCCAAGGCACATAAACCCGGCCCCACACCACCTCCGCGAGCAGCACTGTGACTCCTCTTCCACAGCGCAGGACGTCGTGGCCCTGAGTCCCGAGTGACTTGTCTGTGGTCACATAGGTGGTGGGGCCACTGCCAGAACCATCCCCCTCCCCAGCATCTCGCCTGTATCTGGGCTCCCCGTGGCCTCCAGGGTCCACCAACCCCAGTTCCTTCCTGCTGGGATGTTCGCCACCACACCTCAGTGCCCACCAGGCACCTGCTTCAGAGCTGGAGCTGGAGAAGCACGGAGCCGGGGTGGGGCTGGACACGCACGGAGCCGGGGTGGGGCTGGACACGCAGCCCTGGGGCCCGCCTCATTGCTCTGGCTCACCGTGGACACCACCCACCAGCAGCAGCACCAAGGAGCCCACAGCTTCCTCCCAGCACCCACCCCATGGCTATCGGAGGATTGGAGAGAGCCAAGGCTAAGGCGGGCTGGTCTGGGGTAAACCTCTGACAGCCGAGGGGCACTGGGAGCAGCCTACCACAGCCTTGACCTCTTCCCACAATCGAAGGCACTACATCTCATCAAAGCGTCCACGGCCCACAGAGTCAAAGACGTGGTAGGCACTGACCGTGCACCCACCAAGCCGCGTGAAGGAGCCATTCGCTTCACGAGGAAACTGCCTGCACGGACCACCCAACTCTGCTCTCACCCCACAGAAACGCCTCTCAGAATCGCAACCCTCCACCATGTGGGGCCTTGCTCAGCACCTCACGTAAGCGCAGCGCCTCCCGTAAGAGGGACCCAGCGTGTATTCTTGGATGAAGGAGTAAATGAATAAGTGACTCAGGCACACCTGAGTCAGAGAATGGAGAACAAAGCTACAGAGGAAGAGGTCAGACACAGGCGTCGATGCTGGTCATGACGCTGCTGACATCACTGCCCGAGGGCACAGGCCAGGGCAGCACCTGGTCCCCACAGAGTGGTCCCCGCAGGGCAGCCATGGCTATGAGGAGTGACCCATGCATGGAAAGGCTCCAGGCCGCTCAGCACAAAGCTCCCAGTGTTCCTGTCATCTGCCTTTAGGGAGACTCTGGCCACCCCATCACTGGACAGGGGACTGCTGCCTCTGTTACAGTTTTTTAGTGTAACTAACTTTTGAACTGACTCTACTTTTTTAAGTACAAGTTTTATTACTGTCTAATTTAGATCTGATAAAATCTACCCGCTTTAAGTGTAGAGTTCAGTAACTCTTAGTTGTACAGCCATCCCCACAACCCAGTTTTAGAACATGCCCATCACCCCAGAAAGGGCCCTGCGCCTTGCCTGCAGGCACCCCAAAACCAAGCCCTGCTCCCAACCCTGACAACTGCTCATCGACTTCTGGTCTCCACAGATTGCATTTTCTGGATGTTTCACACAAACAGAACCATACACTGTGCGTTTTCTTGCGTGGGGGCATGCAGTCTTCCAGCCTCACCACATTGTGGCCTGCCTAACTCTCCGCTCCTCACTGCTGACCACACCCAACACGGCACTGGCCACGTCACATGTATTTTCCACAGGGAGGGCGGCATGCATTTCCCCTGTAGGACTGGCTGAGCCACGCTGCTGGCTCTGCAGCAGGCCGAACTTGCAACCCCAGCCCTCCCAAGGCAGTGAGAGCAACTATGGGCAGCACCTACGGCAGGGACAGATTGGCGTCTCGCTCACACTGTGCACGTGAAGCAGGTGCGGCCAGCAGCTCACACTGCACACATGAAGCGGGTATGGCCAGCGGCTCACACTGCACGCGTGAAGTGGGTACGACCAGTGGCTCACACTGTACGCATGAAGCGGGTATGGCCAGCGGCTCACACTGTACGCATGAAGCGGGTATGGCCAGCGGCTCACACTGCACGCGTGAAGCGGGTACGACCAGCGGCTCACACTGTACGCGTGAAGCGGGTATGGCCAGCGGCTCACACTGTACGCGTGAAGCGGGTATGGCCAGCGGCTCACACTGTACGTGTGAAGCGGGTATGGCCAGCGGCTCACACTGTACGCGTGAAGCGGGTATGGCCAGCGGCTCACACTGTACGCGTGAAGCGGGTATGGCCAGCGGCTCACACTGTACACATCAAGCGGGTGTGGGCAAGCGGCTCACACTGTATACATGAAGCAGGTACAGCCAGAGTCTCACACTGTGCTTATGAAGCGGGTTCGGGCCAGCAGGCTGCAGCTTGCTGACTCCTGCCCTGTAAAATCTTAGGGTTCAGCAGTATTTAATCTTTTGTCACAAGTACCCTCCAATCTTCAGCAACTGGGCACTGACCTGGTGTGGTGGAGCGGAGGGTGTGGGGACAGTCAGAAGTGGGGACAGGGCCAGGCGTGGTGGCTCATGCCTGTAATCCCAGCACTTTGGGAGGCAGAGGTGGGAGGATCACTTGAGGCCGGGAGTTTGAGACCAGCCTGAGCAACATGGTGAAACCCCACCTCTACTAAAAACACAAAAATTAGCTGGGCATGGTGACGGGCGCCTGTAATCTCAGGTACTCAGGAGGCTGAGGCATGAGAATCACTTGAACCCTGGGGGCAGAAGCTGCAGTGAGCCAAGATCATGCCACTGCACTTCAGCCTGGGAGACAGAGCAAGACTCCGTCTCAAAAACACAAAAAAAAATTGCGGACAGGGTGGAAATGAGGGAACAGCCCTGGGGCAGCTGAGCCGGAACGGTAGTGATGGCTGTGGCAGTGGGTATGCTGATGGCCACTGCCACGGCCATATGTCTGGCTTGAGGCCCATGCGTCTGATAAGGCGCCAAGGTAGGTGAGGGGATAGGGAGGGTGCACGTGCAGGTGGCCTTGGGTGGCGGATGCAGCAGAGGGGCAGGGGATGCACAGCAGGGGAGAGGATGGTGAAACAAACAATGGCGGGCCATCAGCTTCCAGTAAGGCCTTGCCAGGAAGACCCAGGGTGCTCTTGTCCCCACTACTGCATAAGCCAAGGACAGCAAGAGTTCAGGTGGCCACACCAGCTCCCGGCACGTGGTCAGCACACGGCTGCTGCCTGAATGGCTGCACACAGGTTCTGAGCCATGGAGCCATGGGAGGCTGGGTGCCAGGCCAGTCTGTGTCCATCCACACACGTCAGCCTCCCTGTATCCTGCCTCGTGTGACATCCCTGCTCCCATCACAGGCAGAGGGGTCCATTCCTCTCCTCCCTCCCAGCCCCAGACCCCAGGAACATACCGGGCAGGAGCTGCGCAGCAGCTCGGCCATCTGCTTCACGGAGCTGGCGCTGGCTGCAATGGTCTTGTTGGTCTCCTGCTGTGCCGTGTGCCTGGGGGCCGAGAAGGAGCCAGGAGCGAAGGCAGGGGAGGAAGGCAGCAGAGAGCAAGGGCCCAGAAGGACGGAGCAAGCAGGGACGCACGGGCCGAGTGGGGGAGACAGAGACAGATGGATGGACAGGCGGAGAGAGGGCCGAGAGACACACAGAGACAGAGAAAACAGCAGAGAGGAAAACAAGAGTAGGGAAAGGGTAGCAAACAGAAAGAGGCAAAGACTCAGAGAAAGAGAGAAGGGAACAGAGACAAGAGCAGCGATGATTCCCACAGAGAAAGAGGAGGGGGCCCAAGAGCCAGGACAGGGAGAGACAGGCAGACACCCAGCAAGAGACGGGGGAGACGGGCAGACACCCAGCAAGAGACGGGGGAGACGGGCAGACACACAGCAAGAGGCAGTGGGGGCAGAAAGGCAGGCAGAGAGAGACGGCGCAGGTAAGCTCTGGCTGGGGTGGGTGGCCCAGCCAGAACAGTGGCAGCCGGGCCCCACCAATCGGCCACTGCGAGGACCACCTTGCTCCGCCGCAACCACCCCCAAATACCCCACAGACAGGAGGCTGAGCCACGAGCCCTCCCTGCAGAAAGGCCCGTCTCGGGGTCAGCTCCCCTCGGAAAGCCAGCAGGAGAATCAGGGCAAGAGCGCCATGGCCCAGGGAGGCCAGCAGTCCCCACCCCCCTGCACACCTCTGAGGGGTGCACACCTCTGAGGGGCCCCGGGTGAGACGGTTCTCACACCCAGACCCAGGGAGACACAAGGAGGCCAGGACAGTCCCAGGTTACAGTTCCAAGCATGACCTCGAAAGCAACTGGGAAGACCAGCCCGTCTCCCGCTTGGGGTTCGCCACCCCCATCCCTGGAGAGAGGAGCACCAGGGCAACGGTACCCCAGCCCGGCTGCAGGCACACACACCAAGTGCAGGGAGGACCCTGGCCTGCTGGAAACTGGGGAGCCTCAGTGACCCTTTCAAGTACAGCCCAAAAGGCCCCTGCAGGCCCCTCAGGCATCACCCAGGACCTGCACCAAGCAGGCCTTGGGGCCGACACGTGGGAGCGAGCCTGGCACCACCACTGCAGGCCAAGCCTACAGGAGCGGGGCCCACCTCCTGATACCCACCCTGGGCGGGCAGAGCCTGTGGCACACAGAGGAGTAAGACTGCCCCCCCAGAACAGGCACCCAGCAGGCTAGAGAGGGTGTGGGCCAAGGAGGGCAAGGAGCCATAAGGTTACTACAGACTAGGCGGGAAGCGCGGGGACAGGAGCTTTCTTCCCCGGGGCCTTGGTCAGGGCCGCCTCCTCCTGCAGCTGGCGTCTGAGGCTTTGGAGAGCCTCCAGTGCCTCCAGCTCCCAAACACGCCTCTTCGGCCAACCACTGGCTTAACACTGTGAGAAGGATGCAGAAGCAGAGTGCCCCTCACCCCCGCTCCCACCAGTCCCCTCCTCACCCTGGGCTGCCACGCAGCCTCCTGTCCCTCTCCCTGGGCTGCCACTCGGCCTCCCGTCCCCGGCCCACTCACCACTGCATCCCCTCACATTCTGTGCACAGCAGGCCTGAGCGATTCTGCTAAAGACAGTTCAGATCTTGCCAGTCCAAACCTCAGAGCTCACCAACAGTTCCACATCTCATTCCGGTCAAAGCCAAAGTCCCTCTAGCGCTGCTCTAAGCCCACGCGGGTGGCCTCCCGCATCTGCAACTTCACCTCCCCACACCACCCTCCTGCACCTCTGACTTCACCTCCCCACACCGCCCTCCTGCACCTGCAACTTCACCTCCCCACACCACCCTCCTGTACCTCCGACTTCACTTCCCCACACTGCCCTCCTGCACCTCCGACCACTTCCCCACACTGCCCTCCTGCACCTCCAACTTCACCTCCCCACACCACCCCTAGGTTCTAGGCCCACGTGGGTGGCCTCCTGTACCTGCAACTTCACCTCCCCACACCACCCCTGGGTTCACTTCACTCCTGGCCCATGAGTCTCTGCTGCTCCTGAATGAGCCGGACAAATCCCTGCCTTAACACTTTCCTAGGCCAGATGCAGACAACCAAGCCCTAGTTGCTGACCCAGGAGCAGCTGTCTGTGGTCACGCTGCCACCGTGGGCAACGCCCCCAGCACCAACACCTGCCCAGACAGCTCCCCTGGGAGGGTCAGGCAGGTCACGACTCACACTTTTCTCTGCTCCGCGCTGACCTCTCCACTCCTCTAGACTCCCATGTGGCAGGGGCTCTCACTCATGCCCCCACTGAAACATCCTCATGGAGCCATTAGTGCTGGAACGAAGGCAGCCCGTTTCCTGTAGGCAGTGGGTCAGGCTTTTCTCTTTCCAGGCAGGATCTCGTCTCATTTGTGCCTCCCTCACAAACTGTTAGCACCATGCAGGATCAAAGTGAACAAGGCCTCCTTACCCAACCTGGCAATACCCCAGGCATCAGATCACCCTGCCAAGTCCATCGTGGGAACAGGAGGTTGCCAACCAGAAAACCCAAGACATGATGAAGGGAGTAGGGAATGAGAGCCACCAGTCAAGGAAGGGCAGCAGGCGGAATGGCACTACAGAGGGGCCACCTTCCATGATGCTCGTCCCAATAAAAGGCCCAGAGGAGACCTCCACTTACAGCCATGGTACCAGGCAGTACCTCCTACCTCAAACAAGCAGAAAATACATTTTAAACAAACACACACACAAAGCTAAGGGATGCAGCTAAAACAGTACTTACAAGGAAATTACTGCTTTAAATTCTTATATTAGAAAAGAGAAAAGAATAAAATCAGTGTCCAGAAAGTCCACCTAAAGAAGCCAGCAAATTAAACACAAAGGAAGTAGAACAGAGATAATAAAGGTAAGTTCAATAATTAATAAAATAGCAAACAGACCAATAATAGAAACAATAAAATAAAAAAGCATTCAAAACATTACACAACTCTGCCTAGACAGGTCAAGAGGGAAAAAAACCACACTTGCAAATTACCAAGATCAAGAATGAAAGAGTGAGCCTGACTACAGATCCAACATTAAAAGAACATTACGGAAACACAAATCATATCAGGCCCATAAATTTGACAACTAAGATGAAATAGAAAAATTCCTTAAAAGACATGAATTATATCAAAACTGACTCAAAAAGAAATAGAAAACCTAAATAGCTCTATATGTATGGCAGAAGTAAATTTGTGCTTAAAAACATTGCTGCAAATACACAGGCACAACAGGCTTCAATATCAATATCATGCAATCCCCTAGAAAACAGAGAGGAGACACACATTGTATGAGGCTCACACCACCCTGATAACAAAACCCAAACAGAGAATCTAAAGGAAAGAAACCCATATATCACTCACAAACCCAGCAGCAAAAATCTTCAATACAATTTTAGAAAAACGAATTCAACAATATATGAAAGAGATAGTATACCATGACCAAGAGGCATTTACCCACAGGGTACAAGGTTGGTTCAACATTCAAACATCAGTGAGTGTAATTCTCATATCAACAGAGCAAATTTAACAAGGAGAAAAACATCTTAATAAATTATGCAGAAAAAGCATGTGACAAAATTCAACACTCATTTTAGACTAAAACTTCCTTTAGTTTAGTTCCTAGTTTCCTTAACTAGAAAAAAGAAGGGGACTCCCTCAACCTGATACAGAGAGGCTGTTAAATAAAAAACAAAACAAACATCTAAGATACTTAGAGCAGAAGATGGAATGCTTCCCCGTAAGATGGGGAACAAGGCAGGTATGTGTGCTTTCACTACTTTTACTCTTCATACTATAAGTTTACCTAGGAATAAGGGGGAAAGAACTAAGAAGCATAAAGATTGAAAATGAAGAGTAAAACTGTCTTCAGTCATAGAGACATGTACATCTATATAGAAAATCCCAAGGAATCCACAAAGAAGCTCCAGGAACTAATCAGCGAGTGAATCTATGCAGGTCACAGGATACAAGGAAGTACACAGAAGTCTCTTATATTTCTATGGAGTTGCAGCCAATGAGAGGAGAGGAACACAAATAAGAGAAAGGCCAGCCTGTGTCCGTGGGCTGGACGATGACATTGTTATGGAAGTCCAGCTTGGCCGTGCCTGTGGGCTGGGCGACGATGTTGTTATGAAAGGCTGGCCTGGCTGTGTCCATGGGCTGGATGATATTGTTATGAAAGGCCGGCCTTACCGTGTCTGTGGGTTGGACAACGATACTATTACGAAAGGCCGGCCTGGCCGTGTCTGTGGGCTGATGACGATATTGTTATGAAAGGCC
The DNA here is from genome assembly GCF_000001405.40 of Homo sapiens. Classification (NCBI taxonomy): domain Eukaryota; kingdom Metazoa; phylum Chordata; class Mammalia; order Primates; family Hominidae; genus Homo; species Homo sapiens. The sequence goes on from NC_000008.11 coordinate 142,322,893, forward strand.
AGCCTGGACGTGTCCATGGGCTGGATGATATTGTTATGAAAGGCCGGCCTTACCGTGTCCGTGGGTTGGACAACGATACTATTATGAAAGGCCGGTCTGGCCGTGTCTGTGGGCTGGATGATATTGTTATGAAAGGCCGGCCTGGACATGTCTGTGGGCTGGATGACAATACTGTTATGAAAGGCCGGCCTGGCTGCATCCGTGGGCTGATGACGATATTGTTATTAAAGGCCAGCCTAGCCATGTCTGTGGGCTGGATGACGATATTGTTATGATGCCAGTTCTTTAATTTATCCACAGATTCAAGGTAATCCCAAAAAATTATAGAAAGCTTTTTTTTAAAGAAATAATAATTGACAAACTGATTCTAAAATGTATACTGAGCTACAAAGGGGTATGAGAGGAGGAGATGCGTTTGGGCAGCACGGGGGGCAGCACCAGCATGGCTGGCTGAACACTGTGGCATGGGGCAGGCGAGGCGAGGAACAGCTCGTGGCCACCTCCTGGGTCTCCAGAGTGGACAGTGAGCCATCGGGGACTCTCTGGAACTTCTGCCTGTCGCCAAAGTATGAGAGACATCCTAAAGACGCACTTTTAGGCAGACTCCTGCTGGCAAGGGGAGGCCTCGTGAGGGGCAACGGGGCAGCAAGGCCAAGTGTGGGTCCCACTGGAGGGGGCTCCTCCGGGAAATGGCGACTCCAATCTGAGGCTGGACACTGCTCCAAAGGCCGAGGTGCCTCAGCAAGGGCAACAGAGCAACCCAGGACCAGCAGGGCACTTGGCCCAAGGACACGGGAGCTCACACTGTCAGAGCCAGGGAGTCACCATCCTCACTAGAAAATGGACTGATGATGTCAGCATTCCCACTCGCCATCACGAGGCAGTTGCCACAACAACAAATAGAGTGCCCCTCCCGCTTGTGTCTCACTTCCCCATCCATCCTCACGGCCACCGAGGGAGGGGTCCCACTCCATCACCATAGCATGCATGGCTTGGGGAACAGCAGTGGATCCAGTGCAGGGAGATGGATGAGACTGCACCTGTCTTATGACCCCAACACCAGCGAGGCCCATGTCAGTGAACCTGTGACCCTCACCCGCCCTGGACTGCTTCAGCCAGGAGCCAAGTGAGGCAGAGAAGGCTGGAAACGCTAGCTGTACATTGAGAGAGCGGGCCCATCTCTCCACATTCAATGTGGGATACAGATGCAATGCCCGGAACCATAAGACCCATTTGTCACCTCAAGAGAAGCTGGCCTGAGATTGAATCTGATGCATCAGCAGAGCCAAAAGAAACCAAGTGAACTGGAGCCTTCATCAAACTGCACCTGAAGCCCCACGACCGCTTTACAAAACCCATGTATCCCCACAAAGCCAGCTCTGCACAGTTTTGGTGAAAGGCCAGGCAGGCGGCTACAGGGTCCAGGAAACCTGACCCAAGCATCCCTCTCCCAGCACTCCTGTGCGAGGTCTGCACAGCTGCCAGCTCGGCGGCTCCTGTACTACCAGCCAGGTGGTGCCGTTGCTGCCAGCAGTCAGGTGACTGAGGAGTCTGCGAGGCCTGCCTGGGGGGTGTGTCACCTGAGGCCCATTTGCCCTAGCGCCCTGCCCTAGTCTGCCGGGGCCAGAACCGACCTGAGTACGGAGGCTCTCGCATTTGCTTGTCATTACTTAAGATGCCGTTTAGAAGCACCTCATGTCCCGCGTATCTCATACCTGCTCATTTACTCCCATGACCACCTGTGTTTTACAGACGAAGACACAAGGCCCTGAGTCACAAAAGCACCTGCAGGCTGGAGCTGGTGAGCTGGAGTGGGCAGAGGTAGGGTCAGGACCAGCCCAGGCTCCCTGGCACCGGGTCCCGAGCTCTCCCAGCCTCCATGCCAGCTTCCAGGTGACACACTCGCCCTGGAAGGCACCCTGCTGCCCACTCCAGACTCGAGTGGTTAATCGGCGCTCCCGCCCCTCTGTCCGTGTTCCTAGTGACTGCGACGCCCCTGCCGGTCCCTCGGCTGAGGGGGCTGTGGGAAGAGCCTGTGGCTGGGCTGGTTTGATTTCCTGGTTCCTGCCCTTTCCCAGTAGGTACACTGCCCCGTCCTAGACCTGGCAACACCCCAGGAGTGACTCCATGTAGACCACGGCCCAGTTTCATGAGCAGGTGATGCCCAAGTCAACACAACGCAGTGGTGTTGGTGCACAGACCCAGGGACCGCCCACGGTGGAGGAGGTGGCCAGGGCGAGTGGGCCGGCAAGGCCTGGACTGAGCGGGCCTGGAAGTGAGGCCGGCAGAGGGCAGCGCGGGCAGAAGCCTGAGGCCGTGGGACTGGAGGGGGTGGTGTGGCCCATGAGACAGGTCTACAGTTGTCAGGGTCATGCTGGGCGGACCTGAAAGGCCACAACACAGACTCTGGGTTTTACTTTACAGGGAGGGAGGCCAGTGGAACATCCTGAGCAGGAACTGATGTGATCAGATCCACATTTTTAAAGATCGCTTTGAGCTCTGCATGGACAATCCACCGTCGGGGGCAAGACTAGGGGTGGGGAGGCCAAGAGGAGACAGTGCAGGAGCCCAGGGGCCAAGGCCGGGCCTGGACCAGGAGGTGGAGAGGAGGTGAGAAGTGCGTGGACACGGGGCAGCTCAAGAGGAGTGGACAGGCCAGCCCACGACCGGTGAGGGCAGGGTGGCGTGGGGTCCTGGAGGTCCCTTCCTTGGCCTGGGACTAACAGGGAGACCCCAGGTCAGTCCAGAAGGACCCTAAGTTAGCAGGAGAGAAGGTGGCAGGGCTGGAGGGACACCTGGGGTTCTGGGGCCCCACTGAGGAGGGATTCCGAGCTGCGGGATATGCAACACCACCAAGGGAGGGGAGGAGGTCAGAGAGGAAAAGAGGCTGGAGTAGATGGATGACGAACCAGCACCAACGAAGACCAGGGCCCTGGAGAGCATGAGAGGGATGAGGAACCAGCACCAGTGAAGGGGAGGGGCCCCAGAGAGCACGAGACGGATGACGAACCAGCACCAGCGAAGGGGAGGGCCCCGGAGAGCACGAGACGGATGACGAACCAGCACCAGCGAAGGGGAGGGCCCCGGAGGGCATGAGACAGATGAGGAACCAGCACCAGCGAAGGGGAGGGCCCTGGAGAGCATGAGACGGATGACGAACCAGCACCAGTGAAGGCCCCGGAGAGCACGAGACGGATGACGAACCAGCACCAGCGAAGGGGAGGGCCCCGGAGACCACGAGACAGATGAGGAACCAGCACCAGCTAAGGGGAGGGCCCCGGAGAGCACGAGACGGATGAGGAACCAGCACCAGCGAAGGGGAGGGCCCTGGAGAGCATGAGACGGATGAGGAACCAGCACCAGCGAAGGGGAGGGCCCCGGAGACCACGAGACGGATGACGAACCAGCACCAACGAAGGGGAGGGCCCCAGAGACCACGAGACAGATGAGGAACCAGCATCAGCGAAGGGGAGGGCCCCAGAGAGCACGAGACGGATGAGGAACCAGCACCAGCGAAGGGGAGGGCCCCGGAGACCATGAGACGGATGACGAACCAGCACCAGCGAAGGGGAGGGCCCCGGAGGGCATGAGACAGATGAGGAACCAGCACCAGCGAAGGGGAGGGCCCCGGAGAGCACGAGACAGATGAGGAACCAGCACCAGCGAAGGGGAGGGCCCCGGAGAGCACGAGACAGATGAGGAACCAGCACCAGCGAAGGGGAGGGGCCCCGGAGAGCATGAGACGGATGAGGAACCAGCACCAGCGAAGGGGAGGGCCCCAGAGAGCACGAGACGGATGAGGAACCAGCACCAGTAAAGGCCCTGGAGAGCATGGGCTGCACAGCAGGAGGAAACTTCTAGAAGGAATCAACTCAACAGTAAAAAGAAAAATACCCGATCAGGACATGGGCAAAGGATCTGAATAGACATTCCTTCCAAGAAGATATACAAATGGCTAACAAGCAGATGAAAAGATGCTTGAAGCCTTCAATTACCAGGAAAATACAAATGAGATCACCACAAGACCCCACTTCGCACCCACTAGGATAGCCACATCCAAAAGACATATAACAACAAGTGCTGGCAGTGAGGTGGGGAGACAGGAACCCTCCAACACTGCTGGCGGGGGTGTAAAATGGGGCAGCTGCTTTGGAAAGTCTGGCAGTTCCTCAAAGGATTACACAAAGAGCCACCGTATAACCCAGCAAGTCCAGTCCTGGGGATATATCCAAGACAGGTGAAAATCTACACCCACGCAAACACCTACCGCAAACATTCACCGCAGCTTTATTCATCATGGTCAAAATGAAGTCACCCAAATGCCCACCAGCTGGTGAATGGGTCTGTCCTTACAGTGAGACAGAGGGGTGCAGTTCTGCACAAGCTGGTGAATAGGTCTGTCCTCACAGTGGGACAGAGAGGGGGCGGTTCTATATCAGCTGGCGAATGGGTCCGTCCTTACAGTGGGAGAGGGGCACAGCTCTGTACCAGCCGGCGAATGGGTGTGTCCTCACAGTGGGACTGAGGGGCACGGTTCTGCACAAGCTGGTGAATGGGTCCATCCTTACAGAGGGACAGAGGGGTGCAATTCTGCACCAGCTGGCAAATGGGTCTGTCCCTACATATGGAGGGTACTGTGAGCCCTCTCTGGCCCCCTCACAGAGCCCTCCATCGGGCACTCCGGGAGGTCAGCTCTTCACACCCTGCTGGCCACCCCTCTGCCACAGGGACTTGCCTTCAATCAAGTGGGATGGGATGAACCGCACACATGGATCATGGTCCTGCCCTGCTTAAGCTCTCACTGCAGGAGGCGGGGCTGTTAGGACTACGCCCATGAAAGAGCTGCCAAGCGAGGGCCCACGGTGCTCAACAATCGTCATCCAAGGCTCCTTGAGCCCTTCTGGTGCTGATTCTGACACGCAAGTCCCGGGCCAGGAAGGAGAGCACACCTCACGCGGAGCAGCAGCCCAGCTCACCCAGACCCCACTGCCATCGCTGCATGCTGGGCAGTGGGCCAGCAGCCTCTCAGCAGCCACCTCTAATGCATCCCCACCAGGGCCACCCAACCTACACCCTCACCACACTGGGGAGGTGAGAGGGAGGCATCGCTGCATGCCCCAGGCAGATCAGAGAACACAGCCCATGGGAACAAGTCCAAAAGCCCCAAGGGGAGCGGGTCCTCTGTGCCACTGTGGAAAGTAAAAAATGTCCTCTTCAAAGTTTCCCTTCTTACTAAAGAATATATCATAGGTGTTAGAAATAATAGTTTTTTAAAAAAAAAAACTAACTTCCTTCAAGCCTCCTTGCTTTTATACTAATAACTCTTTGTTAAGCCCTATCCTATGTAGCTGTTAGATATAAGGGAGTAAGTACATCCTATGTCCTTGTACTTTAATCAAGGTATTTGTTCTAAACATGCTCAAGCATGTCCCAGCTCACAGCCTACGTGCCCTCCTTATTTGGAAATGTCATTACTTTTCTAAGTTCTTTCGCAAGCAACTTCCTCTTTTCCTTTTGTTCTCCATTACCTTTACCTGTTCAGGAAAGTTTTAAGTTGTTAGCCAATCAGGTCTAAAGGACCCAATGCGTAAGGGATAAATATTCTTGCCTTTCTTTGTTCAATTGTGCTCTCGTGGCAGGAGTGCTAACAGGCAGCACCCCTTCTGCAGAAAGTAAAATTGCCTTGCTGAGAAAATTATTTGAGCGCTAGTTCTTCTTTTCGGCATCAAGGAATGAGCATTTCTGACAGCCACACACCAGGGGTGCGCCAGCCCACACACCATCTCCAGATCGTGACGGCCCCCAGGGTGGAAGGGAATAGAGCCCAGACAGAAGTGCGTGAGCTGAGCTGCCACTGAGCCCCGCCCATGGGATCGCAACGTGGCCACTGGACTCCAGCGTGGGGGTCTGTGACAGGGAGGCCTTTGGGGGGGGGGAGGGTTCCGCACACAGGTGACAGAAATGACCTGGCCACACTGGCCTTGCATGGGATCAGAGAAATGGGCCCCACCTGGTGAGGTTTTTCTGAAGCTGAATGTATTCGGGTGGAAGGACCACCCTTCCTCCTGAGACTGGGTCCCTCCTACACTGCAGGGCTGGAAAGCCTTTTCCCTGACGAAATGATGGCGGCCGTGGATGAAGGTATATTCTTTAAATGTCCTTAGTTGGCAACTTCGTCAATGTGGAGGAAATATAGAACTGGCAACCACGTTGGTCTCAAAAGTTATTTTTAAATGTTAACAGTCCATGATATGGGAGCATCAGAGGGGCCACAGAAGGCTCTAGATAAGCCATGCCAAGCAGGCTAGACCCACAGCTGGCCATGCAGGGAGGGTCAGAAAAGCACTAAGGCGAGTTTCCAGACCTAAGAGCTAAGGCCGGCCCAGGGGAGAGCCAAGGTGCCGGGATACTCGGTCCTCAGACCAGGACAGTCTCCTACTCCACGCTGGGGTCCCCTCTCCTCTCCGAGGCCCACAGCGGGTGGTGTCGGTCTTCAGCTAACCAGGCCGGGCGGCCCAGGATGCGCACATGAGGGCCAGGGTCCGGACGTGCCCATCCCACCTGGCCCTCGTGACCTAACCCAGGAGTGGGCCAGTGGCACTAAGATCTAAGCACAGCAGCTTCACTGGGAACCTGCCCACCACACTGAAGAGACGGGAGAGCCACAGACCCGGCCCAGAGTTACACAAGTTATCTGCATCAACAGGGCCCTCTGAGAGGCCACACGTTTCCTGAGCCCGAGCACCCCAGAGCCCAGGTGTGACCAGCAGGTCCACAGTCCCTCACTGAGGTCTGACCGTGCAAATACGCGTGGGTGTGAGGAAGGCTGGAGGGAACACCGACATGCTAACAGCAGCTCCCAGGCATCCTGCGTCCAAATTCCCTATCATGAGCCTACGTCACTGTCACATCAGAAAACACTTAAGTTTCAGTTTTATAAAAGAGCTTAAAAAAAAAGGCTAAGAATAGAACTGCCCTGAACATCTGCAAAGGGTGCTCCGCAGCTGGTGCGTGAGGCTGTGTGGCAGGCGCCTGCGGATTTTGAACGGAGCCGCCGTGAGGAGGAGCAGAGACTCCAGCACCCTCCACCCTTGTGGGAGCCGTGGCCCTCCCGGCCTCCTCAGTTCTGGCCCTTTCAGGGTGCAAGGCTGGTGTGGCCACCAGTTCTGCACAGGGGAGTGCGAGGACAACGTCCCAGTGCAGTGGCCTGGGGCTGGCTGGGGTCCTTGGAGCTGCGGGCATCCCGCTCACTGCAGGGCGGGACACAGGCCAGCACAGGAGGTCACAGCAGCAAGTGCAGTGGGGGCCAGCTGGAGGGGAAAAGTATAGACTGCTAGCGTCCCCTCAGACCCCAGAGTGCCACTCTAACCACACCCAGGGCAGGTGCTCCCTTCCCCCCGCTCCCCAGCCCAGCCAGGGCTCAGACTTAGCAGACAGCACCCGAGGCACCTCTCCCCATCCCAGACCAGCCCAACCCAGGGCAGGCCACTGGGCACCCCTCAAGGAAAGTCCAGTGGGAGCCCGCCAAGGCTCAACTCCCCGAAAGGGCAGAAGCAAGATCGGACGCCCCACTCCAACCTAGCCCATGGCTGTGCAAATGGTACATCTGTGTCACCTCCTGTGTCCATAGCTGAGCAGGCCCCAACAGGGAGCCTTCAGACATGACAAAGACACATTTGGAGCATGTTGGCAGGGAAAAGCGTGTGCCAGCAGGCATGCACCCCCTGACCTTAGCACACAGGTGCACCTGGGCTTCTACGTCGGGGCGGGGTGCACCTGTGTGCCCTGTGGAGGGCACCTGCAGGCTGAGGGCCCAGTCTCAGGTTCACAGCACTGACTAGGCTTATCCGCAGGCGTGTGTGCATATGTGCGCACATGTGTGTCCAGGCAGCTGTGCGCAAGCAGCTGTGTGGACAAAGCCCGTGTGCACAGGAGGACCACACTCCCGCCCCTGCCCCCCAATGTGCACCACGCCCAGGCAAAGAGATACCATGGCCCACACACTCACAGGCTGTCCCGAAGCTCCTGCGTGTCACTCGGTGTCCCTAAGGACTGAAGGCTCCGCTCCAAGGAGGTCACTGCCCGAGAGAAGAGGGACAGGGTGAGGGCAGAAGGAGCTTCCCTGCCCCCTGCTACTCCATATGGGTGGCCCCACTGCAGCCCGGGCAGGGTGAGCAGAGCCCAGGGACCAGTGCTTGAGCCAGGGCAGACCACCTAAGTGGCCTGGAGGCCAGGGTCCACACTGCCTCAGCATAAGGTCACGCCCGCCAGAACCCCTCCCCAGCTGGCCTGCAACAGGTGCTCAGGCCCACATGCAGCTCAGGGGCTCTGAGGAGCTGCCTCCAGCAGTCTTGCCCTGGCTCTGGGGACAGCTTCTCTCCACCCTGCTCCCCTCACCCCATCCGTTGCCCCTCCCCTGGCCGTGGCTCTCATCCCTGCTCTCAGTCTCAGTGACCTCTGGTCTGCACGTCTGAGAGGCCCTGGGATGCTCCTTCCTCCACTGGGCTCCATCCAGATCACACAAAAGGTGTCAAGAAGGAGCAGCATGGGGTCAGGGAGAGGAGCCAGCAGCGGGCAGGGGGCAGCAGGCAGGAGCAGCCAGCGGGAGCGGTACCCGGCCCTGACCCAGCCCTTGCTCCTTCCCACCCATGAAACCCGGGACTGCACTGCAGGACGGCCTGACGGGGGAAGCCATCCAGCACCCTCGCATCCAACGTCGCATCAGTGGACCCACGAAACCCGGGACTGCACCGCAGGATGGCCTGAGGGGGGAAGCCATCCAGCACCCTCGCCTCCAATGTCGCATCAGTGGTCCAGGGTGCCTGGATGGAGGGGCAGGCCCAGGCCAGACGCACACTCACCACTGGAGTTGATTCGGAAGACGTTGGCCGACATCTCCTGGAACAGCTCCTGGAGGTTGCACGGATCGACCTGGGTGGCTGGGAGAAGACAGGGAGGAGGAAAGAACACAGGCTAAGGGTGAAGCCTGCAGGCCCAGCTCTGCTAACCGCTCTGGGCAGCCCCCAGGGGCAGGGACCCGACAGGCAGCAGAGTGGCCCTGAACCCCCTCACTGCCTTTGCGGCTTGGCCACCCTGGAGTCAGTGCTGGACACCCGCACCTGCCTTCACAGTACCTTCAAGCTGGAAGGAAGGAGAGACGAAGGCAGGGGGTGGTCCCTCAGAAAGGCAGCACCCTGAGTTTCCATACACCGCAGCAGCTGGCGTGTGTGCCCGGAAGCTACGAGCACCTGCACGTGGAGGCTCAGAGCAGCATCACTAAGAGTCAAAGCACAGCCCCGCTGATGAAGCAACAGAAACAAGGTCCAGCTCTGCACCGGCAGCTCAGCATTGGAAACAGAAACACTGGTTTCCGCACAATGCAGGTGAGCCCTGAGCACAGCACGCACAGAGATGAAAGCCAGCAGGAAAAGGCCACACGCCGCACGGTTCCACACATCTACCATGTCAGAACAGACCAATCCTAGGACAGAGCCAGGGCAGGGGCAGTGAGAGGGAGGAATGGGCATGACTGCTGATGGGTACGGGGGTGCTTTTGGGGGTGATGGAAACATTTTAGAATTAGTGGTGATTATAGAATGCTGAATATTCTAACAGACACTGAGCTATATGCTTTAATATGGATAAGATGGTGAATTCTGAGTGACTAAGTTTTATCTCAATTTTTAAAAATCTACAGAACACTATGAGGACAGCAAGTCCTCATGAGGACATGGTGGATGGAACGCTCGCCCGCTGCATGGTGAGGATAAACGGCACGGCCACCATGGGAAGGGTCTGCAGGCTGCACACACTCGCCCTCTGTCCACCCCTCAGTCAGCATCTTGGGCATTTACACAGAGGAGCAGAGCACACATCAAAGCACATGGAAACACTCGCTGCCTGCCCGCCCTCCAGCCAGCAGTCCCAGGGTTTACACAGAGGAGCAGAGCGCACATCCAGAGAAGCTCCTGAAGAGCACTCCCAGCTCCCAGCAGCTTGATTGCTACCAGCCCACACCCGGAGAGAGGGCTGGTGTCCAAGAGATACCGGGGAAGGGACAGCCACACGGGGCCTGTGTGCAAGGAAACTCCAGGCACGCAACACAGTGAATCTCAGAAACACTGTTCAGAAACCAGAGCGAACGGGGCGAAGGTCGAGAACGACCAAGGCAATCCCCGGGGCCTCTGGGCCAGGCTGGGGAACTGGGGCAGGGCCGGAGGGACCCTCCTGGGTGAGGGCCTGCCCTGTGCCTGGACAGAGCTGTGGGTTACACATCTGTCACAACGCCCAGGATGGCACACTTAGGAGCTGTGCAGTTCACTGTACATAAATGAAAGAAAAGTGAACGGCAAGTAAAGCAGCGTTCAGAAGGAAGCACGGGGGGCCGAGCTCGCTCCGAAACGCATGCAGGTGGAGGCACTAAAGGTCGATTAAACCAGGTAGAGACTCCAGGCTCGCATTCAGGTGGCAGCTACGTGGGTGTCGGTGCAGTTCTTTCAACTTTCTCTGCAAGTTTACAATTTTCCATATTAAAATTTTTAAATAAAAGAACGTGGTTTGAGGTCTACAAACAGGTGTGAGGGCTAGAAGATGCTAGGGGTGCCGAGGGGACCCTCCCAACACCAATCCTGTCTGGGCTGCCCTGAGGTGGCCCGGCATGAAGGGACACAGCACCCCTGGCTGGATATCTGGGTTTCCACCAGGACAAGGCCCAAGCCCAGCTCTGCTTGGGGTTTCTGAGCTGCCTGGCCAGGGCAGAGCTGACCCTGGCACTCCATCTGGGTGCACACAGGCCTGTCCACGTATGCTCTGTGCACCCCTGGCTCCCCAGCAAGTCCTGGCCCCCTGCACACTTTCCGTCCAGCTACCTCCACCTTGCCCCAGTCCCAGGCCTCCCGGTCCAGCAGCCGCACTCATGGCAAGGCCTGGAGAAAGGAGGAACTGCCAGGCGGCCTCCAGGAAGGCAAGGCCTGAGGGACGGCCCCCCATCACCCAGCACCCACCACCCCTCGATGTCACCATGGCCCAGCCTAGCAAGGTCAAGCCAGGGCCTCAGTTGCATTAGTAGAACAACGAGAATGAGGATGAGTTAAATCAAGTTTAGCCTAAAGGCGCCTCCTTACATATTTTCAGTTCAGCCTAAAGGTTTATCTGTACATCTTGAGCTATGACAACAGGGAGTGTAAATGGACCATGGTCTATACTTGTGCCAATCACTGAATTTTGGCCAAACAAAGCCAACTGCTGGAACTGTGTTCAAATAAGGCAAATGCCAAGCTGTAACTGATCTGTTTCCATGCCTCACTACCATTTTCTGTATGTCACTTTCCTTTTGCTGTCCAAAATCTTCTACCCCATGGCTGTGCTGGAGTCTCTGAGCCTACTCTGGTTCGGGAGGCTGCCCAATTCATGAATTGTTCACTGCTTAACTAAACTCCTTTAAATTTATTTCAGCTCAAGTTTTTCTTTTATCATGGAACAAGCTCTGACAGGAGCACAAGAACCTATCCCAGGGCCCAGGATCACTCTCCCCATTCACAGGTGGGCAGGTGACCTGCTCAAGGTCACAGGCCAGTAAGTGGCACACACAGGGTGGGGGGGCAGCAGGGGGGACGGGACACAAAACAAACAAAAAGAATTGCCAGAAATAATGACCAAAAGTACCCAAATTTTATGAAACTATAAACTCGGAGATTCAAAAATTTCACCAATCCACAAGCAGAATAAATACATATTTTTTAAATCCAAGGTACATTATAGGCAAACTGCAGAAAAACAGTGATAAAGAAACCTGAAAAGTGGCCCGGAGAAAAAACTGCACATTTCATGAGGAAGAAAAAACATAAGAAGGACTTGATCCTTTCGTCAGAAACTGTGGAAGCTGAAAGACAATGGAAGGATGTCTTTAAAGTGCTGGACGGAAAAACCTGCAACTAGAATTCTACACCCACTGGAAACAGATTTCAAACACAGGGGCAGATTTTGACAAGCAAAAGTGAAAAGGATCGGTTCCAACCAGATGTGAAGTACAGGAAATGTTAGAAGCAGCTAGTTAGGGTGAAAGTAACAGCAAGAAACCTGGATCTCCCTGAAGAATTAAAGAACGCCAGAATGGTAAATAGAAAAAAGATACGTTCATTTATTTAAAACACTATCGATTGTAAAAGCAAAATCCGTAACTATGTGCCGGGGTCATCATGTGTTATAAATGACGTGTGGTCCTGAATGTACTGAAACCACATCAACGAGGCAGGGTTATCATGTGTTATAAATGACATGTGATCTTCAATGTACTGAAACCACCTCAACGAGGCGGGGTCATCAGATGTTATAAATGACATGTGATCCTGAATGTACTGAAACCATGTCAACGAGGCAGGGTCATCATGTTATAAATGACCCGTGGTCCTGAATGTATTGAAACCACGTCAACAAGGTGGGGTCACCATGTGTTATAAATGACGTGTGGTCCTGAATGTACTGAAACCACATCAATGAGGCGGGCGTGGGACACAGAAGTGCATTCCTGTGTGGCCGATCCACCACACAGGACATGATACGGTGCTACTTGAAGGCGGGCTGCGGAAAGTTAAAGATCTATGCTGTAAACTCTAAAGCAACCACTAAAAAAAGAAACAAACAGGAATCTCTCATAAGCCCTTAGTGGAGATAAAATGGAATGCTAAATAGCACTCAATTCTACTCCAAAAAAAAAGGAAGGAAGAGAAAGAAAATAAAAAGGGGGAAAAAAAGGAAATATAGAAAGCAAACATCAAGACAGTAGAGTTAAAGCCAACATGAAGGCCTTACACTTAATGATGCATGAGCCGAAGACGGCTCGTCCACTCCAGTAGCCATCAACCCCTTGCGGCAATTTAAATGTAGATTTTAATTAATTAAAATTAAATAAAATGGTAAACTCGGTTGCTTCCTGCACTAGCCACATTTCAAGTGCCCAGGAGCCCCATGTGGCAAATGGCTGTCACGATGAAGAATGCAGATGACAGGGCCTTTCATCATTACCAAAAATCCTACTGGACAGAGGCACTGCTTTCACCATTCCCACCAAAAAGCAGAGCTTCTCCGATGAGAGTAAAAGCAAGATTCCGGCCAGGCGTGGCGGCTCATGCCTGTAATCCCAACACTTTCCGAGGCTAAGATAGGAGGATCACTTGAGCCTAGAAGTTCAAGATCAGCCTGGGCCACACAGTGAGATCTCTTTCTATAAAAAAATAAAAATTGGCCAGCTGTGGTGATGTACACCTGCAGTCTCAGCTACTTGAAATGCTGAGGTGGGAAGACTGCCTGAACCTGGGAGATCGAGGCTGCAGTGAGCCTTGATCACACCGCTACATTTTAGCATGGACAACAGAGCAAGAGACCCTGTCTCAAAAAAAAAAAAAAAAAAAAAAAAGGCAAGATCTTGCTCTACAGTATATACAAGAAGCCCACTTCATATATAAAATCAGATGAAATTATAAGTAAAAATTAGAAAAATATATCATGTAAACAGTAATCATAAGAAAGCTGGAATGGCTACACTAATATCAGAGTAGAATTCAGAACCACAAATATAATAGAAATAAAAGAAGGACACTTTCAAAACAGATGGTCAACTGACTAAGATAAAACAATTCTAAGTATGTATGCACCTAATGTCACAGCTTGAAAATACGTGAAGCAAAAACTGATAGAACTGGAAAGAAACACACAAATCCACAGTTACAGGCAGCGCGGTCAGCAGAGCAAGCAGACACAAGAGCATAGAGGCCACAGAAACTCCAACACCATCAACCAGCCTAACCCACGCAACAGGAGAATACACATTCCTGCCAAACGCACGTGGAACATTCACTAAGACAGACTCTATTTTAGGCCATAAAGCAAGTCTTGACATAGTTATAATCGCTGAAATCATACAAAATACATTCTCTGAAAAGAGAACTAGAAATCAGTAACAGAAAGTTATCTGTGAATGACATAATCATCTGAAATTACACAACACACTTCTAAATAATCATGTGTAACAGAAGAAATCAAAGAGAAATTAGGAAATAACTGAATGAAATAAAAACACAAGATATTAAAATGTGTATCAGTAAAGCAATGCATAGAGGGAAGTGTATAGCAATAAATACTTAGAAAAAAAAAGATCTCAAGTCAATAATCTGACAAAAGCATTAACCCAAAGTAAGCAGGAGAAAGAAATAATAAAGGTGAGCAGAAACCAATTAAATCAACATCAAATCAATAGAGAAAACTAATGATATCAACATCTGGACCTTTCAAATGATTAATAAAATCAATCGATTTACATGGGAATAATACTGAGATGATAAAATTATTCAGATCAAGATTAATTGATCTTGATCTTAATTAATTGGGCATATCTTTAAAAGTCACACCAACCCTACGGCCAGCAATTCAACTTGCAGGTAATAATCCCCCCACAACAAAATGCAAACATTTGTCCGTACAAAGATCCTACAGAAATGCTCACAGCCTCTTTCCGCCTAACAGCCAAAAGCTGGAGAACGCGAAAGCATCCATCGATAAGTGGAAACGCAGGCTGTGCTATGTCCAAAGACATGCCTGCCGCCCAGCAATAAAGCCAGGACTCGGCGCAACCGTGCTTTCTAGAAACGGCTGTTGAGTCACAGCATAACCTCAAGACTGAGGGAGCCGCGGGGAGTGCCGTCCTGTCACCAGGCAGGCTGTGGGGCCTCCTCCAAGCACTGCCTCTGCTACTGCTGGGGGTCCACGGTTACGAGGCAGGGGCTGCCTCATCCCACACCACCACGGCACTCCTGCGACACCGCAGCCCCACCAACCACAGCACAGGCCTCCTGCCGCTTCCAGCCCCGACTGGGCCAACTCATCACTACATGCAGGACGCCACATCCTGGTCTCAGGAAGCGCCCATTCCCACATATCCCACGGCTGCCGCTGGAGCACAGGTTTGTTGGGTCCGGGAACCCTCAGAGGGACGGCCACCCAGCTGAAGACCCTGGCTTCACAGGCCGTTAGCAACAATCCCATGACTCTGGCCGGGGACCTAAGGGAGGTCCAGAGAGGGCCCCCCTCATTCCCAGTCCTGTCCCCAACACCCATTCCCAGGAGAAGGAAGAAAAATTCATTTCCCAGATTCCATCTTCACACCATCTGAGCAACTTCACTAACACTCCATAAAACAAAACGAAACGTCAGCAGCGCTTATCAGGACTTCTCTCTGCCGTCCCCATCCCCACCCTCCAGTTCTGCTGTGAACAGGGATAACGGGACACCCTAAAACGCCAAAAGGCGGCAGGCACGCTCCCCACCAGTGCTGCGTCCCCCCACGTCTCACTGCAGGCCCCACTTACCTGCCCGCTGCAGACGAAGGCCTCTGATGAACACTCGGCCGTGTGTGGGATTACAAGGGTCTGGGTCCCCACCTGCTCTTCACTGAACCAGGTCTCAAGGCAATGCAGCCCCAGCACGAGGGGGTCCCCAGGGCAGGAGCTTGAGGAGGGCACCCACACAGCCACTCCACAGTGAGCACCGAGCCACCCTGGACACCCAACACCCACCACAAGCCTGCCTGGCTGCCTGGACCACTGGGCAAGCTGACAGGCTGCCTCGACCACTGGGCAAGCTGACAGGCTGCCTGGACCACTGGGCAAGCTGACAGGCTGCCTCGACCACTGGGCAAGCTGACAGGCTGCCTGGACCACTGGGCAAGCTGACAGGCTGCCAGGCTCTGCTGCCACCAGGCATGACACTGGCCAGGCAGTTCCCCAGTTGCCGGAGGGGATGAGCTGAAGGATGTGGCCCCGGCTCAGGTTCAGGCAGGAAAAAGCCCAGTCAAGACAGTGTGCAGCCTGACTTGGCTTGAGCTAGCGCTGGGTGCCTCACATGCAATGCTAACCCCGTCCCACGGCTGCAGACAGGGCATGGTGTGTGCCCGAGTCCATATGCAGTGGCCCCAGGGAAGGGAAGAATAGCCCAGGGCCGGCCCTCCCTCTGCCATCTGGGAGCCACCATACACTGGCCCT
The DNA here is from genome assembly GCF_000001405.40 of Homo sapiens. Taxonomy (NCBI): domain Eukaryota; kingdom Metazoa; phylum Chordata; class Mammalia; order Primates; family Hominidae; genus Homo; species Homo sapiens. The sequence continues at coordinate 142,338,927 of NC_000008.11, forward strand.
GCGGTGAGATGCCTTGGCCCTGCTACCCTGCACGTGAGCTGCTGCCAGATTCTGCTACCGTGACCTGGGCAGGGCACAAGTGGCCAGCCCACCTCCCACCCTGGGAGGACCCTTCTTGCCCACTCATCTGGTGATGGACAGACGTGAGGAAAGAGGTAGTAGGGACAGAGGTCTGAAGCCCCACTCTGGGCCTCTGCACATCCATGATGGTGCTTCAAAATCCACAGAGCACCACTAGGGGTCCTCAAGGAGAAACGGAGTACCCCAAAACCTTAGTGTGTGACTGACAAGGCTGATGATCACTTCCCCAGCTGGCCCTGGGCCAGCCCATGCCGAAGGAGCGAAGAATCGGATGCGGCTCAAAGCGAAGTTGACGTTGACTAAGCTGGGCAGCTACGTGATGTGTGACGGCTCTTGTTACACTGGCCCAGGCGACCACAGAGATGGGTCTCTGCAGGCCAGGGAGAATCACAGGCCCGTGGACCTATACCGTGGATGAGGCAGGGGAAGCCAGGGCGGGCAGGCAGGGGGTGTGGGCCAGGGCACCATGGCCAGGAGGGGCAGCTCAGAGTGGATAGAGCAAATGCTGTTTGGCTCCCACAGGGCGCTAAGAAACCAGACTCAAGCACTGGCAAGGTTCACCCCAGGGAGACAGGGTCACCTCTGAGGGCCTCATGGAGAGGACGTGACTAAACCCCAAGCTGCCATGCCAGCAAAGCTGAGAGCTAGGCTTTGTGCCAGCAGCCATGAGGCAGTCGGGGAAGCATAGGGCAGCTCCTGCCCACCTGGACAACCACTCCCGAGGGAGGTCTGCGGGAAAGGCAGGTGGCAGATGGACACATCAAAGACAAGGCTCGCTCCCCACACCTGCTGAGTCTGGGCCCTCGCCAGCGGAGAGCAGCGGCCCTGCCGTACAGCGCCCTCCTCCTCTGCAACCAGCCCTCCTCTGGACAGCTGCGCCGGGGGTGTCTCCAACACACATGGCAACAGTCCTGCAGCATGCAGGCAACTCCGCAGAGGACTGAGAGGGCTAGAGGCACTTCCCAACAGGGGCTGATGATGCAGCCGGAGAGCTGGGGAGGGAACCAGCTCATTCTGGGGCAGGGTCGGGGCCAGACTGGCCAGCACAGGGCTGGGTTTGTGGCCAGGGTCGGGGCCTCATGCTCCAGGAAGGCGGACGGCATCAGGAAGGAGGCGTCCATGAAGGCTGGGGCGCAGGGGTGGTGCTCAGGCCTTGGAAGATGGAGACAGGCGAGCACCAGTCCAAAAAGAACACGGGGCCACATAAGAGAAGTGAGGCTTGCCGGGGCCTCCTGTGCACCAGCCCTGGCCGAGGCATGTCCCGTGTTTCCTCGTGATGGCAGGAACCCTACTTTATAGAGGAGGAAGCGGAGGCTCCAAGGATCACAGAGCAGACAGAGGCACATGGGGCATGGCTCCACTCACAGGAAACGTCCAGAACAGGCAAAGCCGCAGGCAGACCGCAGACTAGAGCTGCCAGGGCTGGGGGAGCTGAGGGTGGGGTGACTGCCTAGGGCCAGGGCTCCCTTTTGGGAGGTGGAAACGCTCTGGAATTGAGACAGTGGCGGTGGCTGCACAGCACTGGGAATGAACTAGCATCACCAGGTTGAAGACTTTAAAAGGGTGAAACGACAAACTTTGATGTGTGACTATTATGTCAATAAAGAAAGAAAATAATAAGGCTGTGGCACTCACCAAAGGCCCCAGAGCTGGGAAAGGCAGGGCCTGGTGGGTTTGTTCCAGCTCAGTCCCAAGGGTGCCATCCCCTCTCGACCTCAGCCTTCCCACCACTGTCTGGATCTCAAAGGACCTCTCTAGCCCTTTGCCTCAGACCCCAGGGCCACATGACCCAGCCCACACGCAGGCAGGGCCTGCAGTCTGCTCGGACTTCACACCCCACGGATGACACCACGTGCCTAGACACCTCCCTGGGCCCAGAGGGGAAGCCACAGCACAGCATGGGGCTGGTGTCAGAGAAGGGGCAGTGTGTACTGGCTTCTGTTGGCTTTTTAAGTTCTTAATACACTTTAGGGAGCCTGTTTCAAAGTCAAAGACGAGGTATGCAATTAGAGAAATGCCCCTCAAGGCCCTAACTGCAGAGCCCGCCTGGGTCGGAAAAGGAGGTGCTCACAAAACACTCTCACACTCCCCCAGACCCCTCCCCTGTCCCCCGACGCCTCCCATCTGTCCACAAGTGGCTCCACCCTCTCAGATGCAGAGCCTGACATTGGGGAGGGAGTTGAAGTGGCACAGTGGGGACTGAGAGAGGACAAGGACATTGAGAGTGCCCTCAAGTGCCCCCTTCCCAGCCTCCCTGCACCCACCCCCCCAGGCCTGGCCAGGCAGTCTTCTTCGGAGTAACAATCCAGGCCCACATCTCCTGCCAAGGCAAGGGCAAAGGGACTCCTGTTCACAGGAAATAAAGGCTCATCCTTGATGAGCATGGAGAGGAGTAAAGCGCAGGCAGTGGTGGAGAGGCCCCTTGGGGCTGCAGGCACATCCCAGGAGGGCCCTGGCAGGCTAGCAGGCAGGCCGGCAAGGGGCCCCGGGGCCTGACCCCAGCCTCCAACCCGAAGCAGAGTGCGCACCTGGGGCGCATCCAGACACACGGCTGGGGCCAGAGGTCTTGGACACAGGCTAGGACAGCACAAGGTAGAAGAGGATATGAAGCCATCCCACCACCTCCCACCCGGGACCACCTCCTCTTCTTCCACACCAGCGAGGTCACCCCCGTCAGTGTCACTGTCCATCAGCCACTCACTGCCCGGCAGGCTGCAATGAGCCCTCCTGCAGCCCAGGCCTTTTGCGGAGTACCACAGACTGTGTCTCTAACTTTGCCACCTCCTCCACCATCCCGTTAATTACCCAGTGCCCAGCACAACCACCGGCTCACTCAGCACCCCCAGCCCTGACAGCACCAGGAAACCCACTCGAACCCTGTGAGGAGGGCAGGAGGACTTCTTCATGTAAAAGCCAGAGACAAGCAGCCCACAGCCCATGACAGCAGTGCTCTGTGTCACCCCAGTCCCAGGCCCTGCCGGCCACCTACAATAGGGGCTGACCCCACTGCTGGGGCGACTGAGCCACTACAGCGGCTGCCAGAGAGCAGAGGCCCTGTCCTCGGACACAGCAAAGGGGAGGCCCTGGGGCCAGCTATCCCACTGACGGCCAAAGAGGGGCTCCCCCACGGCCCCCAACTGTGCCAAGAGGAAGGGCTGCCCCATAAAGACCTCCCTCAAGCTGAAACAGTCCCGAGGAAGTTCCGGCAGCAAGGCCAAGTGACTCGGGGCCGGGACTGCCACTGCCTGCTACCTCATCCTGCAGCTGAGCAGGAGGCCTCAGCGCCCGTGACCAGAGATGCCTACTTAGGTCTGCCCCGTCCAGGTGGGGCTGGGAGCACTTGCTCAGATCCTCTTCCAGACACTGTCAGCTCCACCACAGCCAGCACTGCGGTCCTCGCCACACACTGGGCTCAGGTATGGGGGCAGATCCCAGCCAATGTCTTGAGGGGAACCTTGGCCCACTGCAGCCCAGTGCTCTAGGGACCCATCCAGTCCCGGGGCAGGGCATGTCCAGGCAGCTTCCACACCAGGACGGAGGCCTCATCGCCCACAGCTGGAATCCAGTGCAGGAACCAGGCTGCCGCCCTCCTCTTCCAGATCTCCTATAGCACGGCCTCGTTCAACAGTCAAGAGGCCTGAGTGCACGCCATGTCTATGCCCAGCACCTGTCCCAGCACCTGTCCAGGCCACCACAGCAAGAGCTCAGACGCCATGCCTACGCCCTGCACCTGTCCAGGCAACTGTCCCAGCACCTGTCTGGGCCCACCACAGCAGGAGCTCAGACGCCATGCCTACGCCCAGCACCTGTCCAGGCAACTGTCCGGACACCTGTTCCAGCACCTGTCCAGGCAACTTCCGGACACCTGTCCCAGCACCTGCCCGGGCCCACCACATCAGGAGCTCAGACGCCGTGCCTACACCCAGCACCTGTCCCAGCACTTGTCCAGACCCACCACAGCAAGAGCTCAGCATGCCATGCCTACGCCCTGCACCTGTCCCAGCACCTGCCCGGGCCCACCACAGCAGGAGCTCAGACACTGGGCCCACGCTGACCTCCTGCAGACCTCCCTGACCCATCAGACACCAATAAAGCGATGCTCTCCCTGGGAAAAGGGACTCTGCCTGAGCCTCAGCCTCAGGGTCTGCAGAAGGCCCACTGCAGCTCTGAGCAGATGCTGCCTCCCAGGTCTCAACCTGCCCACCCTGACACCACAGGGCGGCGCCAGCCTGTAGGAAGGCCTCTTCTGGGTGTTAAAAACAGTAACAGAGCAGCATGTTTCAAACCACGGCGCTGAAACCCAGGTCAGAAAACCAGTTTAGTAAGTTGCAATCAGCTTTTTCTTTCATGAGTAGCACAAGACGCAGCAGGAGGAACATGAGCACGCGTGGCCATGGGGAGCGTCGGCACGGCTAGAAATGCCTGATTCTCGGTGTGTGTGTCTACCCCAGGCAGCAACGGCAAATGCCCTTCTCGCCACGGCCGTGGTCCCAGTGTGTGACTGGGTGATGGTGACGGGAGAACTCTGTCCTGCCTGTCTGCATGCTCAGCTCCGCTCTAGGACGCGGTGAGGGACAGGCCAAGTCAAACGCCAAGCAGGGAGACAAAATTTACTAATGCTCCCTTTATAGGTAATAGATATTGGCTGAATGCACAGACGGGTGGATGCACAGATGAGTGAAGAGTGAACGGGGCAGAGGATGAATGAACAAGAACACTCCAGATGAGACAGTGGTGATGGGGAGTGGGGGGAGGAGGGGAGAAGAGGAGGAGGAGGAGGAGGAGGAGGGGGAGGAGGAGGAGGAGGGGAGAGGAGGAGGGGAGAGGGGAAGGGGAGGAAGAGGAGGAGGAGGAAAGTCACTGTGGAGGAAGATGCAGGGCAACATGGCCAAGATGGGCCCCCCCCTCCTGCTGGACAGAGTGGCACCCTAGCAAGGTGAGCTGAGCAAGGAACTCACCTCTGGGCGGCTCCAGACTGAAGCCCTCGGAGGGCAGGGCCTGGCAAGAGAAGGTCTTGGCCACCACCTGCTCCACGGGCGTGAGAGCCAGGGCCTGGGGCTTGCCGGAACCAGGGCTGGGGCCATGGGCCGCCTTCCGGAGGTCGCCCAGCTTGCGCCGCACGACGGCTCGTAGGTCCCGCCACTTGTGCTTCAGGTCCACAACGTCGCGGCGACAGTAGCCCAGCGCATTCACGGCCTGCAGGATGCGGCTCCACACGCGGTACCTGCGAGTGGGCTCGGCCTTCAGCAGCCCCGTGCCAAACAGCAGCTGGTGGTGCTTGCTCACCTTGGACACCAGCACCTCGGTCTCCTGCGGGCAGAAGTTGGGCTTCCTCTTCTTGGCCCGGGTAGTGCTGGGCCCCGCCATCCGGCCATGGGGCCCAGCAGCCGAGTCCTTCCTCGGGCCAATGGTGGGTGATGAGGTGGGCTCCGGCATCCGGCTGCCTTCAGGGGCAACCCCAGGCCCTGGAAAGGCACCAAAAGGCGGATGTTTAAGGCCCTGGGCCTGTGGAGGCAGCGGCCCCGGCGGCAGCTCCCTACGGCGCCTCCTCTCTGGTTTCTGCTTCAGGACACGGCTGCCTGGTCCTGGCCACCACCCCTCCCTGCTGGGTGTCCAGAGACCTGGGCCCACGATCCCCTAGCCCTGACACTGCCTCACCAGGTGCCATCAGCAAGCACGTAGCTTCTGGGTCACAGTGCCCCATCTCCAAGACAGCACACCACTAGCCCTGCCTGCCCCTGCAGCCACCACAGAGGTGCAGGAGCCGAGCAGGCTAGGTTGCGGCCCTGGACCCTCTCCAGGGTTTCCTGCCCTCAGGCCAGGGCTGGGCTGCTCCCGGGATCAGCCCTCGCCTGGGGACAGCCTTGCCAGCTGACATTTTGGAAGGCTCCTGCCTACCTGCCCACAGCACAACTAAGAGCCCTCTGAGCACAGGCCTCGGCTTCCCTCCCACACTTGGGCCAGGGCCGGTGGGGACACGGTGGCCAGCCTCGACTTCCCCTCCCGCACTTGGGCTGAGGCCGGTGGGGACGTGGTGGCCTGGTCGGCAGCCTCACCCCCCTACCATCCTGTGCCTCCACAGCCCTCCATCCTGCAAGGGAACAGGGCTGCACTGGCAACAGTGGCAAAGTCTCTGCGTCTTTGCTCACAGACGAGCTTTTTCACTAACCGGACCAGCTTCCTGAAGGCAGGGACAGTGCCCGACACTGCAGGTTCCCTGGTGCTGCATGTCTGAGCCCCCAAGGAGAAGCACTCAAGTACAGGCCTCTCCCTGGGGGCCTGGTGTCCCAGAAGGACCTGGAAGGGGCCCCTCCACCAGGAGGGAAGCCCACCAGGATACCTGCAGAGGTCACCGCACCTGTTCCTCCCCAAACCACAGCAAGCACTCTGCCACCCCTCACCGGCCCACTGCACAAGGACAGTCGGGCTTGAGGGTGAGGGGCCACAAGAGCAGGTCCAGAGCCCCCAGCGGGAGCACCCCTGCTCAGTCCTGAGCCTACAGGGTTGGCCAGCTCTGGCCACCACACAGCTTCCATCCTGTGGCCTGTATGGGCCGGCTGCACCCTTGACCCTACTCAGGGGAAGGCCTGGCAGGGGGCAGGGGATGCAGGTCCCTTGCCTCCTGGTCCCAGCCTCCTCCCTGCAGCTCCCACCTGCTGACCCTGCCCTCCTCAGCACCTGCATCTCCAAGCCGCCTTCCCAGGACCCCTGAGACCCAGCGTCTGAGTGAAGTACCTCGCTTCCTGGCCCTTGGGACAATAGGCGTGCCTGCTGGCCCCAGATCACCTTCCCCGTCCTTCCCCACACAGCGGTTCTGCAGCTTGCTCTCTGGCGACGGGCAGGGGAAATGGCGGATTCCATACTCGGTCCAACATCTAGCGCACTCTACGGACAGCAAGGGACAGTCACGATTACTCTCAGCTCAGGGCGCTCCTGGCAGTGCCAGGCCCCCATGCACGGACAGCAGACACCCAGGACCCGAGATGCTCCACTCAGGGCTCCTCCTCCAGGAAGCCCTCCCTGCCTGCTATATCCTCTGGATCATCCCCCTTCTGCTGAATGCCAGCAAGGAGTTCAGAACTTTAGGTGTTCCGGACTTTTCTCTGAACCAGTTCTGAAATGTGACTGCAAACTAGCAAACAACCCCCAGGGCTTGCAGGGGTAGCCACAGATTAATCCCTGGACAGCTATTACCAGTCAGCAACAAAGTACAAAATGGGAAGTGCGGCTCCAGCATCGTTTAAGGCAATTTGAAACTGCTGCGACCTCCACGCTCAGAATCATTCTACTGCATTTTATAAAAGTGCCACTCCGTAGCGTATGGGAGATGAAAAGCAAAGCCACACTGCTGTCCCCACTCGGCTTTGCGGAGGCAGAGACGCGTGCTCCCCATCTCCCGGCTCCCAGCCCCCGCACGGAACGCATCGTAATTTTCTCTAATTATTTCCATTTGTTCACAAAACATTTCTGGACACATTTCATTGAAATTCATTGATCCTCAGATGCACCTTATAAAAGCCTTTTAAAATCTCCAGAACCACGATGTGCCTTTCGATCCACGGCACCCCAGAGTCACAGACACGCCGTGTGCGCCAGGCTGAGGCCTCCGAAGCCAGACCCCGCGTGCCTGTCTGCAACCTGTTCTTCCCGGGACGTGTCCTGGTAGGTCACAAGGATGCTGCTGGCTTGGAAGCGCTTTCCAGCCACATCCGCGGCCTCCAGGGCCAGGTCGGCACAGTGGGTCCCAGGGCTGCATCCTTGAGCCAAGCGCCTGAAGCAGCAGCTCTTGGAAAAGGCCCTTCATACAACCCTCAGAGAAGTGACACTAGGGGCCGCCCTGGTGAGCTCCCTCTCAGGATCCGTCTAGGGGGACCCTACAGCCCAACGTGACAGGGAGGGAAGGACTTTCCCAAAGCCTCTCATCGGACCCCCACGAGGTGGGCGAGGGCCCAAAGGCTACCTGGTCCATCCTCCTGCCCCCAGACAGCACTGCCCAAACCACACAGGCAGAGACAGGCCTACGGCCACACAGACTCAGGAAAGGGCCTCCAGTGCCCAGCTCACTGCTCTGGACTGGGGCACGCTCACCCTCCAGCTCTGGGCCCTGGTGGGGGGAAGAGGGAGAAGCCTGCAGAAGGACGGGAGGGCAGCTGCCTGGCTCATTTCGGGGCGGAGGTTTCCGCAGGGCAGAGAAGTGCAGCAAAGTAGATCAGAGTCAGAAGACAACCCTCTGGAGGGGATGGAGAGGGAGCAGCCGCAGCCTGGAGACAGACACTGCCCTGGGAAAACCAGGCACCCACGAAGAGGCACTGACCAAGGCCCGGAGGGGGCCCAAGTCACAGAGGGAGGGATCCCAAGTCACAGACGCCTCTCAGTGTTTGATGAAGTGAGCCTCCAGCATGGGTCCCCCTCCCAAGAGGGCAGGGCCTGTCCCTCCAGCTCCCGGCAGGCCCTTCTCCCCTGGCATCCACACCATCCTCTCTCTGCACAGAGACACACTCTCCAAGCTGGAAACCCCGGACAATGGCCTGTGAGGGGATCCAGGCACTTGGTGACTGAGCTCAGCCTCTGCTCAGAAATGGGGTCCCACAGGCCCCCAGAGAGACCACAGGCCCTGCTGTCACTCAAGGACACGCCATCACCTCGCCACACTGCATCCGCTCACCCAAGTCCAGAAGGACACGCCATCACCTCGCCACACTGCATCCGCTCACCCAAGTCCAGAAGGACACGCCATCACCTCGCCACACTGCATCCGCTCACCCAAGTCCAGAAGGACACGCCATCACCTCGCCACACTGCATCCGCTCACCCAAGTCCAGAAGGACACGCCATCACCTCGCCACACTGCATCCGTTCACCCAAGTCCAGAAGGACATGTCATCACCTCACCACACTGCATCCACTCACCCAAGTCCAGGTCCTGCCCACTGCACCAACGTTATTCCACGCTGCTCCCCACGCCCCTCGAGGGGCCAGTATGCTCTGCCCACCTGAGCCACGTGAACCTAGAACATGGCAGGGACAGGCCTGGGACATTTGCTGTTTGCTTTTGAATAGAATAATACCCACAAATTACAGAAAAAATGTAAATGCAGACAGTTATAAATAAAAAAATAAAGATCACAACATCCAGAGATAAACATTAACCCTGGAGGTGGGCGGCTGTCTCCCACAAGCAAATGCTGCACGTATGGCTTTGCTTCTTCCACGCACCACATTCGCCACAAATCACAGAACGTGCGCGGGTCACTAGAGAGCCTTCGACGATGTGATTTTAATGCCTGCGTCAAATTCTATCCCAGCTGTAACACATCGTCTCCCTAAAGCCAGATGCTTACAGTATTTCTGAGTCAGCACTCGCACAAATCACATGTGGTGAACACCTCTGCCCGTGTGTCTATCTCCTAAGACAGAGTCCAAGAGGAAGCACGGCTGGGCTAAGAGAAGGAACACTCCCGGCCGCCCCAAGCTGGCTGCTCCCGGCACCCCATGCCCACCCTCCCCTGGCCCCCGCTCCCGCCCCAGGCTGCCCCGAAGCTGGCTGCTCCCGGCACCCCATGCCCACCCTCCCCTGGCCCCCGCTCCCGCCCCAGGCTGCCCCAAAGCTGGCTGCTCCCGGCACCCCATGCCCACCCTCCCCTGGCCCCCGCTCCCGCCCCAGGCTGCCAAGGGCGTGTCGACATTTTCTTTTCCTGCCAGGTTATCGTGAGGCTGACCGCTGCTGGTGCGCTGAGGAGACAGCTACATGTCCTAGCTGTCCACAGAGCTGGCCCGTGTGCATGGAGCTCTGGGGAGCTTTCTTCTGTGTATCTGAGTTATTTATGAGTTGACGACTCACTAGCTGGCTTTTTGCTGCCTCTGTCCAGAGAACGTTATAGTGACACGACGGCCCTAAGGTGCTGCACAGTTAGGGTGGCAGGACTTTGGCACACAGCAGGGACTGGGCACATGCAGCTGACCCTACACCCATGGGGAATTTGTCCAGGCCCCACCAGCCTGCCTGGAAGGCCTTGCCCAGCTCTGAGGGTCCTCGAAGGCCCCGCCCACACAGAAGGCCAAGAGCTGAGGGGAGCAAAGGAGGCACTGAGCCAGGCTCGCCCCCATGCCCCAGAAGCAGCCCCAGCGCGACGATTTTCAACAAACCGGGACAACACTGGTGCTTTTCTTTCAGATGTGTGTTCGGGTTTGAAATCACTTTAAAAAGACAACTGGAAAAAAGTACATCTGAAAATGATGAAGTAAACTTCCAAGTAATTCCTAAACAAAGAAATCATAATGGAAAGTTAAAGATATTTAGAACTGAAAAAAAATTTAAAATACTATACATTTCAAAATGTGTGATATTCAACTAAAGCAGTTTCTAGGGAAATTTCTAATTTCCAATGCTTTTATTAGAAATGAATATTTACCATATTCATGGTGAATGTGGTAAATATTCAATCTGGGAGTCAGAAAAATAAAATAGCATCAACTTAAAGAAAGGAGGGAAATGATGAAACTATGAGCAGAAATCAATCACAATTTAAAACTCGCACGCACAGAAGGGGGAAGCCAGGGGCCATATCTCTGCAGAGACCTGTGGAACTGCCAGGTCTCTGTCGATACTGACTATAAAAGAAGACAGAGAAGGTACAAATACAGAATATCAGGAATGAGAAAGGGGACGTGGTTGAGATGCTGTGGCTGTGAAAGCAGCAGCAGCCACCACTGGCCCTCAGCGGCCCTGCCCGAGCTTCACGGGTGTCGACACATCCATCTGCATGACCACCAGGCCGGAGGTCTCTTCTCACCTCCCCTTCCCAACCCTGAGTTCACAAAGCTCATGAGCAGCAGGGTGGGCAGGGCTGAGACCAAGGCAGGCAGGGTGGGTAGACAGGGCAAGGCAGACAGGGCAGGGACCAAGCAGGCAGGGCTGGCACGCTGGGACAAAGACTAGCAGGGCTGGGACCAGGGCAGGCAGGGCAGGCAAGGCTGGGACCAGGGCAGGCAGGGCGGGCAAGGCTGGGACCAGGGCAGGCAGGGCGGGCAGGGCTGGGACCAGGGCAGGCAGGGCTGGGACCAGGGCAGGCAGGGCAGGCAGGGCAGGCAGGGCAGGCAGGGCAGGCAAGGCTGGGACCAGGGCAGGCAGGGCGGGCAGGGCTGGGATCAGGGCAGGCAGGGTGGGCAGGGCTGGGACCTCGGCAGGCAGGGCTGGGACCAGGGCAGGCAGGGCGGGCAGGGCTGGGACCAGGGCAGGCCGGCTTCTGCATCTGCATCTTAACCATTACATGAGGGTGCCCCAGTGTCACAACTGACAGCGAAAGGCTATTGTGTACAATTTCATTTCAGTAAGTTGAACATTTAGATAAAACAGTCGAATTTCCAGAAAAATGCAACTTAACAAAACTGACCCAAGAAGAAACAGAAAGCCTGAATAACGTTTGACAACTAGAGGAATTAACTGGTAGTCAGAAAATCTTTCCACAAAGGAAAACACTAGACCCACATAGTTTTACAGCAAAAACCCAGAAACATTCAAGGAATACATAATCCTGTTCTTCCACAAACTCACCAAGAATAGAACCACCATCTCCATTCAACACTGCAGTAGAGGTTCCAGCCAGGAAAAGAAACACATAATAGGTGAAAGCACTGGAAAAGGAGCGAAAACACTGTCATTATGCACAAACACCACCATCTACAGGGAAAGCTCAACAGATTCCACAGACAAATAATTACAATAAAAAGGGTTTAGCAACATGGCTGGACACAAACCAGTACACAAAAATCAATTACACCACACAGGAAAACCCTGGTTTCTTCAACAAATAAACTTGGAGGGAAATAAAGAGATGGAGGGAAGCCAGAGACAGAGACACACTCGAAGGAGGAGCATAGGTCAGCTGTAACACGGGATCTCGGGAGGCTCCACGTTAAACGGCATCTCTGAAACAGACACTCCTAGAGGCCGTCGGCCACTTCAACTGCAGGTCGGGTATGGCAGCCAAACGTGCTGTCACAGTGGAAATCTGGTCACACATAAAAGGAGTCCTTCTCTTTTAGAGACACGCTGAAATATTACCAGATGAGATGATCTGCTATCTGGGATTTACTCCGGAATGACACAGCAGGGAAGCAGTTTGGGGGCACATGTACCGCCACACTGGCCACGAGCAGTGAGGGGAAGCCAAGGTACACCAGGGGCTGTGACGCGTCTGAGTCTACTTTGATGTGTTTGAAAGTTTCCACATTTAGAAAATTAAAACATAAAATATTCAAAAATTAAATACAATATCTGGACTTTGTTCTTAGAAAAAGCCAATTACATGCACACACCAGCAAGACGCATTTGGAAAATGTAATATTCAGAATGGTACCACTTACAACAGCAGGAAAGAAAGTTTTTACTTTCTTGAAATGAATTTAAGAAAAGATATGTAAGATCTTTACAGAGAAAGTTAAATGACTTCATTGCAAGACATTAAAGAAAACCCCATAAATATAAAGACGTGTGCTTGTTCACGGACTGGAAGGCTCAGAACGATAAAGAAATCACTTCTCCCCACACAGATGCAGGGACGCCAGGCAAACCCAGTCAAAGCTCCAGAGTGCGACAGGTGATCCTAAACCTTATGGTCAACATCAAACCGCCAAACATACCCGAGACACTTCTGTAGAAAAATAAGAAGGGCACTTTGTTCTAAAAAGTATTGAGAATTATAGCAAAACTATAGAAATTAAGGTGGATTTTGGCACAGGAAAAGCAAACTTGACCAGAGAATCCACATGAAAACTTTATCACAGAGCTGTCACTGCAGGTCTACAGAAGAAAGGCAATTCAACAGTCCACACAATTTGTTCTTCAAACAGAGAAAAACAACATCACAGCTTCCCCTCCACACTCACCCCACCTCACACCGTAAACAAAAATCAAAGGTCAATTACAGTCTTAAATATGAAAAACAAATTGTTCAATCTTTAGAGGGAAGTAAAAGATGGCAGCATTATCATCTTGTGATGGAAGTTACTAAAGAGAAAAGTGCGAGTCCCGAAGGGAATGATGGATCAACTCAACGCTGCCCTGGCTGAGAACTTCTGCTTCCCAGCAGGCCTCCCAGTGAGAAGCCGGCCCGGCCTGGATTGGGCTGTGTAAACCCACCTGATGAGGCTTTCATCTCCAGAGCACAGGAGGGAAGCCTGTGAACCCATAAGCACAAGGCAAACCCAAGAGAAAAGCAGACAAACAGTGCTCACTGGCAGGAAGACCCACATGCCCAATAAACACGAAAAGGGGATCCACCCCATTCATTATCAGAGAAACATCCTTCCAACCAGAGAGGACAAGCCACACCCACCAGGCTGGCAAGACATCACCGTCCGACACCCCTGGGTGCTGACAAGGACATGGAGCAAAGAGGGCTCTGGGTGGGGCCCGCATCAGCTCGGCTGCAGGTGGCCCAGCCCAGGAACGCCACGCCCCGTGTACCTGCAGAGGCCCTGGCCATGGGCACAGGCTGTGAGGGACGACACAGGAGCCAGCCTTAGCATCCCTGAGATGCGGAACACGCACAGACGCCGCGGTGTGCTCACAGAACCCAACGTGATGCAGCGCGGAATCGAAGGAGCCACAGCCACGCGCAACGTGGAGGCTCTCAGAACACGATGCGTAAAAGCAGCACGACACGGAGCAACGCAAATCGTCTGAGCCCAGGGAAGTTCAAAACCTGCACAGCTCAGCAACATACGGCTCAGGGATATGCACACGCATAAGCAAAACCGTGAAGAACCAGCAAGATGCGGCACATACACAGTTCAGAGCAAGGACGAAGGAGGCAGGAGGGTAAAGGAGCAGGGGCCTGGGGGTCAGGCGCACCACCTCCGAACCGTTAGATCTGAACCTGTGTCTACACCCCACGCACACGTGTGCACATGCACACACACGTACAATCCTGTGTCTACTCAGCGTCCCTTGGAACACATTTTTAAACATAAAATAGATCAAGCAGCTGACACCGTGCCCTGCCTAAGGCCCTGCAGGCTTCCCTGGCCCATGGAAGGAACCTCCATCCACACCGGCCCGTCTCCCAGGACACTCTCATTCAGGTCTCCCGGGGCTGCCTTCTCCAGGGTCCCCCTCTACTCTCCACTAAGCACCCCCTCCCCGAGGGCCCTCCTTCACCTCCTCAGTTCATGCAGTCCACCCCTCTGGGCTGGCAGTCCTAGTCCCTGCTGGGTCATTTCCTTCCTAGCACTCAAGAAAGAGGATCTCAGAACCATCCCAGTCAGAACACAGGCCCCCTAAGGGCACAGGACTCACTTGTCTCTCTGCCTCCTGCCCAACTCCTGGCACACAGCAGACGCTGTATCAATGGTCTCGGCGGGAAGGAGGAAAGGGAGGCAGAAGTGGGAGGAGACCAGGCCAGCCCGGCACTCCCAGTGGGCAGGAAGGATGAGGGCATCCTAGAGGACCTGGCCTGTGAGGCGCTAAGTGGTGATGGCAAGATGAGGAGGGGCACTTGGTGATATCACCAATGGCCATCTGCACCCGTCCTCCCTGCTGCCATCCTATCCCAGCAGGGCTGAGGCAGGCAGCCGCCCTCTCGAGCACATGCTGCTCCCTCTCTGCAGGGCTGGGGGTGGGAAACAAATCCAGGGCACTGGGGGCTGCCAAGGAGCCAGCGAGGGCCCCTCAGCCGGCCTCATTCCCTGAACAGGCCCCCTGGGGACCAGAGCCCCGGCAAGAGCCAAGCAGAGCTGCAAGGGAGGAACCACCCCAGCAGAGAAGGGCCCCAGGGTGAGGGAGACCTGCCCGCACAGCTGGGAGGACGCTCACTCCCCAGCAGAGAAGGGCCCCACGGCGAGGGAGCCCCTGCCTGCACAGCTGTTAGGCTGAGCCCGAGGCCTGGCACTGGGTGGAGAGAGGTACGCAAAGAGCTTGAGGCCCCAAATTCAGTCCTCTTCCCCACACCCAGACAACCCTCATGGCGGCTGCCCTGACCCAGACATCACCTACATGACCCAGGCCTGCCCACGTGAAGGGCCGGATGTGCAGGCCAAGCTGACAGCAGAGCAGGAGCGGGGGGTTACCATGGCAGTCAGGTACCATGAGGACCTAAGTGGGGCCAGCCTGCAGGGTGGGGGTGGATGAGGTGAAATGGAAGAGCAGCGGCTCGACGCTCTGAAACACCTAGAAATAAACCCCAGCTCTGCCCTGCACCAGCTGCGCGGCCCTGGGATGAGGTTTGAGAGCCCCAGGGGCCTCAGCTTCCTCCTCTGTACAGAGTGCAAAGTGCCACCTGCTCCACACCGTCATTAGGAAGGCCAGGTGAGATCCTGCATCCCCTCAGCCACTCTCCAAACACCCCGAGCACCACCCACCAGCAGCTTGGTGCTCTAAGTGCCAGCTCCATGCCCAGCATGAACTGGGACACCCAGGTCTGCCCACACCCAGGACAGCCACTCCTGATGCTTCCTTTCCAGGGGCCTGAATGGGCTGAGCTCAGGAATCACACCCCATCTCAGGACACAGGCCACTTTCCTCAAAAGAACAGAACTGGTTTCCAGCCATCAGCATGACACAGTGAGGATCCTACCCTACCCACTACCATCCCCTCCTCCCCGCCCCCACTTCCAGCTACTATCATTACCTAGGGGCTGACAGCCTTGTCTCGAAGGTCCCCCGAAAGGGCCACGGCTCCCCAGGCCACCTCCACGGGCGATGGATCCGTATGACATCTTCTTACAGATGGCAGGGCCAGCAGCCTCCACACTGAGCTGGAGGAAACACGAAAAGCAGGGGGAAGAGGGGGAAGACATGGGGATTAAAGCTCCAATTCAGGGTGCACAGGGGCCGCCGGCCCCTCCCCAGCCCCAAGACCCTGGCTCCATTGTACCCATTCCCTAGGCTACTCCAGGCTTCTCACCAGCCCCCAAACAGCAACCCCCCCACAGAGCCCCTTCAAGGTGGCCTCTTGGTCCACTGGTCCCTGCAGGAACACAGAAACACAGCCTGAGGAAGGTGTGCCCCCTCCCCTCCCAAGAGGGACCCCCAGCAAGGTGAGCCCTCTGGCCGGCTCTTAAAGACCAACCCCCACCGCCAGCCTCCCAGGTGGCTTCTGGGAGCGCTGGGCCCCCGCCATGCAGGCAGGGCAGCATCCACTGCATGTGAGTCAGGCCCAGGCCGGGCTGAGAACCCGGCACCCATGCAGCCTGCCGGCATCTCTAGCTCCATCGTCTTGAGCCGCACTCCACGGTAGTGGGGCTGGGTCAGGCCCGGGGTTGGCTCTGCCCTGGCTGAATGAAACCTGTGCAGCTGGCAAGAGCCATGGGGCCTCTCTGGGCCTCAGTTTCCTCATCTGTGAAGTAAGGGGAAGAAGAGGACCTGCGTCTTAGGGCTGTTGTGAGATGCAATCAGACACACATTATGGTTGGCAAACAGTAAGCACTCAACACATAACTCATGGGAGTGGCGCCACCCTTGGGGCACCGGCCGTCCCTGGAATGGGGAGCTGGGCATCCCGCCCAAACCTCTCCTCCCGTGGGCTGCAGCTCCAGGGACTCAGAGCAAATGACCAGAGGATAACGGGAGCTCTCCTGCCCAGACACTGCCAGAGCGTCCTCCCTGTGTGCAGGGGTCCCTGTGCGGGCAGCTTCTGACTGGCCTACACCCTAATGCTATCACTACGGAACCTGCTGGCCAGGCCACACCTTAAGTTCTAAACACCTCAGGGCAAGGGCTCCACCCGCCCACACAAACACCTGAAGTGCGAAGGCAGGTTTCAGAGCAAAGTGAGCCTCACGCCAGCTGAGTACAGACCCAAGTCCCTAGGGCCGGGGAAGGCGGTGTGACCCCACGTTCCCTCTGAGCAAGACACCCGCCTGTGCCATCCAGCCCTGCCCAGAGCAGGGCAGCACCAGGACACCATCGACCCAGTGGGCCCCACTGCCCTGCTCAGAACAATCGGGACCCAAACAGCTCTGGTTGCTGCGGATCGCACCTACTAACATCCACTGCATTAGAAACTCAAACGGAGGCTTCTGAAATAGTAGTAACTCATTTTAAATAACAAAGCTCTTACTGTGAACACAGATAACATCTTTATTAAAAACCACTGCATTTTCCAAAACAAAACCCCTCAGAGACAGCGGTGCCGTCCTACAGTCGTGGCACCCTCCGGGCAGGCCCAGCAGGACAGCTGGACTCACACCTGCTGCTGGCGCAGGCCTTGTTCTGCCCAGGGCGCACGAAAACACCCGGCCCCACGCAGAGAGGCAGCAGGGAGAGTGGTCCTCAGCCCCTCTCTCCACAGGTCTCAGGCCTCGCATCCCAGGTACCTGCCCAGTCGCCATGGCCTCCCTCCCCTCTCTGCACGCTGCCTGGAATGGGGAGGTGGGCAGGAAGTTAGGTCTCAGTAGGAGGCAGGAGATGTCTGCTGCCCCAGGGGAGAGTGGGCTCTGAGAGCGGGTGGGATTCCAGGAGCCCCGAGTGAGAGGCAGGTCTCAACGCAGCGAGCAGAGAGCTCTGCACATGTGCCGGGGCCTCATCGGGAAAAGCTCAGATGTGGAAGACAGCCCAAGACACATGGGGGAAACACAGCGTGGAGGAAACAGACACTATCCAGAGAGAAAACTTTAACACGTAACAGCATAGCAGCTAGCACTTCCTTAACACTTGGCGCGTGACGACAATCACAGAGGCGCTTTACTACACGCGCAGATTCATCCTCACAACCCTCTAAGCTGGGGCCACAAGCATCTTTACCTTGCAGCTGAGGAAACTGAGGCATGGAGAGGTGAGGTAACTTGCCCAAGGTCCCCCAGCTGCTAAGTGGTGGAGAAGGTTTCAGGCTCGGGCAGTCTGGTTCCAACACCTGAGTTCTCTGTACTGCCCTCAAAGGAACGAGCTCAGATAACAAAGGCTGTGTTAACAGCCCCAGGACAGGAAGGGGGGACGCCAAGAAAGGGACTTTCAGAGAACACAGAGGAGCACCGAGAAGCCAACATTGGGAGCAGCAGCAAAGAGCTCCAGAGAAGGGGCAGGCAGAGCGGGGGCCTCCAGAAACCAGAGCACGAAGACACCGCAGAGTCAGAGGAAACCACCAGCCCTGCACAGGCACTTCTCCATCCGAGGAAGGAGAGTTCCAGAAAGAAGGACAGGAGGGCCAGGGGAAGAGAATCGTCAGGAACAGCATTCACACTGATCCCAGCCAGAGCTCACTCGAGCTGGTTAGGGGCCCCTCACGCCCCGTGAGACCTCAAGAGCACAAGCCGTCTTGGGTGAGGGCTGCTGCACAGGCTTTCAGAGAACTCGGGGAGGGGCACTCAAACCCCAGGTGGGGAGGGTCCAGCAGTCCCAAGGAAGCGGCTCAAGGGGGCTCTGAGCACAGGGCACTACTTGCCATCACCTCAAATGATGGTGGGGCGCTGGTGGGGCCAGCCAGGCCTGACACAAGACTTGTGTTTGGGGAGCTCCCTCTACTTCAGGATTGGGAGCAAGCTGCTGGGGGCACGTGAGGGGCTGGCAGGGCAGTGAGCAGGTGGCGGCAGGAACCAGGGCCCGGGAGGGAGGAGGGTGGAGCTAGGGATTGGCACGGAACCCAGGGAGAGTCAAGGACAAGTCCTAAGTTCTGGCCCAGAAGGCACACGGACAGTGCTTTGACTTCCTCGTGCCAGAAAGTGAGGGGAGCCGTGTGCAGGGATGAGCCCAGAGGGGCTGGCACAGGCAGGCAGATACCCAAAGCCCTGGAGGTGGGGCTACATGCAGAACGCGAGTCCACTGTGTAGGGACAGTTGTTAAGGAAGAGAACTCCCAGGGAGAGAAGCCACCACGGAGAGAGGAGAGGGCCCCACAGACAACACAGGAGATGGGGACGAGTCAGGGGGATGTTAACCAGAGGCCACGAAAGCCACGGCGGAGGCTCCATGAGAGGAGGGGGCGGCCAGCGGCCATCACTGCAAAGGGCGGCGGGGTCTGCTGGGTTTCAGGACAAGGGGAGCAGCCAGCGGCCATCACTGCAAAGGGCGGCGGGGTCTGCTGGGTTTCAGGACAAGGGGAGCAGCCAGCGGCCATCACTGCAAAGGGCGGCGGGGTCTGCTGGGTTTCAGGACAAGGGGAACAGCCAGCGGCCATCACTGCAAAGGGCGGCAGGGTCTGCTGGGTTTCAGGACAAGGGGAACAGCCAGCGGCCATCACTGCAAAGGGCGGCGGGGTCTGCTGGGTTTCAGGACAAGGGGAGCAGCCAGCGGCCATCACTGCAAAGGGCGGCGGGGTCTGCTGGGTTTCAGGACAAGGGGAGCAGCCAGCGGCCATCACTGCAAAGGGCGGCAGGGTCTGCTAGGTTTCAGGACAAGGAGGAGCACAGGAAGCTTGAGGAGGGCTCATGAGAGGTAGGAACGCTCATGGGAGGAGGGAAGGGATTCAAGTCTGAAAGAGCTGAGCTGAATCAGAGCTGGGGCCCCTGGGGGGACTGGAAGGCTGCCCAACTCCCCTCTGCTCCGGCCAGGCACATGGAGGGGAGTGAAGATTTGTGAGCTGCTCCACCGCCACCAAAGAGACCACCTGACCAAACTCACAATTTCATTTCGCTGCATATGGAAACATGAAACACCTCTGTGTTTGCTCAGCCAGCTCAGGGACAAAGGCTAACCCACGGTCAGGGCCACCGAGTCACCGCAGGCAGAGGAGGCCAGTCTGGAAACACGAAATGGCAGCACATGTCTTCTGCCTATTCACGGCCCCGCCCAGCAAGCCACTCTGGGCCCCTGGGGACACCTGGAATCCAGTGGGTGCAACCCCCCCATCGCTGGGAGACCACAAGGGGCCATGGGGTACTGAGCTGTACCAACCCAAACCCCCCAGGTGCCCCACGCTTCCACTTCCCTCCAGTGTCCGACTCAACCCCCATCCTGCGCTGGCCCAGCCCTCTCCAGTCCTGCCCCAGCCCACAGTGGCCCCTGTGCCCACACCGGCACCCAAGGTCTCTGGGAGCTGGGCCCTGTCCTGCCCCAGCCTCAGCTCTTGCTGCGCCCCTGCCCCACACCCTTGCTCACTGGGGGTTCTGCCTGTTTCACCCAGGCTGCCTCCCACCTCTGTGCCTTCACCCAGGCTGTTACTCGGCTTCCCCCATGCTGCCCCTGCTCCTCCACCCCGCAACCAGCTCATGCCCCCACTTCTCAACCCAGCTGTCCCACCGGGCCAGCCAGGTGCTCCCATCCTGACCTTCCTGCCCACACCTGACCTCAGAGCCCGATGCTTACCACACGTCAGGCCGAGCAACGCCATGCTCCATAAGATGCAGATGCCCACCTGTTCCCTGCCTGAGGGAGGCTGCACGCCCGCTGGAGCCGTCCTCACCCACGCTGGCCCGGTCCAGTGCATCATCACCCCAGCCCTGCCCTGACCTCAGCACATCCCAGCAGGCCAGATCGGAAACCCTGTCTCCTGTCCCTAATCAAGAACCCCCACAGGATTGGTCCACCCTTCACTGAGGGAGGAAAGAACAAGAAGCCCAGCCCTCACAGGTGCTGAGCCAGTGTCCTTAGACACGGCACCGCTCACGTCGCTGGATGCCACACAAGTCCATGAGGAGGTTCTCTCATGCAACCCATTCACGGGGGAGCCAGGGAAATCTCCAAAAGAGAATCTGACTGGCCCCAGGCCACCCAGAGCCCGCCTGCCTCACCTGCACCTGCTCAGCAGGCACTGGCCAGGTGCCTCACCTGTGTGAGCAATGCTGATCCTCACGACACTTGTGAGGCAGGACTTATAACCCCATTCAAGAAGAGGACACTAAGGCCCGGGGTCAGCCAGCCGTCAGTGCAGGGCATGAAACATGCCAGAAGGCCTCAGACACCCTGGCCACAGCATGCCACTCCTGTCCCAGCAGGAGCACACTGCCAATCACAGCTGGCATAGCTGCCCTGCCAGGAGGAGGGGTCAGCACCCAG